>NC_000002.12:199610830-199913860 GCF_000001405.40 Homo sapiens
TATGTTGAATACTGACAGTGTTCATATACTGTTGATATATGACAATATATCAAATATGGCAAATATTCTATTTTTATATTTTAAAAATACTTTTATTTTAAATCTGAGCCCATCAAAGACTTACTTGTGCAATCAGGTTTGTTTCCAAAATGCCTCCCTTTTTTTTTTTCTTTTTTTTTGAGACGGAGTCTCGCTCTGTCGCCCAGGCGGGAGTGCAGTGGCGCAATCTGGGCTCACTGCAAGCTCCGCCTCCCGGGTTCACGCCATTCTCCTGCCTCAGCCTCCCACGTAGCTGGGACTACAGGCGCCCGCCATCATGCCCGGCTAATTTTTTTGTATTTTTAGTAGAGACGGGGTTTCACCGTGTTAGCCAGGATGGTCTCGATCTCCTGACCTCGTGATCTGCCCGCCTCAGCCTCCCAGACTGCTGGGATTACAGGCGTGAGCCACCGCGCCCGGCAATGCCTCTCTTTTTTAATGACAGGATCATTTGTGTCTGTATTGTGAGAATTCCATTTTTACAACTCACTGTTTTTCCTGAATTGTCTCCTCTTGTTCAGCCTTACCCTCACCCCCACTCCACCCAAGTCATTCATGAGTCCTCTCCTCTCCATCAGTACCCACCCACCACATGTACACATCCACATTTACTTAAAAAGTCACCCATTTCTGTCCTTTTGACCTCCAAAACATGCCTCAATTCCATGCACTTCTTTCCAGTTTTTACTGCCTAGCGTGAGTCATCATCACCTCTTGCTTCAGAACTCTTCTCCAGACATTCACATTTGTACCCTGTAATCCATTTTCTACACAGTAGCTGGAATAATCTTCTCAAAGCACCAGGCAGGCCATATCATCCATGCTGAAACATTCCATGGCTCTTAGAATGAAATTCCACTCCTTCCCATGGCTTACAAATCTGCTGCCTGCAACTCTGGTCTCATCTTCAGCCCCTTTTACCCTTGTTAACTGCACTTCTGCTGCATATTCCTGTATTTCTGTTTCTCTTCCTGACCTCAGTGACTTCCTCCATGATGTTTCTTTGTCTGGAATGTTCTCCCTTCCACCCTACTTGGTTACCTCCTATTGATCCTGCAGATCCCAAGGTCTTTCCCTGACCTAGGTAACGGTGGTTGTGATGCCCTGTGCCACCTCAGGACTCTGCAGAGAATCCCCAACAGCAAGAGGGCCCTCACCCCCATCCTGTTATTTCCTCTTATCATATGCCAGTACAATGGAAAGAGAAGCCACAACAAGGCTACTATTTTCCTAGATAGCATTTTTCACAGTTTGTAATTAAATACTTACTTATGTTGTAATTTCTTGTATCTGTCTCCCCCATTAGACTGTAAGATTCATAAGGGAAAGGAATAAATCTATTTCATTTGTTGGTGTATAGCCAATAATAGTTGTTGAATTATAAGTTTCTTCCTTTTTTTTTAGAGACAGAATCTTGCTCTGTCATCCAGGCTGGAATGCATTGGTGCACTAATGGCACACTGCAGCTTTGACCTCCCAGGCCAAGTGATCCTCCTACCTCAGCCTTCTCAGTAACTGTGACCACAGGCGTATGCCACCATGGCCAGCTAATTTTTAAATGTTTTTGTAGAGATGGGGTCTCACTATGTTGCCAGGCTTGTCTTCAACTCCTGGGCTCAAGTGATTCTCCCATCTCAGCCTCCCGAAGTGTTAGGATTATTGCATGAGCCACCGTGCTCAGCCAAATAATGTTTCTATTTTAAAATTTGTCTCAAAATTTGTCCTCCTATGTCTAGGACACAAATCTGAGTTGCAAAGCAGTAGCTTTCATCTATAAAATGTCCATCTCAGACTGAAGACAAGCTATGATAAGGCTGCAGTCAGGCTCTCATAAAGAGCTGAGTCAGGCTTTCTCCTCACTTTGGGAGGTTCCTGTCGCTACAAAGTTCTTCAAACTCAAAATCCTCCTTTTGCAAGAGCCCTTGCACAGAATGAGTTGGCAAACATTTACTATAAAGGCTCAGATGGTAAATATTGTACACTTTGTGGGCCATGTAATCTCTGTCAAAACTACTCAATTCTACTGTACTAGCATAAAAACAATTACAGACATAATGGTTGTAACTGTGATCCAATAAAACTTTATTTATAAAAACATTCAGTGGCCATAATTTGCCAACCCCTGACGTGGAGGCATAGTGCCTTAGTCTGTTTTCTTTTGCTACAACTGAATACCTGAGACTGGGTAATTTATAAAGAAAAGAAATATATTTTTTACAGTTCTGGAGGCTAGGAAGTCCAAAGATGAGGGGCTGCATCTGGTGAGGACCTTCTTGCTGGTGAGGACTCTATGCAGAGTGCTGTGGTAGTGTGGGGCATCATAAGACAAGGGAGCACACTGAGAGCCAACCTGGCTTTTATAACAGGTCCACTCTCATGATCACTAACCCTCTCTTATGATAAACCATTAATCTATTCTTAAGGACAGAGCTCTCATGATCCAATCACCTCCCAAAAGTCCCACCTCTCAACACTGCTGCATTGAGGCCTAAGCTTCCAACACATATACTTTTGGGGAACACGTTCAAACCATAGAAGTTAGTGAAAACAAGGGACTCACACTCATGGTAAGCAAACTTTGGCTGCCTGTAAAACACTCCTGACAGTGATCAAGGTAAGGAAGACAACTGCTTTGTTCACAAATGTCAAATTGAAGTAAGCTGTGGAGTACAGCAATTAGAACTCCACCAGCCCAGGGATTTCTGCCTGTTTTTTCCCTTGATATATCTGTTCCAAACACAAGAACAGTGCCTGATCCCTACTAGCCACTTGATAAATATTTGTGGAAGGAGCACTGTTGCTTTAAGGTAGAGAAATCTTTATGCTGTCAACAAGATCATCTCTATCTATCATACATTCCACAAGGAAGGGCCTTGTTCCTGGTGGGTGCTTTCTGGTGGATGTTAACATGCTACACAAAAATATTCATACTTCAAGATCACTCCCAAGACCTGCTGTCTGGTTTCTGACTTCCCAATCTTTCTCCTTCCAACACCCTGACCAACCAGCCATTTTCTTCTACTCATAAATCCATATGTATATTATTTTCATTTCAGGCCACTTCTGTTTCCACGTTAAGTAGATGATTCAGCTATAAGTATGATCTGCAAGAGAGGCACCATTGTGACATGAACCATGACAAAGGGGTCTATACTACCTACTTGTGCCCCATCCCAGATGTGCCACTTCCATTTTTACAATGGATTGCTGCAGGGCTCACTTAATTAATATGATTTGATGATTCTGAAAGAATCCAGCTCCTTGATAGGTGGTTCTGGCTGCATGCTCACTTATACTGTGGGCAGACTTTTTATGCCTAATATTACACGGGTAGCCGTTTTGTGAAAAGTATATAGTTCTCCACTACAGACAGTGTGGCTCTGGTCAGCTGCCGATGTTGCGATTCCCCTTTTGGAGCCTGTCACAACCTCTACACAATATCTTTTTCCACCACACTTACCTCTAATACCAATGGTCTAGTAGATCATATGTTTCAAGAAGCAGGGCTGCTTGTACTGTCATATGAGCCTTCTGCAAAGCCATTTCTTTTTCATCGCTAGAAGACTTCCCTATCACTCAGTAAATGAGTTAGAGCAATATTCTCAAATGCAAAAGATGCTTCCTTCAAAATTCAAAGAACCCTACCAGGCATTATGGTCCTTTTTTAATAATCAGAGATACAAAACAAAATAATTTGTCCTTTGTTTTGAGTGGGGATGTTGTCAAAAATCCCAGATCATGGGACCCCTAAAAACTTTATGGGCTCCTAAATCTTCGTTGGATTTATCACCCACCCTCTGGAGTGCATGTTACCAACGCCTCCAGCACACTTGCCTCTACTTGCTTATCTGGTTCAATTAATAGGATGTCATCAATAGTGAACCAAGATGATGTTCTGTAGAATGTATAGATGTTCCAGTCCTATAGGGTAATGGAAACTAAGAGATTGAACATAGCTCTGGCACAAGATCATAAATGTATATTGTTGCTTTCTCATGTGAACTCGAATTGTTTCTGGTCTTTCTTTCTAAGAGGAATGGGAAAGATTACATTCACCAAGGCCGGGCGCAGTGGCTCACACCTGTAATCCCAGCACTTTGGAAGGCCAAGGTGGGTGGATCACCTGAGGTCAGAAGTTCGAGACGACCCTGACCAACATGGAGAAACCCCTGCCTCTACTAAAAATACAAAATTAACCGGACACTGTGGCTCATGCCTGTAATCCCAGCTACTCAGGAGGCTGAGGCAGGAGAATCGCTTGAACCCCGGAGGTGGAGGTTGCAGTGAGCTGAAATTGTGACATTGCACTCCAGCCTGGGCAACAAGAGCAAAACTCCATCTCAAAAAAAAAAAAAAAAAAAAGACTACATTCACCAGGGCAGTGAATGGATGCTGTGTACTTGAGCATGCACCATGCTAATCTGCTATAGCAAACAAACCATAATTAGTATGGTAGCGATAAATAGGGTTACTGTATGGTTCAGTTTGCGTAGTCTATTATCATTCTTTAGGATTGACTTTATTTTTTTGTAGAAGACACGTTGGTGAACTAAATAAGGATAAATTAGGAATTAATCGTTACTTCTTCTGAGTCTTTTAACTGTAGGGGTAACATTTATTCTCTATCTTTGACCCTTGGATGCATTATTGGTTTTCGTCTACCATCTTGGATGAGAAAGGATGGGGACAATTAAGGGCTGTTTCGGAGAATTTCACTTGCCTTATCCACTATGATGGCTCCTATCTTATTGGCCAAGGAATCAATGTTGAGTTCTGCCAACTCCCAAGTCTGTCCAATCCAAGTATACATTCAGGTACTGGCAAAATGACCACTGGGGGCATTCATGGACTCAGGGAACACACCATAGCCAAACCTGAGCCAGGACTTCATTTATTATGTAGCTCCCACTGTTCCTATTCTAAGAGGTCATGATGACAAATATCAACAAATATTAATTTTAATTCAAATTCTGTGTCCAATAGTCCTTGAAATATTTAGGTATTCACTGTCCTCCTGTGATGAGTTACTGGATTAAATGGCCATAGATAGTTTTGACAAAGCACAAGCAAATTATTACCAAATAATCTCACCATGATATTGGAGTCTTCCTGTTTATGGCCCAGGCTCCCCTTCATTCAAAAAGTTCTGAATCTGAAAATTGGCTCAGATTCAGAAACTGGGCACCTATTCTGCTCTAAGCCCTAATCAACCCTTAATTGTTGCTGACTATATAAATTGAACAATACTGTTGTTGACTGTCCAACTTATTCTAGAGATCTAGGCATCTTTATCGCTCTCTCTGCAGGTCAGGCACAATTCTTGATGTGCTCTGAACTTGTACTCATTATGGCAGTCCCATCAACCTGGATGCTGACTGTTAAGTACCACTACTTGGCCTTCATTATTTTGAGATCCCATCATCTCCTCATCTGCTAGGGGACTGAGTTCTGTAACAGCATCTCCTACATTTGTCCTGGTCTATAGAGGAAAGTTATCACTGAGTCTTTAAGGATGCTGAAGCTCTCTTCAGTATAGTCCTTATTACTTTAGTAAACAGAGTGTTTTTTAGTCCAACTTGTGGAACACAGTTGGCTGGTGTGTTTTTGGCTTCATAAAGTATATTTATCCCAGGATATCCTCTTTGAGCTTTTCTTTGAGCCTTTGATTCCATTTTTCACCATTTGCATGGCAGTTCTGCCCTTTCTTTTTCACTTACTATGGACCAACAATATATTGGCACTGCCTCCTGTGTATTTGCCCAAGATCACCCATATGATGGGAAGGTGCTCACATATTGATAAATTAACCTTTAGTCAGCTCTATATTCCAGTAAACCTTGATCCAGAGCCATCAAAAAGTCCAATATGTATTCTGTTGGTTCCTGGTTTCCTAGGTCATACAACTGTTTCGGTTCCTAGTCCCTTTCCACCCTTCACAGGCCCAGCATATCCTCCATCAGGTTATGTTATGGTGTGTCCCTAATAACTGGTGAGCAGCCAAGAGTGGAATTGGGAGTAAATTCTAAAGGAGGGGCAAAGGGGAGGGAATGTGTTGTCCTGCAAAGCAGAGGACTTTGTGTTGTCTTCAAACAAGGGGGAGTGCTATCCTTTAATAGGGAAAAGTGGGTTACTTTTGCATATGCCAAGGGTCTAAGAGGACCTGGGATTTCAAGGTTCTTTAGTGCACTGACCCAGATATCCCCATCCAGGTCCTAGAGTCCCACTTCTTCCTAACTAGGACTCTGCTGGGGGGATTGACAATTTAAATTTCTCTCTGGTGCGCAGCTACTCTTATAATTAAGTCCTAGGCCTGATCCTCAACTATTTCTGCTCTGTGGCTGCAGGGGATGATTGTCCTTTCATGTGCTTCTGGGGAGGCTTCTGAATTTCACACTCTCCCTTACACTGGTCATGAATTACCCTCACCTTTTCGTTGTCTATTTCCAATGCATTGATCACACTCAACAAGAGCAACCTAATTCCCTTGTCTTTATAATTACTCCTTTCTGAATTTCTCAAACATCTGAGATGTTGCACCTGCCAGTGCTTTCCTTTCCCTTCTACTTCATCCCAGTTCTCTGTCAGATAAAGTTTTAACAATTGCCCGGCTACAAAATGCTAGAGACTGTTCATATTCCATCTATTTACCAAGGATGAGAACCTCATTGCCAGCCAACTAGCAGATGACCTACTTCCAAAAATTAGAGACTTCACTAAGGATACTTGTAGGAACAATATGTATGGGGGAGGGTGTATAAGGAACAAGATTAAGCAGTGGGAAAGGTTGAACTGCAACAGAGTCTTCAGTCCATCCTCTGGGGAATCTCTGGAGCTGGGACAGCCCTGCACAGGTGTTTTGAATTGAGGTGAGAGGGGCCTCGTCTTTGTCGCCTCCTTCTTGACAAAGACCTCATTGGATATGGGCTGCCCTTGTGGCAGGGACATACACTAGTGTGAGGCAGCACCTTTCAGGCTCAGGGCAATTCCTGGGGAAGAACTCACTGTCAGCCATCAACAGGCAAGAATCCTGGCAGCTGGGAGAACAGGAACCTCAGTCCTGAAGGTGAAGGTGGAGAGAGAAATCTGGGGTGTACCTCACCACTGCATTTACCAATGCTGTTCTAAAAATTTAATCAGAACATGAATGTGGAAGGACTTCAGTTTATTTTCAACACTTTATAAATCCAAGGGTTTGTTTTGTTTTTTTGAGACAGAGTCTCCCTCTGTTACCCAGGCTGGAGTGCAGTGGCACACTCACGACTCAGTGAAGCTCAACTGCCTGGGCTTATGTGATCCTCCCACCTCAGCCTCCTGAGTAGCTGGGTCTACAGCTGCGTACTACCATGCCTGGCTAATTTTTGCATTTTTTTGCAAGATATTCTCATAACCTCACAATTTTGACTTGGGTTGGCCCAGGCACAGAATCAGCTGCCATAGTCAGTAAGAGAAGATGTCTTAGTGAGGTCAGACTCTCCCATGTGTAAACTAAATTACCGACTTTTTAACTGCCCATTATATTCTAAGATTCCAGATTCTGGGTTGGTTTTAGACAATCCCTAATGGAGCATCATTTTGAAAATGAAGGGTCCACAATTGATTTCATTTTTTTGCCCAAGATTTTTCGTTGGTGAACAGTTTGGAATATCTGAAGGGTTAAATGTAGTATCATTACAAAGTTGAAACAGAACCATAAGTTTAATATTATTTTAAGGCTCAAGTGATTTAACATGACATCAAGCTTGAGTTAACATTCTACATGGTTGTGGAGATATTAAGGTTTAAACAGATGTCAGCCATTTTTTTTATAAAACAGAAATTGAGTTATACAGATGGTGAAGACTAAGGAGTTCAAAGTGGCTGTGCGTAGTATAAAAATGTACACTAAATTAAAAAGTAATCATCTTTATATTTCAAGTTTGAAGATTCTGTTTTTAGTGATGAGGATAATTTTCAAGCCAATCAAACAGAAATCTATTTACCTTTTACTTCCATATTATACATTTTTTCTGCTACATTTTCTAATTATGTAAGGTATTTATGCAGTAATATAGGACTTCACTCTCTCTCAACTCTCACCCTTGTTATACCTACCTTTTCTATTGGCATAATATTGTTCAATCTGCTTCATCATAGTTTCCATAGCAACAGGCCATGATGTCATAAAAATCATCGCCTTATAGATTTTTATTATTTTCTATATACAGTTGGGCCTCTTTTAGAAGGTTGTAATTTTTATGCATTTAATAGAAATGTGGCCAGGCACGGTGGCTCATTCCTGTAATCCCAACACTTTGGGAGGCTGAGGTGGGCGGATTGCCTGAGCTCAGGAGTTCAAGACCAGCCTGGGCAACACGGTGAAACCCTGTCTCTACTAAAATACAAAAAATTACCCAGGCATGGTGGCATGCACCTGTAGTCCCAGCCACTCGGAAGGCTGAGGCAGGAGAATTGCTTAAACCCAGGAATCAAAGGTTGCCGTGAGCCAAGATCACGCCACTGCACCCCAACATGGGCGACAGAGTGAGACTCCAACTCAAAAAAAAAAATGTTCTTGCCAATTAAGAAAAAGGTTTTAAGGTTGTGAGGAAATAGGTATGTGAGTTTCACTCATCATCACCAGTTCTTTTAGTTATGTCACTTGGACTCAAAAGTACATTTTCCATAAAAAAATGAAACAAAATCCATATTTTTAAATGGAGAAATGTAAAAAGATGTGATCTACAAAATTATTACTTCTTGTTTTCTGCCAAACAGCCAGATTTGTTTTTCAAATGTATAATTAATTCTAATTAATCTTGTGTTCTTGAAACACTAACTGCTGGAGAAGTTTGAGAAAATACACCAGTATGCCTGTCTATAGTCTGTAGACTAAAAGCGCTGTTCAGAAGAGATATATCTGCCACAGGAATCTCATGTGAACAGAGAGGAGAGTTGTGAGACTGGAAAGGATGAGGAATCTTCTCTGATGCATTGTGGATGGCCTGTGGGCATAGGGCCTCTCCTTTTAGGTTTATGTTGGTTTCCAGCCTTAGTGCCTAAGACCTCAGAGAAAAAGGTATTCTTTGTTTTCTTTCTTTCTTTCTTTCTTTCTTTTTTTTGAGACGGAATTTTGCTCTTGTTGCCCAGGCTGGAGTCCAATGGCACGACCTCAGCTCACTGTAACCTCTGCCTCCCAGGTTCAAGGGATTCTCCTGCCTCAGCCTCTGGAGTAGCTGGGATTACAGGTGCACACCACTATGCCTGGCTACTTTTTTGTATTTTTAGTAGAGACAGTGTTTCCCCATGTTGGCCAGGCTGGTCTTGAACTCCTGACCTCAGGTGATCCACTTGCTTCAGCCTGCCAAAGTGCTGGGATTACAGGCATGAGCCACCGCACCCAGCCAGGAAAAGAATATTCTAATGACAAGCCACAGACGCTCCTGGAGAATACCTATCTATTTCTAGCAAGAAGAATTTGGGGTCTCAGAGATCTTTGCATAAAGACTGTCACTGACTTCCCAATCATCTCACTTTCAGATGCCATAATTTTCATTTACAGCTAACTGCCCAGTGCTATACTTAGCATCCGCTTTCAAGTAGAGTCAAGAAGGACTTTAAGAGTTGTGAAGGAGTTGAGGTCATCTTTGGTGAGTTCTTCTTTTGGCATCTCCCAAAGGGACCACAACCCCATCTCACTCCACCAATCTCTGCCCCCACTTAGTACCACCTCATTCTCTTTGGAGAAAATTGTTAGTTGCTTACCACCAGGTATCTTCCCTCAACCATGAAAAACAGGTGACCTTGTTTCCCTTCTTCCATCTTCTTTTGAAAATCGCCAAAATGAACCCTATCCTTTAAAAAAAAATGAGAGCTAGACTAACTGTTCTACTTTGCTTTCATCACCTCAACAACCACACTAAGTCATCTTTTGTTTAGCTCTGACTAGTATCTCCATTCCTTAGGATGACCCTATAAGTTGAGTTTTAGTACAACTTTCTGATGAAAATCGAGGCTCAGAAAGATTAAGTAACTTGCTTAATGTGTCAAAGCTAATAAATGACAACTCTCAGATTAGACGAGATTCTGTATGTCCTCCAGCACTGCCCTCTTCCCACTATAACACGTTGTCTCCTGAAATGAAAAGGGGATTCTTCTCCATTAAAGACATGGCTGTCATGAAAGTCTGTGACTAGGTGGCAAGTGTTGATTTCAGCCTCAGTCCCTGCAGAACCCTAATAGTGGCAACATCAAGCTAGGTAGAAAGGGAGAAGACAGTGTTATAAACAAGTGAAGTCAGATATCTCTGAGTAGCTGTGCAGAGAGTAGAATTTCTCAAATAATATTGCTGCTGCCAGTGCCTCCAAAACCTAGGGCTGTGACTGACTTTTAACCCAATAAGTGGGTTTACTCAAGAACAGACTAGGATTCTCCTGGATGTCCAGGACATGCCTCTGGATGGTGGTCAGTCACTTCATCCTGAACAGTAGAATTAGATCCCAGAACCTGTGAATATTCTGGCTCCTGATCCTAATAACAACAGGACTGACAAAGGTAGTGAATGAATCCTAATGCCTCATCACTAAGATCTCTAGATTTCCCACACAGACAACATTAGGTCAGAATAAACTATTAGAATCTCTTATCTTTTTCAAGCCTTTTGTTGCTGGGATCAGTGGTGCCTGAACATTGAGAGTTTCTGGAAACTCATTCCATTCGGCTTGCTAAGCAGCAGGTATCTGTTTTATATATGAGTATCTTACTGCCATTTTAGCCTTTATATTAAACCTATTTTGAAAGCATAGCCTGAAGCCATTCCTGCCATTGGCTTTCTTCTCTTTGCTCTTTCTTTGAGTTATGAACTGAGCACATCAATAGCACTCTGAAAGCTTTGATGCTTCTTTGGCAATGACTTCAGTCCTGTTGCATTTACCACAGAACTGTAGTTACTGTCTTATGTGGAGAAGCATATTTGTGGTTGATAAAATGCTAGTTCAATAGTGGGGGCAGGGAGTGAATTGATTATATTGAGCATTTTTATAACTGTCACTTTTCTAAAAGACAAAAGAGAGTAATTTTGGTTTCTTTCTCTATTCCACATATACACTGATTTTTAATTACAATCAAACATTATTAAAGGAAATCCAAGTGAAACCAGGGGGAAAATTATAACTATGGTTTAGTACATAGGATTTCATTTGATCCAGGGTGGGAGGAGGCTGGCAGGCACTTTCAAGCTTTTAGTTTTGTGCAATATTTGATTATGTATACAATTACTCTAAAGGTATTTTACTCAGTATAATTACATGGAGAATAATACACGGTATGTAAGTTAGTGCAATCCTCTTCTGTAGTCTGATTTCTGAGAAATGAGAATCCTACTTTCCTCTGCCTATAAGCAGTGGGCGTAATTCTCCCATATCCTCCTTTTCTATTCCAAAGACATTTGAACAACTTTGCCCTTGTAAATCACCGTCTTTATTTTCATTTTATTTTGTTTTATTTTTTTGAGACGGAGTCTCACTCTGTCACCCAGGCTGGAGTGCAGTGGCACGATCTCGGCTCACTGCAACCTCCGTCTCCCGGGTTCAAGCGATTCTCCTGCCTCAGCCTCCTGAGTAGCTGGGACTACAGGTGAGCGCCACCATGCCCGGCTAATTTTTTGTATTTTTAGTAGAGACGGGGTTTCACCATATTGGCCAGGCTGGTCTCGAACTCTTGACCTCGTGATCTGCCCACCCCAGCCTCCCAAAGTGCTGGGATTACAGGCATGAGCCACCGCGCCCGGCCAACTCGCTGTCCTTCTACCAAGAGAGACAATGTGATGATAGCGTTTATGTGCAGGGACTCAATGATATATAAAATATGTTTCAAATCAAGGCTTACTCACTTCATACCCTTACTAGTCTGTGTGGCTAGGTATTTAATCTATCTCAGTTTCCTCAACTGTAAAATCATTATACACAGTATCTGCCTCATAAGATTGTCAGGAGGATCAAATGCAAAACTGAATACCAGTTGATTGGCATATAGTAAATAATAAATGTTAGCTGTCATTATTACCATGGTCATAAAAGTCTTTAGTGGAATCATGGTAACAGGCCAAATGTGTTTTAGGAGGCTCACTTGCCACAAGATAAGCCATTTGATGGATGTTAGAAAAATTCCTAGAGATGTTGGTTGCCCCTGGAAACAGCTTCTGCTTCTTCTGAATAACCCATGTGGTTCTAGACTACAAGCCCTGGTGGGACAAATTGAGATCCTTAGCCATAGATGGCCATGTTCCCTTGATTAGCTACACAAATGAATCCAAAACTAGACTCAAGCTATAATTTTTACTTTATTACCTTTCTTTTGCAATTAGTTCTCCTTCTGAGGACTCCTCAACTATGGTGACAATGACAGCTGCTTTCAAGAAATATTTTTCAAAAATGGAATAATTTTGAGAGGCAGGGCGTGGTTGGAGAAGGAGAGGATTTGTAGTCTCTTGAGAACTATGCTTTTGTTTCTCTATTTATGGTCTTAAAATTTGTTTCTCAATGTGTGGTTTTCTGAATCACTTAGAGCAAAAGTGTTTGTTACAAATGCAGATGCTAGAACCCCACCCCAGACTTCCAGGATCAGAATCTCTGGGGATGGCGATGGGCAGTCTCTGTCCTAACCAGATTTCTAGATGATCCTCATGCACATCCAACTGTGAGAACCTCTGACACAGAAAACAGTTGAATATATCAACACCATCTCTGATGTTATTTCAATTTCAAGCACTTCTGACTTTGTTTTGAGAAGGAAACAGATCATTAATACTTATACTTCTGTATTCCTTCCTTAATAAGCTAAGGGCCTTTCATTTTTATGCTTCTATAAAATGGGAGTTATGAAAGTTACCAAACTCTTTTTGATGGAAGAAAGAATAAATGTTTACTAAATGTTTGGGGCTCTCTGCTGAGAGGTAGCATGAATGTGCCAAGCACTATCATGGGAAAATATGTAGGTGGAGTTGATATAGGTATGCCACAAATCCCCATTTGCCATAATTTAAGAAAATAGGTACCAAAGTGGTGCCAGTGAATCTTATAGCTAAGCTACTGTTTTGGCTCTATAAAGGGAGGGTATGCTAAACCCACAGGGGGCTATAAAATATCAGCTGAGCATTGATGGAGCTTGGAGTCAAATAGAAACCTGTTCTCCTGTGAAAACATGCACATCTGTGGAACTGCATTGCTATAATCAGGGCACAACCAAATTCACAGATGTGCCCAATTTTCTGTTTCCTCTATATTTTACCAGTTTCACGGCGCAGTGACAAATGAGGAAAGTACTAAGCTGATTTTGCGTAGAATCTCATGGAAGTTGCTCACAAATCTCACTGGTGGGAATGAACCTCACAAATGTTAATAGTTAAGTGCTACATCTGTCTAATCCATCTCTGGGATACACTAAGCTCTCTGTTACTTTGCATACAGCAAATTGAAGAAATCCCATTATTCTAAGTCAAGTTTCAAAAAAAAATTTCCTTTAAAAAATCCTCCTCTCCCCAATGATTTTCTTTCTTCTATTTTCACATTTTCAAGTTCATGTGATTGATAATTATAAAATGGAACAAAAAAAATCTGACTGAGGAAATCCGAAATGGTGAAATAAACTCCTGAGTCTTGTCTCTGTGTGTTTCTTACCATTTCCTAGCTCCTAAAACCCAGGAGGCTCTTAAAACTCCTCTACCAACATCTCCCCTCCATGAAAAAAGGAAGGTAAGAGTTTCATAATTTGGAAAAGAGAAAAAATACTGTATAGTATACCATACTACACCATAACGGACAATTGTGGGTTTGGGTTTTTGTTTTGTTTATTTTTTTGAGACAAGGTCTCACTCTGTCAACTAGACTAGAGTGCAACAGCTAGATTATAACTCATTGCAGCCTTGACCTCCTAGGCTTAGGCAATCCTCCCACCTCAACTTCCTGAGTAGCTGGGACTACAGGTGTGTGCCACCATGCTTGACTAATATTTTAATTTTTGTAGAGACAGGTCTCTCAATGTTGCCCAAGCTGGCCTCAAACTCCTGGCCTCAAACAATCCTCCCACTTGGCCTCCCAAAATGCTGGGATTATAGGTGTGAGCCACTGCACCCAGCCAAATTGTGAAGTTTTTTTACCATGAGCACACACACACACATACACACACACACATACGTTTATTTATTTACTTCTTTGGTAACAAGACTCCAGTTTCCTTTTTAGGAAATCACCTGACCCCATAAAGAACAGTCTTGAGAGGTCTGCCATTAAGATGTCCCTGTTCCCCCAGCCAGTGAATGAGTGCCTGAGCCAAGGTACACCAGACAGACTGCATTCCTGAGACTGAGTCTTGAGCACAGCATAGCAAGGACAGGTGGGTGCTTACTCTGTCTAGAGGCAGTGACTTGCCAATACTATTACTTTCTACTACCCAGAATCTGACTGCCCTGAGTCCTGAACTTTTCCCAATATGATTATTTGGTCTTACTTTTGTTTCTTTATCTCTTCCATGTCTTTCCCATTAATTTCTCTTTTCTTAACCTAGCCAAAGTTCTTCACTATTGTTTACAATCAGAGGTGTCAATCAAAATCTTTACCAATTGGCTCACCTGTGGGAGAAGGCATTCACCAGTTGGAACATGACCCTCTCCCAGGAGAATGGATGCTGGCCAGGGTGCTTGCCAGTAGGCTATTTGCAAACAAAGAGCTTTTACTGAAGATATTAGATCCCACTGTTCTGCTCATTTTAAGAATAATGATATTTTCACCTACACTAAGCTGTATCTATAACCATATGCTACAAATAAAAAATGATGATGTTAATGAAAGACAGTGAAAGAGACTTCTATCCAACCAAGTTAGGGTAAAAGGACTAGTAAGATAAAGGAAATAATATTGAATAACCTGAGTGAAAAAGCTGCATAATGAGGAGGTTTGCATTAAAAATAGTTCTCAGATCCATAGAATCCTAGAGATTCTTTTGTAATGCCAAAAAACACAAGATCCATGACTTGAGAAAGATTGTCCTATGATTAAAAAAAGCACTAAGAATACAGGATTGGAGGAAGGTTTCCTCTATGGAGTTCAATAGTATTGATAAATCCCTCATTGACTTTTATACATGCCCCAAGAAATTAGAATGAAGTCACAACATCCCCACTTAAGTAATGGGATCCTGTGAAGGATCAACATCTCGTTTACTATAGAAGAAGGGAAAACTATATCACATTAAGTTATGATGCTGAAAGCTAACAACAGGCCTGGGTAGAAGTGTAGGTATTAAAAGAATGTGATCAAGGCCCAGTGTGGTGGCCCATGCCTGTAATCCCAGCACTTTGGGAGGCCGAGGTGGTTGGATTGCTTGAGGCCAAGAGTTCAAGACCAGCCTGGCCAACATGGCGAAATCTCGTCTCTACTAAAAATACAAAAATTATCCAGGCATGGTGGCATGCGCCTGTAGTCCCAGCTACTCAGGAGGCTGAGGCAGGAGAATCGCTGGAACCCAGGAGGTGGCAGAGGTTGCAGTGAGCTGAGATCACACCACTGCACTCCAGCCTGGGCAATACAGCAAGACTCTGTGAAGAAGGAAGAAAGGAAGGAAGGAAGGAGAGACAGAGAGAGAGAAGAAAGAAAGAAAGAAAGAAAGAAAGAAAGAAAGAAAGAAAGAAAGAAAGAAAGAAAGAAAGGGAAAGAAAGAAAGAAAGAGAGAGAAAAGGAAAGAAAAGGAGAGGAGAGGAGAGAAGAGAAGAGGGAGAGAAAGAGGGAGGGAGGAGGAAGAGAGGAAGGAAGGAAGGAAAGAAGGAAGGAAGGAAGGAAGGAAAAAAAATGTGATTGAGCCTGTGCTTTTGTCTTCAGCCTCTCTCACTACACCTGAGCTTGGCACCCTATAATTCAATCATATAAAACTATATAATAGTTAAAATTCCTCCAATGCACCATGCTGATCTATGCTGTGCACATTTTCCATAACTGGAATGCCCTTCTTCCACAGCCTTCTAGTTTATGTGGCATCTCCATGCACACTAGAAAAACACACACCTTATTCAAGACCCTTCATTTTCCTCTGTTGGAGAAATGTTGAACTATACTAATTTTGTTAACTTTAAAAACTCTTGTTTAAAATATACTGATTAATGATGTCTACAATATAAACAATTCCCCTTAGGGATGCTGCACACGCATCCTTGGAGGGTCTGGATAACAAAATGGCTTACAAAGCTCATCTGAGAAGCCTTCCCTGGGTGTGTTCCCACTCTGTCTGGAATGCCGGTTCCATTGTAACACCTATTATGTGGTTTGTATATGTTCATGTATATGTCTGCTGACCCCATAAGAAAGGGGAGACACTTTGAGAGGAGGGACTGCTTCTTGTTAACCTCTGTAGCTCCAGCGACTAGCAAAGTGTTGGCAAATTGTTGACATTCTGTGAATTATTGTTGAAGAAATGAATCAAGAAATATTCATACACAGCACCCAATGTAGGGCCTTGCCTATAAATAGCATTTATTGAACTAAAATCCCAGAAACAAAAAATAATGGTACTGGGACCACTATTTATTTACACCATCCTGTTGGATATTGTTGGTGTGTGTGTGTGTGTGTGTGTGTGTGTGTGTTATTAGTGATAAAATACTAAATTCGAAGTGAAGACATTTCCAGTTTTTAATACTGTGTCTTGCTAGTACCTAACAGAGTAGATGATCAATAAACATTTGCTAAATGAATAAATGTGTGTACAGAATGAGTCAACGAGTGAATCAGAGCAAGGAGAGTGTCATCATCATTCTTCTTTATAGACCAGAAATACTGAGACTTCTTTTCTTAATGTAGTGTGGAGCTTAGAGTAGTTGCTAAGTCTATCAGCATCATGATAAATGTTTGAGGAAACATCTTTTTCCTTAATATAAAAGAAAAATATATCTCCTATTGAAGATGTTAGAAGTCGTGATATAGGGAAAGATAAGGGCCTATAATATTAGGTGCAGAATAAAATATTGCCCGTGAAGTTAAAGGATTTTTTCTCAAATTTTTTGAGTAAGATAATGTTTCAGAGCAGACAGCTAATAATCTATTACATTGATTAAATGTTTCATTTGGCTTTTTGTATTGTGACATCGCAAAAACACTAACTAGCAAAGGTAACTCAGAATTTTTGCTGCACTCCACTTTTGTCACAAAAAATTCAAGGCCATAGAAATAGTCTTAAGCAGAAATTTTGTTTTAAAGAAGAAAATCAATGTCCAGAAACTATTTCTGGATCATTCCAAATGGATGCACCTTCAGAGCCTATTCGTGATAATCATCATCATGAAAGATCTCATTTTTTTCCACATATGCTATTCACTAGGGCTAGAGAGTAAGCTAAAACAAGAAGGACTAAAGGAAACATGCTTTCTGGTTAACTATGAGACACCCCAAATTCCTTTCTAGAAGACCCAGAAATTCCAATTTCTCAAGGTTTTGCTGGCTTACATTGGTGCAGGATCAGCAGACTCTCTAATAGTATATTTATTGGTAATGTCAGGGAGGCTTCTTAGTGACAATAAATTTTCAAAGTATTTGCCTTAGGTCTGATGGGAAAGACCATGTCTTCTTCCATATATAGTGCACACAAAATGGGCAATGAATGAATGGCCATGCTCGCTGGAGCCAGTGGACTTTGCCAAGCTCTTTTACACGTTGGGCATAAAATGCATAACATCTGGGGCCTATGAGATTTCTGAGGACCTAAAAAACAGTTTAAAAGCTGAAATTACAAAAAAAAAGAGCATTTATTCTGAATGCAAAAAGGGCAAAACTAAAATTAATAAATGTTTAATTAAATATCTCCAAAAGGTAATTCCATGCCAAATTCATTGGGTGTTAAATTTAGAATTCATGAAATTTTCATTATATTTGAAAGCAATTTGTAGGCTAGATTTCATCATTTTGTAAGTGATCAAGAAATCATAGTCAATTATAAGTTATGTGTTATTCATAGCCAAATAGTTTCAAATACACAATTATAAGCATCAATTTTTAAAATTTATAAAAATTATAAGTAATACGAGATGTGGGTGCATTTTTATATATTTGATATCTTGAGCACTGGAGGAGAGATTGCCTGGAGAAGATTGCCTGGGACCTGCAAAGGTGGTTCATCCACAGTGAAGAACCCAGAACCTAGACACATCTTCCTTTTTTCTTGTTCTTCTCTTGCAGGGTCAGCCCAAGAAGCAGGAAGCAGCAGTGCAGGGAGAAAAGAGTACTGGATTTAGAGTCAGACACCCAGGTTCAAGTTCTAGGTCAGCCACTTCTTTTGTTATATGATCTCTGGGGCTGAGTCTCACCACAGTTAACAGGCTGTGTCTGCAAAAAGGGTATCAAGGTGATAAAATGAGGCAGTATATTAAATTGTACTAAATACCCATTTGTAGGGCAAAACAGGCTACTATCAGCAATTTCAGATGAAATTTCATTTTCATCATAATTTATGAATGCATTTTGCAAAGCATAAATAACTATAGGGATTAAGATTCAAAGGGAATTAGAAAGCAAAGAAAAGGGATAGAGAGAGGAGATTCTGGTAAGTGCCCAAGTTTGGTGTGAATAGCAGTATGAGGGTTAAGGAAGCACAACCCAGCAGCTTCTAAGTTTCTTATAGCCAGAGGCAACTCTTTGATCCCTGGTCTGGCATCCTCTGTGTCAACAATTATGTCCCCTCTTCAACATTCCTGAAAACTGTTGTTACTTAGAGGTCTGTGTAGAACCTTTATGTATTCCAAAAGCAGAAAAATATATTACTTAGAACTCTTGTTTCCCCCACTCCCATTCTCCTTCCTTCAAAGCAAATGGAGAAAATGGGGTTCGTATGGTGGGGGGCAGTAACGTGGTCTCCTGGGAATTTCCAGTTTTATAAGCTTGCGTTTACTTTGTGGACTAACAGATTCAGGATTTCCAATAGCCTATAAAATTATTTTCTCTTCCATCTTTGTTTAAAATGCCACAATTAGGCAGATGATGACTATATGTATTCTATATTTATTTTGCCTAGACATATTTTCTTCTTCTTCTTTATTTAAGTTTGCAGTTCATAGAAGCAGTCTTCCCAGCTTGATTTTATTCACAGAAGAAAAAAGGCACCCCTGGGAAGTGCCTGACAAAAGCTTGAAGAGAGAAGAGGCTCTGCTGTGGTTTGAATGCGTCCCCCAAAGTTCATGTGTTGGAAACTTGATCCCCGATGCAGCAGTACTGGGAGGTGGGACCTTTGAGAGGTGTTTAAGTCATGAGGACCCTGCCCTCATGAATGGATTAATGCTGTTATTGCAGGAGTGGGTTTGTTATCTCGGGAATGGATTTGTTATAAAAAGAAAAGTTCAGCCCCCTTTTATCTCTCACCCATAGGATGCCCTTTGCCATGTTATGATCCTGCAGGAAGACCCTCACCAGATATGGCCCCTTGATCTTGGACTTCCCAGCCTCCAGAATTGTGAGAAATAAATTTCTGTTTTTAATAAAGTTCCTAGTTTGTTGCATTCTGTTATAGCTGCACAAAGCAGACTGAGACAGGCTCCTTTACTCATGGTGAAGAAGGTAAGTCCCTTATGACTTTATCAAATAAAAATAATGACTACAGGTAAAGGGCTAGAAATTTTTAGACAAAAGGCCAGTGGGTATCACAGGGAGCTTTCCAGTTGGCTGTTTTGGCAGAATGGCAAGACTTTCCTTCCTCATTCTCAAAGCTTCCTGACATTTACAGCTTTGGAAGGTGGTGAGTGAGAAAATTTTCCAAGGGACTCTAGACATTCTCAGAATCCCCTGGTTCCACACTTGCTAGATTATGGAAGAGAGAAGAGACACCTAAAAGGAAAAAAAAAAGGAAGGAGAAAGGGGAATCAGCTCTTTAGTCCCCTAAGACCCACTTGGCTGTGGCTCCTGGCTGCCAAGGGTTGCCTGTGAGTGGTTCTCCAGGCATGAACTGTGACCACCCTGCTATAGATTAATCCTTTCCTCCTACAAAGTTGGTCTTCAGTATACTTAATGAGGGAGAAATGGGATGTCTTTTTTTCCTTCCAGAATCACTCTAGTATGACCTGCAGAATGATTAGCGTGGCTCAGCCTCAGTTGGGATATCATGGCTTAAATTATTCCTATTAGTTTCCAGCTGACCTTGGAACACAAGCATTACATGTGATTTCAATGAAACTTTAGACTTTGTTGTTCTCAGTTAACTAGTGAAACAGTTGAACCTTCCCATGACTTGTGGTAATTATAATAAAGGGTAAGTATTATCACAAATAATGCAAACCGATTTACAAGATGGCAAAGTGATGTTCTGGAAGTTGTGCGCAAAGACAAAATGTGAACTGAACACTTAGAAAAAATGTAGTGCCATTCAAAAGGTTGATGCATTACTGCCAAAATACAACCCCACCTGACAGTATTACTTTACAGTGAGTTTTGGCACAACTCACTGGTTACAAGAAACATTGTGTTAACAGGAAAAGCCACTTTAAAACTCTGTTTGATACTTAAAGCTCTCAAATACACTCTAAACGTTTAAACCAACACTCCAAACTGATTAAAGCATTTATGGAAAATAAAAGTGTTTTGCCAGTGGGGAAAGGATGAGGAATCTTTGTTGTTGTTGCTTGTTTGTTTGTTTTTATCGAGGTGTAAAACAAAACCCCCAAATTTGACAGATTTCCCAGTTCTAATTAAGTTTTATGAGGTTAAGAGTTTATGCCACCCTTCTCAAACAATTTATCCAAACTCAATGGATTTTCAAATCACATATAATGACCCTTCTGGCCTAGGAGAGGGATGGTGTCCTCTTGATGGCCATATTCCTACTGTGGAATATAATTCCTGGCACATAACAGATGCTTAATAAATGTGTAATGAAGGTGGGAACTGTGCCTCATAATTCACTTTGAAGCACATCTAGCAACTCATCATATTTAAATAGTCATTTCAGAGATGTTTCATATACTCTGTTTTCTAGGACTGGAGTGTCATATCTCAGCTTCTCGCCCCTTGATCTCCATATGCCTGGTAAGCTCTTCTTCATCTTCAGATCACTTTCTTTGAAGATTCCCCAACTTGTGATGCCTAAGGCCCTGGAACCAGTCTCAATTTGATTTCTGGTTCTGCTACTTATAAACTTTGCCACCTTGATGAATGGCTTGATTGTTTTGTGTCTCAGTTTCTCCATATGTGAAGTGTATCTTCATGAGGATTTGGTAGGTTTATGTGTATCATATGATGATCACTAAATACATGTCAGTTCTTACTGCCTTCAGTACTTGCAATGTACTGCAATTTTTTGTTTGCTTGTTTTCCTTTCACTCAATTACAACTCACACAGAGTAGGACTTCTATCTTTTACCTTTGTGCTCCTGGGTTTACAAAATGCAGACTCTGAACTTGGTAAGAAAGCAATACATTTGCTGATTTACATAGTCCAAAACCATGCCATTCCCTGAGAGGCCAGTGAGGCCAATCTTTTCCTTATTCTTTAGGGATGTCCTTTCAGTTGCAAAAGACCATTTAGGTTAGAAACCTGTAAATTCCACATCTTGTGATTCCCCTGAGTAGGAACAAATTAGAGAGATTTAATCTTCACTAAGAATTCTGAAATAGCTTAAGTTTCACTTTGGGCAAGCTTTCTGTAGTGAATACAAATTGCCTTGCAGTGTGATTTTGTCTTTAAGAAATATTTTATTTTCTTTGTCATTATTTTGACCAAATTTACCTCATTCTTATTATATTTCATTTTCTGAATGAAAGTCACCTCCTTCCCTACTTGCACAACCAAGGACTGAGAGAGAGAAGTTTTCTGGGTACACCACTTTCTTCCAAAACTATCATTGATTGGAAGAATCTGTTTTTTCCCAACTTTTAACCACATTTTAAAGGCTTATACAAAGTATTTCCCCAGTTTCTGTTTTAAGTGATGTCATTCCCCAAGAACCTAATATTCAAAGAAAAATCATAATAAAAAAATGTACTTTTAGGCCACAAAACACACAAAAAACTGAAGCTATTTTGTTGTTTCTAGAAAAATAATTGCTTGTATACTGAACAAGCAGTTGGTGTTAAGCTCTAGCATCAGGTTTAAAAATGTAGATGAATTTACAGGAAAATGTCAAAGAAATACAAATACAGCTGGTACTTGGATAAGACAAAAATTGTGACCATTATAAAGAAATAACTTTGGTTTGGGAAACCCTGGGCTAGAGGATGTTGCTGGGGTTACTCAACTACGCTATGAGAAATGGAGGAGGGTTAAATCCTGGAGGTAGGATTTCCCCACCAGACTCTCTTCTCTGTGCTTCTTTCAGGGTCTACCTAGGGAAGCACAGTGGTCATGCCACTGATTCATACTGGAGGTCTTGAAAGTTAGCTGTCATCATGGCCTTCTTCATACAACAAGAAAGCATGAGATAGATCGTTAGCACAGCCTTGTCTCTCCCTCTTTGCTGCAGCAGAACTTTAATTTTTTTTATGACCTATGTGCATTAGTCTCTTCTCTCAGCTGAGGGAATTCAAGGTCTTAGTTGATGGTTAGTTACTTTCATTTTTTTTTCCTGTTATGGAAAGGAACCACTGAATTACCAAACTGTGAAAAGCAGTTTGTTATTTAACCATAGGGGACTCACAAATAAAAGAGGTCTCTTGGGTCACTGGGTTCACCACCTGCCAGTATGTGACCCTCCCACTCCCAAATAACCAAAAAATTATATTCAGTTCTTTGTCCACCCCAGTTTTCTGAGTTCCAATACTGCCTTCTAACCAATGGTATGCCAGTTGACAATGTCACTGGTAGAAAAGTCATTTTTGACAGTCTCAGAGTATCTCATAGATAGTTACTCATCTTGATCCTCCATGGGCCGGTTTACCATTTGCATTTCCTCCACTTAGCACACACGGCTCCTGAGCATCTACTCTCTGCCAGCCCTGGGGCTGGGCTAGGAGATACACAGCTGAGGTAGATCCAGTTCCTAAATGGCTAGGCCTCTACAAAACAAGTTATTTGTACTTTTCCTTCTCTCGCAAACCTCCTGCTGTTCTTTAATGTTCTTAGGGCCAGCTCTAGGCCCTGTTGGGAAGTAGGGGCCCAACAGCTGTGTTAGGGAATCTACTTAATCTCTATATTTTTTCTCGGGCATCCAGTGCCTCACACAGGCTCCCTACAGACTACCACACAGGATAGTCCCTATTGCCTCCAGCCCCTGTTCTCGAATAGCTATAGCAAGTATTCCTGGTGATAATAAATTTATTTTGCATTTTGAGCCGTCTCTCTGCTTGTGAATAGAAAGTCTTTGTGTGCTATTAGAGAAAGGAGGCTTTTTCAAGAGTCCAAAATCATATTCCACATTTTACTCACACAGAAGTTTAGCCTGGGCCGGGGTTGGCGGGGGCGGGTAAAATGGAAAAATTGTTTGATTATGGTCAGAAAACCTAGTCTCAACCCTGTCACTAACTGGTTGGGCGACCCTCAACAAGTCATTTAACCCTTCTGAGGCTTCACTGCTTTACTTCGTAAAATGAGACTGCTGCTCCTGACCTCATGATTCCAGAGATATTCGTGAGTCCAATGAGACAGCGTTTATAAAAGTGCTCTGTGAATTGCTGCGTGGTATACAAAAGTCAAGAATTCACAGCACAGTGGCCACTGGATCAGAGGAAACTTGTTTCCTGTGGAACCACACCCTACCACACACAACTATCAGGCAGCCTTTGGTTCTTTGCATTTCCTCACTCACATGAGGCGGTCCTAGAGAACCGCTATAATGTTAGAGGCAGAATTAGAGACTACACTCCTGCTCCCAGAAGCAAAAGCATGGACTGTCTTGCCCCATCCATGTGCTCACTCCAGCTCTTAGGCTGCAGGTGTCAGCATCATGAGGTCCAAACAGATTCCAAGTAAGACCATTCTAAGGTTCCTAACCTGGGCCTGTGCTGCCAGAGCTCTGTGGATAAGTTTTAGAGGCAAATCTCTTAAAGTGGTTTGCAAAATTGTGTGTACATGTATGTTGCTTTTTTTCTGTTTTATTTTTTTAAGAAAGTGTCCATAACTCAGATTTTTAAAATTATTTTTAATTGACACATAATAATTGTACCTTTATGAGATAGTGTGATATTTTTATATATGCACACAATGTGTAATGCTGAAATCAGGTTAATCAGCATTTCCATCACCTCAGACATTTATCATGTCTTTGTGTTGGGAATATTCAAAATCCACTCTTCTAGCTATTTGAAAATATACACTAAATTGTTGATTATAGTTACTCTATAGTGCTATAGGACACTAGAACTTATTCTCCCATCTAGCTATACTTTTCTATCTGTTAACCAATCTCTGACTGTCTCCCCCCAAACCTTGTAGTCTCTAGCAGTAACTATTCTACTCTCTACTTCTATGAGATCAACTTTTTTTTTCTTTTTTTTGAGATCAACTTTTTTTTTCTTTTTTCTTTTCTTTTTTTTTTTTTTGGACAGAGTTTCGCTCTTGTTGCCCAAGCTGGAGTGCAATGGCGCGATCTTGGCTCACGGCAACCTCCGCCTCCTAGGTTCAAGCGATTCTCCTGCCTCAGCCTCCCGAGTAGCTGGGATTACACTCATGCACCAAACACACCCATCTAATTTTGTATTTTTAGTAGAGACAGAGTTTCTCCATGTTGGTCTGGCTGGTCTCGAACTTCCAACCTCAGGTGATCCACCCACATCAGCCTCCCGAAGTGCTGGCATTACAGGCATGAGCCACCGCGCCCGGCCTGAGATCAACTTTTTAAGTTTCCACATGTAAAATTTTTATTCCAAGGCCTCTAGAACTCTCCTTTTACATCTGCGACATCAAATGACAATGTTCCATGTGGTGGTTCCTCCATCAGCCAGAGTGGGGATGGTGATGATGTAGAAGCAGAGCCCCTCCATATCTGTTGTATATTCTGGAAATACTCAGCCTAGGTTCTGATTCCTTCTCAGCTCCCAAAACCCTAACTACAAAGCTTTGGGCAAAAATCACTCATTTCCTTTAAAGTGTAATTTTCAGGCTTTTGCCCAAGGACAAAAATTCCCACTGCTGGCCACTTATGGTGGGAGTGGTTAGGGATGCTCTTTTAAAGGAATAACCTGGAACTAGCCACTGTTACCCTTTGCCTTTAGTGATTTTGAACTTGGAGCTTTCCTGGGACTCCTGAGAACATCCCATACGTATTCTTGTTATCTTGGGCTATGGTTTCCTCTGCTCTGTCTCTGTCTATTGGTTCACATATGTTTTCAGTATTCTAGGAATTCTTTCACATTTTTGACAAATACATGTTTTTCCGCATTGTTCTGCTTTCATTAAAAGAAAATATTTGCTGTCATTTCAAAAGCATCTTTTAAGGAACAGGAGGTAGATGTCTGTGCTCGGTCTAACATTTTAAACTGGAAGTTAATGCCCAATTTTAAACAAGGGTTATTTCAAGCAAGAGTTCCTAATGGGAAGACAAAAATCAGGTTGCTTCTGAGTTATCTAAGTAAAAGGGAAACATATAAGAATCTTAAGAATACAAACCACCTCCTTCTCCTGGGCATTGCATGAGCCCTTAATAAACAATTGTACTTAAGTTTTAGAAGCACAACTTAGAAGGACATGGAAATGTTAGAGAGGCCTAAAAGGATATAATAAAGATGATTTGAGGCTTAAGTAATAGGGTATTTGAGGAGAAGTAAACAGAATTAGGACTATTTATCTTAGCCAAATAAAATTTCAGATTGTCCTAATATAGTAAGGTTTCCTATGCATAAAGTGCTCATGTGCAGATCAAATTTTCTGTATCTCTGTTAAGGCCAAAATAAGTAGCAGCTGAACTTAACAGCAGAAAAAGAGCTTCAGGTGAAAAATTTTTTTAAAAATTTCTGAATTTTAGGGTTTTTAACATTGGTAATGGAATACCCAAGGAAGGTACAGAAAACAGTCCTCCAATTTTTAGGAAAAAAAAAATTGGGAAGGATGGTTTAGTTGTAGCTCTGTCTGAAGATAGGAGCCGACATTAGATTCTGTCCCTATGGCATTATGGTTCCCTGAGAGATTAAGTTGTGGTAAGTCTTTGGCACAATAGACACAAATTATGAGGTTGTTAATAAAGCTGTAAGTACGCATCTCTTCCATTATCTTTGTAGTAGGACATAACTCATGAGAAGTCTGAAATAGTAATGTATTGTGTTGGGGTACTCTGCCAACTATTAAAAAAATCATATTTAACTTTTCCATTATGAACTTGAGCCTTATTTGGAAGTTGTCTTCTTCCCATAAAATCTTCCCAGATAATGTTTTCCCAGCAACACTTGATAGGACGGCCTAACACATTCCCTGCTTAGTTATAAACCCCAGGCGGCTTATTGTTGCCTGTTCAATTATCTCTGGAGGTACAGATTTCCCCCTTATTCATTATTTTGATAGAATTGCCAACAAGGAAAAGGGAAGAAAAGAAAAATGGATTTTAGTAAGGATTATTTATTTTAGCCAAATAAAATTTCAGATTGTTCTAATACAGTAAGGTTTCAAACACATAAAGTACTTATGTACAGGTCAAATTTTCCACATGTGTCCAAAGGCCATAATAAGTAGAAATGGACTTTAACTGCAGAAAAAAAGTATTAGGTAAAAATACATAAAAATAACTTTCTGAATGTTAGGATTTTAAGTTTTGGCAAAGAGATACCAAATAAAGGAACAGAAACTAGTACTCCAATTTTTTTAAGAAAATGGGAGGGATGATTTAGTCATAAAATCTGTCAGTATTTCAATGATAGCGATTTTTCAAATTTTTACAAGGCAGGGAATCCTAGTTCTGTCTTTGTACTTTGGAAATGTCATGAAGATGTTATAAATCAGAAGTAAGGTTGTGGAGTTAACTTGCTGGTGTTAATAGCCCAAAGTTAGCTTAGGGGTTTGCACATCTAGCCTCTTTGACTGGATTTGAAGGATGGAAGTGTAGTAAATGAAACAGTAGTTCAGTTTATAAAAGTGCCCACAATTTGGTTAGGGACCACATTAACTGGGTTTATCTGGAGGTATAAAATCCAAAAGGTCAATGAAGGCTTATTCATTTATTCACCTCACTTTTCTTTCTTTCTTTCTTTCTTTTTTTTTTTTTTTTTTTTTTTTGCGACAGAGTCTCGCTCTGTCACCCAGGCTGGAGTGCAATGGAGCGATCCCAGCTCATTGCAACCTCCGCCTCCCAGGTTCAAGTTATTCTCCTGCCTCAGCCTCCCAAGTAGTTGAGTTTATTAGGCACCTCCCACCATGCCCAGATAATTTTTGTATTTTAGGAGAGACAGGATTTGCCATGTTGGCCAGGCTGGTTTTGAATTCCTGACTTCAAGTGATCTGCCCACCTCAGCTTCCCAAAGTGCTGGGATTACAAGCGTGAGCCACTGTGCCCAGCCTTATTTTATTTTATTTTTTCATTTAATGTAGTTACTTTACTTTTTTGTTGTTAATTTTTTTAATTTCCATAGGTTATTGGGGAACAGCTGGTGTTTGGTTACATGAATAAGTTCATTAGTGGTGATTTGTGAGATTTTAGTGCACCCATCACCCCAGCAGCATACACTGCACCCTATTTGTAGTCTTTTATCCTTCACTTCCTTCTCACCTTTTCTTTTGAGTCCCCAAAGCCCATTGTGTAATTCTTATGCCTTTGCATTCTCATAGCTTAGCTCCCACTTATGAGTGAAAACATACGATGTTTTCTTTTCCATTCCTGAGTTACTTCACTTAAAATAATAGTCTCCAATCTCATCCAGGTTGCTGCAAAGGCCATTAATTCATTCCTTTTCATGGCTGAGTAGTATTCCATTGTATGTATACACCACGGTTCCTTTATCCACTCGTTGACTGATGAGCATTTGGGTTGGTTCCACATTTTTGCAATTGTGAATGGTGCTGCTAAAAACATGTGTGTGCAAGTATGTTTTTGGTTTAATGACTTCTTTTCCTCTGGGTAGATACCCAGTAGTGGGATTGCTGGATCAAATGGTAGTTCCACTTTTAATTCTTTAAAAAATCTCCACACTGTTTTGCATACTGGTTGTACTAGTTTACATTCCCACGAGCAGTGTAGAAGTGTTCCCTGTTCACCAAATCCCGGCCAACATCTACTCTATTTTTTGATTTTTTGATTATGGTTATTCTTGCAGGAGTAAGGTGGTATCGCATTGTGGTTTTGATTTGCATTTCCTTGATCGTTAGTGATGTTGAGCATTTTTTCATGTTTGTTGGCCATTCGTATATCTTCTTTCGAGAATTGTCTATTCATGTCCTTAGCCCACTTTTTGATGGGATTGTTGGTTTTTTCTTGTTGATTTGCTTGAGTTCATTGTAGATTCTGGATATTAGTCCTTTGTCAGACATATAGATTGTGAAGATTTTTTCCTACTCTGTGGGCTGTCTGTTTACTCCGCTGACTGTTCCTATTGTCATGCAAAAGCTCTTTAGTTTAATTAACTCTTAGCAATTTATCTTTGTTTTTATTGCATTTGCTTTTGGATTATTGGTCATGAAATCCTTGCCTAGGCCAATGTCTAGAAGGGCTTTTCCAATGCTATCTTCTAGAATTTTTATAGCTTCAGGTCTTAGATTTAAGTCCTTAATCAGCCTTGAATTGATTTTGGTATAAGGTGAGAGATGAGGATCCAGTTTCATTCTCCTACGTATGACTAGCCAATTATCCCAGCAACATTTGTTGAGAAGGGTGTCCTTTCCCCACTTTATGTTTTTGTTTGCTTTGAAGATCGGTTGGCTGTAAGTATTTGGGTTTATTTCTGGGTTCTCTATTCTGCTCCATTGATCTATGTGCCGTTTGTTTGTTTGTTTGTTTGTTTGTTTGTTTGTTTGTTTTTGAGATAGAGTCTCGCTCTGTCACCCAGGCTGGAGTGCAGTGGCATGATTTCTGCTCGCTGCAACCTCTGCCTCCCACGTTCAAGTGATTCTCCTGCCTCAGGCTCCTGAGTAACTGGGATTATAGGTGTGTGCCACCATGCCTGGCTAATTTTTGTATTTTTATTAGAGACAGGATTTCACCATGTTGGTCATGCTGGTCTCAAACTCCTGACCTAGTGATCTTCCGGCCTTGGCCTCCCAAAGTGCTGGGATTACAGGCATGAGCCACCCCCCCTGGCCTATGTGCCTATTTTTATACCAATACCATTTTGGTGACCATGGCCTTACTTATAGTTTGAAATCAGTTAATGTGATGCCTCCAGATTCGTTCTTTTTGTTGTCTTGCTTTGGCTATGTGGGCTCTTTTTTGGTTCCATATGAATTTTAGAATTGCTTTTTCTAATTTTGTGAAGAATGATGGTGGTATTTTGATGGGAATTGTGTTGAATTTGTAGATTGCTTTGGGCAGTATGGTCAGTTTCACAATATTGATTTTACTCATCCATGAGTATGGGATGTGTTTCCGTTTGTTTGTGTCATCTATGATTTCTTTCAGCAGTGTTTTATAGTTTTCCTTGTAGAAGTCTTTCACCTCCTTGGTTAGGTATGTTCCTAAGAATTTTATTTTATTTTATTTTTTGCAGCTATTGTAAAAGAGGTTGGGTTATTGATTTGATTCTCAGCTTGGTCACTGTTGGCGTACAGAAGAGCTATTGATTTCTGTACATTAATTTTGTATCTGGAAACTTTGCTGAATTCCTTTATCTGTTCTAACAGCTTTCTGTAGGAGTCTTTAGGGTTTTCTAGGTAAACAATCATATCATCAGCAAAGAGCAACAGTTTGACTTCCTCTTTACCAATTTGGATGCCCTTTATTTCTTTCTCTCGTCTGATTGCTCTGGCTAGGACTTCCAGTACTATGCTGAAGAGGAGTGGTGAGAGTGGGCATCCTCACCTTGTTCCAGTTCTCAGAGGGAATGCTTTCAAGTTTTCTCCGTTCAGTATTATACTGGCTGTGGGTTTGTCATAGATGGCTTTTATTACATTAAGATATGTCCCTTGTATGCCAATTTTGCTGAGAGTTTTAATCATAAAGCGATGCTGGATGTTGTCGAATGCTTTTTCTGCATCTATTGAGATGGTCATGTGATTTTTGCTTTTAACTCTGTTTATGTGGTGTATCACATTTATTGACTTGCATATGTTAAACCATCCTTGCATCCCTGGTATGAAACCCACTTGATCATGGTGGATTATCTTTTTGATATGTTGTTGGATTCAGTTAGCTAGTACTTGGTTAAGGATTTTAGCATCTATGTTCATCAGGGATATTGGCCTGTAGTTTTCTTTTTTGGTTATGTCCTTTCCTGGTTTTGGTATTAGGGTGATACTGGCTTCATAGAATGATTTAGGGAGGGTTCCCTCTTTCTCTAGCTTGTGGAATACTGTCAATAGAATTGGTACCAATTCTTCTTTGAATGTTTGGTAGAATGCTGCTGTGAATCCGTATGGTCCTGGACTTTTTTTTTGTTGGCAATTTTTAAATTACCATTTCAATCTCATTGCTTGTTATCAGTATGTTTAGGGTATCTAATTCATCCTCATTTAAGCTAGGAGGGTTGTATCTTTCCAGGAATTTATCCATCTCATTTAGGTTTTCCAGCTTATGCACATAAAGGTGTTCATAGTAGCCTTGAATAATCTTTTGTATTTCTGTGGTATCAGTTGTAGTATCTCTGTTTCATTTCTCATTGAGCTTATTTGAATTTTCACTCTTCTTTTCCTGGTTAATCTTGCTAATGGTCTATCAATTTTATTTATCTTTTCAAAGAACCAGCTTTTCGTTTTATTTATTTTTTGTTTGTTTGTTTGTTTGTTTGTTTGAATTTCATTTAGTTCTGCTCTGATCTTGGTTATTTCCTTTCTTCTGCTGGGTTTGGGTTTGGTTGTTCTTGTTTCTCTAGTTGCTTGAGGTGTGACCTTAGATTGTCTGTTTGTGCTCTTTCAGACCTTTTGATGTAGGCGTTTAGGGCTATGAACTTTCCTCTTAGCACTGCCTTTGCTGTGTCCCAGAGATTTTGATAGGTTGTGTCACTATTGTGGTTCAGTTCAAAGAATTTTTAAATTTCCATCTTGATTTCATTTTTGACCCAATGATCATTCAGGAGCAAGTTATTTAACTTCCATGTATTTGCATGGTTTTAGAGGTTCTTTTTGGGGTTGATTTCCAGTTTTATTCTACTGTGGTCTGAGAGAGTGCTTGATATGATTTCAATTTTCTTAAATTTATTGAGGCTTGTTTTACGGCCTATCATACGGTCTATCCTGGAGAAAGTTCCATGCGCTGTTGAATAGAATGTATATGCTGGGGTTGTTGGATGCAATGTTCTGTATACATCTGTTAAGTGCATTTGTTCCAGGGTATAGTTTAAATTCATTGTTTCTTTTGTTGACTTTCTGTCTTGATGACCTGTCTAGTGCTGTCAGTGGAGTATTGAAGTCCCCTAACTATTATTGTGTTGCTGTCTGTCTCATTTCTTCAGTGTGTTAGTAATTGTTTTATAAATTTGGGAGCTCCAGTGTTAGGTGCATATGTGTTTAGGATTGTGATATTTTCCTTTTGGACAAGGCCTTTATCATTATACAACGTCCCTTTTTGTCTTTTTTAACTGCTGTTGCTTTAAAGTTTGTTTTGTCTGATATAAGAATAGCTACTCCTGCTCACTTTTGGTGTCCATTTGCATGAAATGTCTTTTTCCACCACTTTACCTTAAGTTTGTGCGAGTCCTTTTGTGTTAGGTAAGTCTCCTGAAGGCAGCAGATGGTTGTTGAATTCCTACCCATTCTGCAATTCCATATCTTTTAAGTGGAGCATTGAGGCAATTTACATTCAATGTTAGTATTGAGATGTGAGGTACCATTTCATTCATCATGCTATTTGTTGCTTGTATACCTTGGTTTTTGGTTATTTGTTTTTTTTTTTTGTTCAAAGTTTTGTTTTTGTCTTTGTTTTTGCTTTTTTTGAGATGGAGTCTCACTCTGTCACCCAGGCTGGAGTGCAGTGGTGCCATCTCAGCTCACTGCAAGCTCTGCCTCCTGGATTCATGCCATTCTCCTGCCTCAGCCTCCAGAGTAGCTGGGACTACAGGTACCCACCACCAAGCCTGGCTAATTTTTTTTTTTTTTTGTATTTTTAGTAGAGACAGGGTTTCACCATGTTAGCCAAGATGGTCTCGATCTCCTGACCTCATGATCCACCCTCCTCGGCCTCCCAAAGTGCTGAGATCACAAGTGTGAGCCACTGCAGCCGACCTGTTTTTGTTTTTTAAATTGTATTTTTGTTTTATAGGTCCTGTGAGATTTATGCTTTAAAGAGGTTCTGTTTTGATGTGTTTCCAGGATTCGTTTCATGGTTTAGAGCTCCTTTTAGCAGTTTTTGTAGTGGTGGCTTGTTAGTGGTGAACTCTCTAAGCATTTGTTTGTCTGAAAAAGACTGTGTCTTTCCTTCATATATGAAGCTTAGTTTCACTGGATACAAAATTCTTGGCTGATAATTGTTTTGTTTGAGGAGGCTGAAGATAAGGACCCCAATCCCTTCTAGCCTGTAGGATTTCTGCTGAGAAATCTGCTGTTAATCTTATAGGCTTTCCTTTATAGGTTACCTGGTGCTTTTGTCTCACAGTTCTTAGGATTCTTTCCTCTGTCTTAACTTTAGATAATCTGAGGACAATATGCCTAGGTGATGATCTTTTTGCGATGAATTTCCCAGGTATTTTTGTGTTTCTTGTATTTGGCTATCTAGGTCTCTAGCAAGGCTGGGGAAGTTTTCCTCAATTATTCCTCCAAATAAGTTTTCTAAACTTTTAGATTTCTATTCTTCCTCAGGAACACAAATTATTCTTAGGTTTGGTTGTTTAACATAATCCCATATTTCTTGGAAGCTTTGTTCATATTTTCTTATTCTTTTCTCTTTGTCTTTGTTAGATTGGGTTAATTTGAAGACCTTGTCTTCAACCTCTGAATTTCTTTATTCTACTTGTTCAATTGTATTGCTAAGACTTTCCAGAGCATTTTGCATTTTAAAAGTGTGTCCATTATTTTGTGAAGTTTTGAATGTTTTTTATTTATTCCATCTATTTCCTTGAATATTTCTCCCTTCACTTCTTGTATCATTTTTTGGATTTCCTTGCATTGGGCTTAGCCTTTCTCTGGTCCCTCACTGATTAGCTTAATAACTAACCTCCTAAATTCTTTTTCAGGTAAATCAGGGATTTCTTCGTGGTTTGGGTCCATTGCTGGTGAGCTAGTGTGATTTGGGGGGAATGTTAAAGAACCTCATTTGTCGTATTACCAGAGTCGGTTTTCTGGTTTCTTCCCATTTGGGTGGTTTCTGTCAGATGAAAGGTCTAAGGCTAAAGGCTGTTGTTCAGATTATTTTGTCCCACAGGATGTTCCCTTGATGTAGTAGTCTCCCCCGTTTCCTATGGATGTGTCTTTCTGAGAGCCAAGCTGTAGTGATTGTTTTCTTGCTTTTGGATCTAGCCACCCAGCAAGTTTACCAGGCTCTAGGCTGGTACTGGGGATTGTCTGCACAGAGTCCTGTGATGTGAACTGTCTGTGGGTCTCTCAGCCATGGATAACAGCACCTGTTCTGATGGAAGTGGCAGGGGGGTGAAATGGACTCTGTAAGGGTCCTTAGCTTTGGTTGTTTAATGCACTATTTTTGTGCTGGCTGGCCTCCTGCCAGGAGATGGCACTTTCCAGAGAGCATCAGCTGTGGTAGTAAGGTGGGGAACAGGTGGTGGGCAGGGCCTTAGAACTCCCAAGAGTATATGCCCTTTGTCTTTGGTGGGTAGGGAAGGACCACCGGGTGGGGGTAGAGCTAGGCATGTCTGAGCTCAGACTCTCCTTGGGTGGGTCTTGCTGCGGCTGCTGTTGGGGATGGGGGTGAGGTTCCCAGGTCAATGCAGTTATAGCCCTCGGAGGATTACGACTGTCTTTACTATGTCATGAAAGTTGTTAGGGAAGTGGGGGAAAGCCAGCAGTCACAGGCCTCACCCAGCTCCCACACAATCTGAAAGGCCAGTCTCACTCCCACCATGCTCCCCACAACAACATCAAGTCTGTTTCCAGGCAGTGGGTGAGCAGGGCCACATACCCAGCTGCAGAAGCAAATATGGCTTTCCTTCTTCCTCTGCCTGTGGAGTCTGCACACCGGCTTCACGCCCTCCCCAAGTTCTGGCCAGGAGGCCTCTCAATCAGTTCAAAGTGTTACAAAGTTCTGCTGGAGATTTCCTTCTCCCTGTGGCCTTTTCCCATCACCTCTGGCCACCCTCCCAAAGGACCCCTGTGAGGCCAGGCAAAAACAGCTTGCTAGGGGACTCACAGAGCTGCCATGGCTTTTCCTGCTGTTTCCTCTACCCCTGTATTTCTCTCGACTCTCTAAATTGACTCAACTCCAGGTAAGGTCAAAATCTTCTGTAACCTAGGACTTCCATTTCCCCAGTGGGGGTGTGTGTTCAGAGGTGGATGATCTCCCTTTCCCAGTTCTACAGTTTGGACACTCACAGTATATGGGGTGTCTCCTGGGTCCTTCAGGAGCATTCTGATTCCTTCAGGGTGGGTCCTCTCAGGTTTTCTGATTTGTTTCTGCAGTTGTTTTGGAGCAAAAATTCAGTGTGAACCTCCAAACACTGCTCTGTCTGTCCAAGTGGGAGCTGTAATCTAGTCCTGCCTCCCATCTGCCATGATCCCCCCTCCTATTCATCTATTTTATTAAGTATTGATCAAATATATAACACTAAATTGGAGTTGAGAGAAAGCAAAAGAATGCTATATAGACTTTGACAGTTGTTGCAAGGGCTCAGTGGTTGACAGAAAGGTACTAGAAGGCACAAAGAACAAAGTTCCTTTAATATCGGTAAAAGCTACAAGAACGTAACTATATTAAGATGACCAATCACTGCCAAATGAAATCAGCTAACAAGGGTATGAATCATTTTGGGTCCTTCTAGAAGCTCCTTTTGCCATTTTCAGGAAGGTTTTAACCTCCAGCACCACCCAGTTGTTCTGTAGTCTCTGACTGTTGGACTGTCTGACTTACTAGGTGCAAGTGACTGACTGGTGAGCACCTAAGCACTTTGCCACTGAAAGTATGTTGTGATCCACAATCTGCATTTTAACATCTCCAGATTTATTTGCACATGAAAGTCTGAGAAGCATTTCCCTGATACACTTCTAAGTGCTTACCTGGGAAATGAGTGAATTTAAGGTCAGTTCTCATAGAGTCATTTCCCCAGGTGACCTCCACCTCCTCCCCAAGCAGGACTAGGCTGTAAAGTCTGCTGAGTGTCATCTTGGCAGTCCTTGTTCTTGAAGAGCACGAAATCTTGTTAAGGAGAAGAAACTTGCCTAAAATAACCCAGTGTCAAAGTTACTGATTTGGTAACAAACATATGATTATTAACATGAGAAATACAGAAAATAGTACCCTAGAAGTTCAAATAAAAGGTACAAGTTTATAGGTAAAAGCTGACACAGATTTTGTTTTTTAAAGTCCTTTCTGAAGAATAGAAACTCAATTCAGGCTCTAAAGCAGTGGTTCTAACTTGAGCATGCATCAGAATTATCTGGCGCCCCACCCCAGAGTTTTCTATGCAGTTAATTCTGAGATGGGGGCTGAGAATTTGCGTTTCTAACAACTTCTCAACCTCACCTCCACCTGCTCTGCTGATGCTGCCAGTGCAGGGACCACACTCTGAGAACCCCTGTTCCAAAGCAGTGGTTTTCAAACAGGGGTGGGGCAAGCAACATTGCTCCCAGGGGACATTTGGCAGTGTCTGCAGATATTTTCGGTGGTCACAAAGTGTGGGTGGGGGAACTACTGGCATCTGGTGGATGAAAGACACATTCTACAATGTGCAGGACATCCCTCCACAACAAAAGATTATCTGGCCCAAAATGTCAGTCTGCTGAGATTGAGAAACACTGCTCTAAAGCTCAACCTTGGCTGCCCATCAGAAACACCTGGGAAGACTTTAGACATCCTGATATCCAAACTGTACACCAGATCATTTAAACCAGAATCTCCAGGATTAGAACCTAGGTGATAAAAGTTTTTAAAGCTCCCCAGATAATTCTAACATGTAGCTGAAGCTGATGAGAATTCTTCTAAAGAATGGAAAATGTGTAAACAGACAAAACAGTTGAAAATCGTGCTGGTTAAAATATTTGCTTCCAGATTCACTCTCCATTTTTCTTTATTCTCTTCCAGTCTCCACGAGGCTGTCCAGAAACCAGATTACCCAGGGGCTGGCTCCCTTGCCCTCTGGCTTCTGGTTGGACTCAGCCAATAATAGGTACCACCTGGACATTGAAGGTGGAAAGGGAGAGATAACAGGTTATTATTTTTCCCACTTCCTCTGTGTGTTGCCATAATTCTGGCAGTAGTTTTGTTTCTCTATAGCTACATCTATTTGGGGGTAGCTGTTTATTTATTGCTTTAGCTCTCAATGAGGTTCTGGCCACTCCTTATTCTCCTGTGTCCCTTCAGGCCTAGGGTGGCAAAAGTTTGCTGCTGCTGCTAGCTAATGTCTTGGTACTTCAATATTCATTATTGATTTCTCAGCTCTGCACACATCTCTGCAAATTATCCCTTAACTTAAAAGTCACCTCAAAATTCCAGGTGAATGTGCTGTCTGTTTCCTGTGCAGTCACATGGGGCTCCATGCTCAGAAAGGTCCCATGCTTGGTTTAATGCTCTTCTGCAACAGTCTTGGAATTCTTAATATATTTGAACAAGAGGCCCTGCATTTTCTTCTTTCAGTGGGCCCTGAAAATTATGTAGTGATCCTGTTGCCAGGATTCTGACTGATATAAAGCTATTCTTGATAGGGAGGAAATGGCATGAATGAGACTTGAAGCTAAAAATGCACTTGCTGATTTGAAGAACATTAACTGTGGCTGTTTGTGACCTGGCTGGAAAGGACAACCCATCATCACATCTACTGGTAAACTTATGGTATCCAGAAAAAGCCAAAGGACTCTATTGCAAGACAGCATCACCTGGCTGCAGAGGTACCTAATTTGCCCTAGATGAGGTCATGGTGCTTGCTGGTTTACAAGTAATCAGTTTTTTTTTGTTGTTGTTGTTTTTAACCTAGTTTATTGAGGTGTAATTGACAAATAAAATTGTATATATTTAAGGTGTATAATGTAATGATTTGACATACACATACGATGTGAGATAATTACCACAATCAGGTTAATTAACACATCTATCACTTCACAGAATTATGATTTTGTGTAGTGACAACACTTGAAATCTACAACACTCAGAAATTTTCAAATATACAATACACTATTGTTAACTATAGTCACCTGTTGTAGATCAGATCTCCAAAATTTATTCATCTTATAACTGAACATTTGTATGCTTTGACCAACATCTTCTCATTTCCCCCAAACGATAGGATTTTATTCCTTTTTATGACTAAATAATATTTCATCATGTATGTATAAAATTCATTCATCTCTCAACAGACACTTAGGTTGTTTCCCTGTCTTGACTGTTGTGAATAATTCTGCAATGAACATGGGAGTGCAGATATCTATATTTGACATACAAATTTCATTTTCTTTGGATATACTTCCATGAGTGGGATTGCTTGATCAATGACAGTTCTATTATTAATTTTTTGAGAAACCTCTATACTGTTTTCATAATGGCTATACCAATTTACATTCCCACCAACAGTGCACAAGGTTCTCTTCTCTCCACATCTTCATCAACACTTGTATCTCTTGTCTTTTTTAATAGTAGCCATATTAATAGATGTGAGGTAGTACCTCATACCTCTATGTGGTTTTGATTTGCATTTCTCTGTTGATCAGTGATATGGAGCACCTTTTCATATACCTATTGGCCATTTGTATTGTTGTTATTTTGTTTTGTTTTGTTTTGTTTTTTTACTGAGTTGTATGAGTTCTTTATGTATCTTAGATATTAACCCCTTACTGGATATATGGTTTGCAGATATTTTCTTTTATTTTATAGGTGGCCTTTTACTTGTTTCCTTTGCTGTGCAGAAACTTTTAGTTTGATGTATTTCCACTTGTTTATTTTTACTTTTGTTGCCTATGCTTTTTGTATCATATCCAAAAAATCACTGCCAAGATCATTGTCAAGAAGGTTTTCTCCTATGTTTTTGTCTATGAGTTTTATAGATTCAGGTCTTATGTTTAAGTCTTTTATCTATCTTGAGTTAATTTTTGTGAGTGTTATTAGATAGGGGTCCGATTTCATTTTTTTACATGTGGACATTACAGTTTTCTCAACACAACACCATTTGTTGAAAAGACCATCCTTTCCCCTTGTTATTCTTGATACCCTTATCAAATATTATTTGACCATATATGCATAAGTTTATTTCTGGGCTATTATTCCATTGGCATATGAACAGGATTTATTCCAGGATAAATATGGAATAACTTTATTTTTGATTATTTTGAGTGTCTGATTTTATGCCAGTAAGATATTGCTTTTATTACTACAGCTTTGTAATACAGTTTGAAAGCAAGAAGTGTGATGATGCCTCCAGTTTTATTCCTTCTCGAGATTTCTTTGGCTATTCAGGGTCTTTCTTGATTCCATATGAACTTTAAAATTGTTTGTTCTATTTCTGCAAAAAAAATGCCATTGAAATTTTGATAGGGATTCTATTGAATCTATAGAAAACTTGGGGTGGTATGGGCATTTTAACAGTACTAATTCTTCCAACCCATGAACATGGGATATCTTTCCATTTAATTGTGCCTTCATCAATTTCTTCCATCAATATATTATAGTTTTCAGTGCATATATCTCTCATTTCCTTAAATTTTTTCTTAAGTATTTTATGTTTTGATGCTATTATAAATGGAATTCTTTTCTTTATACCTTTTTCAGATATTTTTGTCATTAATGTGTAGAAATTCAACGATTTTGTATATTGATTTTGTATCCTGCAACTTTACTGAATTCATTTATTAATTTTAGTTTAGTTTTAGATACTAAAGTTGTTTGGTATGGTCTTTAGGATTTCCTATATATAAAATCATGTTATCTGTAAACAGAATAATTTTACTTCTTCCTTTCTGATTTGGATGCCTTTTATTTCTTTTCCTTGCCTAATTTCTCTGGCTAGAACTTCCAGTACTATGTTGAATAGAATTGGTGAGAGTGAGCACTCTTGTCCTATTCCTGATCTTACAGGAAAAGGTTTTAGTTTTTCATAGTTGAGTATATAATATTATCTGTGAGTTTTACATGTATGGCCTTTTTATGTTAAGGTGCATTATTTTTATATCAATTTGTTGAGAGGTTTTATCATAAAAAGATGTTGAATATTGTCAATGCTTTTTATGCATGTATTGAGATAATCATGCTTTTTATCCATCATTTTGTTAATATGGTATATCACATTTATTGATTTGTGCATGATGAAGCATCCTTGCATTATGGGGATAAGTCTCACATGATCATGCTGTATGATTCTTCTAATGTGCTGTTGAATTTGGTTGCTAGTATTTTGTCAAAATTTTTGGCATCTATGTTCATCAGGGATATTGACCTGTACTTTTCTTTTCTTGTAATGTCTTTATCTAGCTTTATTATGGAGATAATACTGGCCTCATAAAATGAGGTTGAAACTGTTTCTTCCTCTTCAATTTTTTAAGAGAAGTGAAGAACACTTAGCATCAACTATTCTTTAAATTTTGGTAGAAATCACCAGTGAAGACTTATGCTCCTGGGCTTTGGCCTGTTGGGAGGTTTTTGATAACCAATTCAATCTTCTTATTTGTTATTGGTCTGTTCAGGCTTTCTATTTTTTTCATGATTCTGATTCAGTATCCATAGATCATATGTTTCTAAGAATTTATCCATTTCTTCTAGGTTATACAATTCATTGGTATATAGTTGTCCATAGTGGTCCTTTTTGTATTTCTGTGGTATCATTTGTAATGTCTCCTCTTTGTTCTTTTTATTTATTTGAGTCATCCCTTTTTTTGGTTAGTCTAGCTAAAGGTGTATCAATTTTGTTTATTTTTGTTAAAACTAACTCTTCGTTTTATTCTTTTTCATTGTTTCTCTGTTTTTGTGTTATTTATTTTAGCACTAATCTTTATTATTTTCTTTCTTCTGCTAACTTTGGGCTTGGTTTGTTCTTGTTTTGCTAGTTCCTTAAAGTGTAAAGTTAGATTATTTATTTGATATCTTTCTTTTTAAATATAGGCATTTATAGCTATAAACTTTCCTTTTATTTTTTATTTATTTATTTTTTTGAGACAGAGTTTCACTCTTGTTGCCAGGCTGGAATGCAATGGCGTAATCTCGGCTCATCACCACCTCTTCCTCCCGGGTTCAAGCAATTCTCCGGCCTCAGCCTCCCGAGTAGCTGGGATTACAGGCATGTGCCACCATGCCTGGCTAATTTTGTATTTTTAGTAGAGATGGGGTTTCACCATATTGGTCAGGCTGGTCTCAAACTCCCGACCTCAGGTGATCCACCCGCCTTGGTCTCCCAAAGTGCTGAGATTACAGGTGTGAGCTATCACGCCCAGCCTAAACTTTCCTTTTAGAACTGCTTTTGGTGCATCCATATCTTTTAGTTTGTTGTGTTTTCAATTTTGTTTCTCTCATAATAGCTTTAATTTCCCTTTTGATTTATTTTTGACCTGTTGGTCATTCAGGAGCATGTTGCTTCATTTCCATGGATTTGTGAATTTTCTAATTTTCCTCTTGTTACTGATTTCTAGTTTCCTACCTTTGTGGTCAGAAAAGATACTTGATATGATTTCAGTCTTCTTGAAACACATAATTTATCCTGGAGACTGTCCCATATGCACTTGAGAAAAAGGTATACTCTGTTGCTGTTGGATAAAATGTCCTATATGTGTCTGTTAGGTCCATTGATTATACAATGGTATTCAAATCCACTGCTTGCTTATTGATTTTCCTATGTGGTTGATCTATCCATTGTTGAGAGTGGGGTATTAAAGTATTCTACTGTTACTATATTGCTGTTTATTTCTCCTTTCAGTTATTTTAATATTTGTTTTATATAGTTAAGTGCTCTTACATTTAGTGCAGATATAGTTATAATTGTTATATATTCTTGATGAGTTGACCCATTTAACACTCTGTGATGATCTATTGTCTCTGTTGACAGTTTTTTATTGAAAGGCTCTTTTTTTCTAATGTAAGTATAGCCATCCTGCTTTCTTTTGGTTACCATTTGCATGGAATTTTTTTTTCTATTTTTTTCACCTTTCAGCCTATGCATGTTCTTAAAGCTAAAGTGAGTCTCTTGTGGGAAGCATGTACTTGGATCTTGTTTTTTTTTTTTTTTAATCCATCTAGCTACTCTATGTCTTTTGATTGAAGAATTTAATTCATTTATATTTAAAGTAATTATTGATAGGTAAGGATTTGCTATTGACATTTTGTTAATTGTTTTCTGACTGTTTTGTATTTCCTTTGTTCCTTTCGTTCTCTCTTGCTGTCTTCCCTTACAATTTGATTACTTCTGTGGTGACAGGCTCTGATTTCTTTCTCCGAATCTTTTGTATATCTACTACAGGTTTTTTTATTGTGGTTACCATGAGGCTGCATAAAACATTATAGTTATAACAACCAATTTTAAGGTCATACAACTTCATTTGCATATACAAATTGTATACTTTACTTCCCCTCCACACACATTTCAACTTATTGATGCTACAATGTAAATTTTTAAATATTATGTATCCATTAACAAATTACTGTGGCTTCAAAAATACATTTGTCTTTCACTCTTTTACTAGAGTTGAAAGCAGTTTATGCACAATTACAATATTACAGAATTCTGAATTTAACTATACTTTTTTTGCTAATGAGCTTTGTACAGTCATGTTTTTACATTTTTAATTAGCATCCTTTTCTTTTCAGTTTGAAGAACTTCCTTTATTATTTTTTTCCTTTTTTTTTTTTTTTTGAGACAGAGTCTCACTCTGTTGCCCAGACTGGGATGCAGTGGCATGATCTCAGCTCACTGCAATCTCCGCCTCCCAGGTTCAAGCAATTCTCTTGCCTCAATCTCCTGAGTAGCTGGAATTATAGACATCTGCCACCACCCCTGGCTAAAGTTTTTTGTATTTGTAGTAGAGACGGGGTTTCGCTATGTTGGCCAGGTTGGTCTCAAACTCCTGACCTCAAGTGATTCACCTACTTCAGCATCCCAAAGTGCTGAGATTACAGGCATGAGCCACCAAACCTGGTCAATTTTTTCCTATTATTTTTGAGACAAAGTCTTTCTCTGTTGCCCATGTGAAGTGCAATGGCACAATCACAGCTCATCGTAGCCTCGACCTCCCAAGCTCAAGTGATCCTCCCACCTCAGACTCCCAATGTGCTGGGGCTACAGGCATGAACCACTGTACCTGGCATCTTTATTATTTCTTGTAAGTCAAGTCTAGTGGTATTGAATGCCTCCAGTTTTTGTTTGTTTGGTAAAGTCTTCATCTCTCTTTCATTTCTGAAGAACAACGTTGTCAGATAAAGCATTCTTGGTTGACAGTTTCCCCCCCTTTCAGCACTTTGAATATATCATCCCACTCTGTCCTGGCCTGCAAAGTTTCTGCTCAAAAATTGTCTGATAGTCTTATGGTACTTTACTTGTATGTGATGTGAGTCAATTTTTTCTTCCTGATTTCAAAATTTTCTCTATCTTTGTCTTTTTGACAACTTAATTATACTGTGTCTCAGTGTATTCCTTTTCTGGTTCAAACTATTTGGGGATTTTTGCACCTTATGAATCTAGATGTCCATTTCTCTCCCCAAATTTGGGGAGTTTTCAGCCATTTCTGGACTCTCTGTTCTTGCCTATTGGTCTGTTTATCTGTTTTTTCAACAACACCACACTATCTGGAATACTATAGCTGTATAGTAAGTCTTGAAATTGGGTAGTGTCAGTCCTTTAACTTTGTTCTTCTCCTGCAATATTGAGTTGACTGGGTCTTTTGCCTCTGCATATAAACTTTAGAATCGGTTTGCTGATATTCATAAAATAACTTGCTGAGATTTTTATTGAGATTGCATTAAACCTATAGATCAAGTTGAAAAGAATTGATATATGTTTTTAATTTCAAATTCCTCTTGTTCATTGCTGGTATATAAGAAAGCAATTGACTTTTGTATATTAACTTTGTATTTTGCAAGCTTTCTATAATCATTTATAAGTTCCAGGAGTTTTTGTTGTTGACTCTCAGATTTTTTATGTAAGAAATCATGTTATCTTCAAACAAAGAAAATTTTACTTGTTTAATCTCAGTCTCTATAATATTTATTTATTTCATTTTCTTCTTTAATTGTGTTAGCAAGGACTACCAGTACAATGTTGAAAAGCACTGATGAAAGAGGACATGCTTGCCTTATTCCCAATCTTAGTCACCATTAAGTATAATGTTAGATATAGGTTTCTGTAGCTATTTTTTACCAAGCTGAGGAAATTCGCACTCTATTCCTAGTTTGCTGAGAATTTTTATAATGAATGGGGGTTAGATTTTTATCAAATGCTTTTTCTGCACCTATTAATATGATTATGTGATTTTTTTTCTTTTGCTTTTTGATGTGATGAATTACATTAATTGGTTTTCAAATGTTAAATCAGCCTTGCATACATGGGATAAATTCCAATTGGTCATATTGTATATTTCTTTTTTTAAATTATTGGATTCAATTTGCTAATATTTTGTTGAGGAGTTTTGCATTTATAAATTCATGAGAGGTATTGGTCTTCAGTTTTCCTTTCTTGTAATGTCTATGTGATTTTTGTCTTAGGGTAATGCTGGTCTCATAGAAAGAGTATTCCCTCTGTTTCTCTCCTTAGGAAGAGATTGCAGAAAATTGATGTAATTTCCTTCTTAAATATTTTGTAGAATTCACCAGTGAACCCATCTGTCATGGTAGGTTCATGACAGATGAGTCATTTCTTTTTTAGAATATTATTATTGATTTAACTTCTTTAATAGCTATAGACGATTTAGATTGTCTATTTCTTCATGTTTGGGTTTTGAAAACTTGTGTCTTCCAAAAAATGGGTCTATTTCATCTAGGTTATCAATTTATTGAGTATAGAGTTGATCATAATATTTATTTATTATCATTTTAATTATCATTTTAATGTCTATGGGGTCTGTACTGATGTTTCGTCTTTCATTTTTGATACTAATATTTGTGTCTTCCTTCTTTTTTTCTTAGCCTGGCTAGAGGCTTATCAGTTGTATTGATCTTTTAAAAAAAACCAGCTTCTGGCCTTTTGCTTCTGGTTTTGCTGGTTTTTCTCTGTTGATTTCCTGGTTTTAAATTTCACTGATTTCTGCACTTATTTTTTACTATTTCTGCTTACTTTGGATTTAATTTTTATTCTTTTCCTAGTTTCCTAAGGTGGAGATTTAGATTATTGAATCTTTCCTTTTTCTAATATATGCTTTCAATGCTATAAATTTCCTTCTAAGCACTGCTTTCACGTCATTCCCCAAATTTTGATAAGTTGTATTTTCATTTCCATTTAGTTCAAAATATCTTTAAACTTCTCTTGAAATTTCTTCTTTGAGCACGTGTTATTTAGAAACATGTTGTTTAATCTCCAAGTATTTGGGGATTTCCCAGCTACCTTTTTGTTGTCAATTTCTAGTTTAATTCCACTGTGGTCTGAGGGCAGACATTTTTTAATTTCTGTAATTTTAAATTTCTAAAGGTGTATTTTCAGCAGCCCAGAATTTGATCTATCTTGATAAATGTTCCATGTGAATTTAAGAAAAATGTGTAAACTGTTGTTGTTGGATGTAGTAGTCTATAGATGTCAATTATATACAGTTGACTGATGGGGCTGTTGAGTTAAATTATGTCCTTATTGATTTTCTGCCTGCTGGATCTGTTCATTTCTGACAGAGTGTTAAAGTCTGTAAGTACAAGAGTGAATTCATCTATTTTTCCTTGCAGTTCTATCAGTTTTTGTCTCACATATTTTGACAATCTGTTGTCATATATGTTAAAGTTTTTATATCTCCTTGGAGAACTGACCTCTTCATCATTATATAATGCTCCTCTTTATCCCTGATAACTTTCCTTGCTCTGAAGTCTGCTCTGTCTGAAATTAATATAGCTACTTTTACTTTTTAAATTAGTATTAGCATGGTATATCTATCTTCCTTCTTTTACTTTTAATCTATATATGTCTTTGTATTTAAAGTGGAATTCTTGCAGACAACGTGTAGTTGGGTCTTTTTTTTTAATCTACTCATCAATCTCTGCCATTCAATTGGTTTATTTAGACTATTGACACTTAAAGTGATTATTAATATAGTTGGATGAATATCTACTACATTTTTACTGTTTTCTATCTGTTGCCATTTTTCTTTGTTTTTATTTTTGTCTTCCATAGTTTTTCTGCCTTTTGTTGTTTTAATTTAGTATTTTATATAATTCCATCTTCTCTCCTTTCTTAGCATATTAGTCACGCTTCATCATGCTTCTTTTTTTTCTCTTTTAGTGGTTGTCTTAAAGTGTGCAATATACATTCACAACAAATCCAAGCCCACTTTAAAAAAACACTACACAACTTCACCATAGTGCAATTTCTTTTTTTTTCTTTTTGTTTTTTGAAACAGGGTCTTGCTCTGTCACAATTTATTGTCTGTTATTCTTTGTAATAACAGGATATTTCCAATTCTTCCCTTCCCTCCCTTGCCTCATTGCTGTCATTCATTTTACTTATATGTAAACATATCTATATTTATATCTATAAAATTGAATACATTGTTGATATTATTTTGAACAAATTGTTGTGTTAGATTAATTAAGAATAAGTAAAATAAGTTTTTATTTTACTTTCACTTACACATTCCCCCATGCTGTTCCTTTATGTTGATTTGAATTTCTGACCTATATAATTTTTCTTCTCTCTAAAGAACTTTTCTTAACATTTCTTGCAAGGCAGGTATATTTGCAGCAAATGTCCTCATTTTTGTTTTGCTGAGAAATTATTGATTTTTCTTTCAGTTTTGGGAATAATTTTATAGGGTACAAAATTCAGGGTTGATGGGGTTTTTTTCTTTAATTCTTTAAATGTTTCACTCCACTCTCTTCTTGCTTGTATAGTTTTCGGGGAGATGGAGACAATTCTTACCTTTGCTCCTCTCTAGGTAAGGAGTTTTTACTCTGGCTTCTTTCAAAAATTTTAAAAAATCTTTGATTCTCTGAAATTTGAAATATAAAATGCCCAGATTTTGTTTGGCAATTATCCTGCTTGGTGTTCTCTGAGGTTCCTGGATCTATGGTTTGGCATCTGACATTAATTTAAGGAAATTCTCAGTCATTATTGCTTCCAGTATTTCTTCTGTTCCTTTTCCCTTTTTTCTCCATCTGGTATTTGCATTAAACAAATGGTATACCTTTTTTTAGTTGTCCTACAGTCCTTGGATATTCTGTTCTGTTTTTTCAGTCTCTTTTCTCTTTGCTTTTCTGTTTTGGGAGTTTCTGTTGTCATATATCTTCAAGCTCACAGATTATTTCCTCAGGAATGTCCAGTCTACTGATAAGCCCATGAAAGGCATTTTTCATTTCTGCTACAGTATTTTTTATCTCTAGTACATGTTTTTACTCTTTTTTAGAATCTCCATCTCTCTGCTTACATTATTTACCTGTTCTTGCATGTTGTCTCCTTTATCCATTAAAGCTCTTAGCATACTAGTAATTATTTGTTTTAATTCCTGGTTAAATATCAACATTTCTGATGTATCTAACTCTGGTTCTGATGCTTGTCAGTCTCTTCAAACCATACTTGTTGCCTTTTTGGATACCTTATAATTTTTCTGTTAAAAGGTAGACATGATTCGTGGGGTAAAATGATGTATAGGGTAAATAGGCCTTTAATAATATGGTAGTAAGGCAAAGTGGTTTTCTATATTCCTGTGATTAGTTCTCAGTCTTTTAGGGAGGCTGTGCCCCTGAACTATGACCTTTACCAGTGCTTCTCAGTTTTCTGCCCTCTCCCTGTGAGACAGGATGGGTGGAAAAAGTTGGAGTTGGGTATTTCTCCTTTTCCATGTGGAAAACTGGAGTTGTGCATTTCTCTTCCCCTTGGTGGGTAAGGCTCTGATTAAACCCCAGCAGATTCGGGTCTGATAAAATAGTTTCTCCTGAGGACAGGCCTTGTTAAGAAGAACAGAATATGGAGGTTTCTGTTTGTGGGTGTCTATTCTAGTAAATTGTGATTCTCTGTGTTCCCCTGCCGGTCTTTCCAATTTTGAAGTTTTCCCTGTGTCCTCACTCCTCTTACAGATACAAGAAGAGTTGTTGGTTTTTTAGATTCTTCAGCTTTTTACTTCTTTTGCTTATTTTAACAAGAGTACTAATACCAAGTGTCAGCAAGTGTCAGTGAGAGTAAAAAATGATGCAACCACTTTAGACAAACAATCTGACAGTTTCTTATAAAGTTGAATATATACTTATCATAGAACCCATCAATTTCACTTTTAGGTACTTACCCAAGAAAAATGAAACCTATGTTCTCACAAAGACCAGTACATAAACGTTCATAGTAGCTTTATTCATAATAACCAAAAGTTGTGAACAGCCTAAATGTAACCTACTGATACAGGCAATACAAATCAATCTGAAAACATGATGTTGTGTGAAAGAAGTCAGACACAAAAGAGTACATATTTTGTAATTGAATTTATATCAAATTCTACAACAGACAAAACTAATCTATTGTGGTGTAAAGTACATCAGTGTTTTCCGAGGGTCTGTAGGGGAGGGGATTGAATGCAAAGGAACATGAAGAAACTTTCTGGGTGATGTAGATGTTTTTATATCCTGATTGTGGTGATGGTAGTTCCACAGATGTACAGATTTGTAAAACTCATCTAAATGTACGCTTAAAATGGGTGCATTTTATTCATGTAAATTATACCTTGATAAAGTTGATTTTTTAAAAAAAGTAAGTTCTCATGGTAACTGAGAAACTATGACAATAATCTAATTCTCCAAACCACTGTGATATACTCAAGTCTAACTTACCAATGATAAATTAACCCCTTACACTTGAAGGCATTTAAGTAACTAGCTTCCTTTATTAATGAACTGAAATAACTTCCTATAATACCATCAGTAAAATAATTACATTCATTTCTCTTTCAGACTTACTAAATAAATGCTACTACTTTCAAATACACCAAGGAATAAAAGAATTTATATTTAAAGTGTTTGGAGAGTAAACATTTTACAGTATTTATAACATTCCCTAAGTAAATAAAGCATTTAAAAATTACTTCCTTTATGTTTTAAATATGCTGTATTATGTTGAATGGCCTTTAAACACAAAACCCAGCACATGAGAAGTTCCAAGGTGTCATCTAGGTCTTCACTTCTGTGTCTGCTCTGAGTTGTTACAGAAAATTGCCTACACTTGGGGAACGCGGCGCCCCGGCCGCCGCAGAGCCGAGCCGAGCCAGGCGAGCCCCCGCGGCGCCCAAGCGCGGGCCCCCCAGCCGCCGCCGGGCGCGGCATTTTTATTCAAGCGAGATAACGGAGCCCGGCCGCGCCCGGTGCATTGTGGGAACGGCCCGCGGCCCGTTTTCGGGAGGAGGCGGAGGGCGCGAAGCGAGCTGGTGGATCCGTAAAGAACCCAGCCAACCCCCAGAGGGAGGGGAGGGGCTGAGCTGTGAGGAGAGCGGGGCACAAGAACCATGTGTACGCGGGAGTCCTTTTAACCCAGAAAGTTACGAATTGGACAGGAGCTTCTGGCTAACCAGATTCACTGAACTGAAGGGTACAGGCTGCAAAGTGCCCCAAGATGTCCTGCAAAAATTTCTGGAATCTTTACAGAAGAACCACTTCCAAGAAGATGAGCAGTTTCTGGGAGCCGTTATGCCAAGGCTTGGCATTGGAATGGATACTTGTGTCATTCCTTTGAGGCACGGTGGGCTTTCCTTGGTTCAAACCATAGATTACGTTTACCCGATGGTAGACGACCCTTACATGATGGGCAGGATAGCATGTGTCAGTCAATGTCCTCAGTGACCTCTACGCAACGGGGGTCATGGAATGCGACAATATGCTGATGCTCCTCGGAGTCAGTAATAAAATGACTGACAGGGAAAGGGATAAAGTGATGCCTCAGATTATCCAAGGTTTTAAAGACGCAGCTGAAGACGCAGGAGCGTCTGTAACAGGCGGCCAAACAGTTCTAAACCCCTGGATTGTCCTGGGAGGAGTCGCTACCACTGTCTGCCAGCCCAATGAATTTATCATGCAGACAATGCAGTGCCAGGAGACATGCTGGTGTAGACAAAACCCCTGGGGACACAGGTGGCAATGGCTGTGCACCAGTGGCTGGATATTCCTAAGAAATGGAATAAGATTAAACTAGTGGTCACCCAAGAAGATGTAGAGCTGGCCTACCAGGAGGCGATGATGAACATGGCAAGGCTCAACGGGACAGCTGCCGGACTCATGCACACGTTCAATGCCCACGCGGCCACTGACATCAAGGGCTTTGGGATCTGGGGCCACGTGCAGAACCTGGCCAAGCAGCAGAGGAACGAGGTGTCATTTGTAATTCACAACCTCCCGGTGCTGGCCAAGATGGCTGCAGCGAGCAAGGCGTGCGGAAACATGTTCGGCCTCATGCACAGGACCTGCCCAGAGACCTCAGGCGGCCTTCTGATCTGTTTACCACATCAGCAAGCAGCTCGGTTCTGTGCAGAGATAAAGTCCCCCAAATATGGTGAAGGCCACCAAGCATGGATTATTGGGATTGTAGAGAAGGGCAACTGCACAGCCAGAATCATAGACAAACCCTGGATCATCGAGGTCGCACCACAAGTGGCCACCCAAAATATGAATCCCACACCTGGGCCACCTCTTTTTTTTTTTTTTTTTTTTTTTTTTTTGTGAGACGGAGTCTCGCTCTGTCGCTCAGGCTGGAGTGCAGTGGCGCCATCTCGGCCCACTGCAAGCTCCGCCTCCCAGGTTCACGCCATTCTCCTGCCTCAGCCTCCCGAGTAGCTGGGACTACAGGCGTGCACCACCACGCCCGGCTAATATTTTTTTGTATTTTTAGTAGAGACGGGTTTTCACCGTGTTAGCCAGGATGGTCTCGATCTCCTGACCTTGTGATCCGCCCGCCTAGGCCTCCCAAAGTGCTGGGATTACATGCTTGACGGGGCCACCTCTTAATCTAGACAGAAATAGCTGTTTGGTTTTGTTTTTAAATAGACCTATTTCCTTTATCATCACTTCAATTAAAGACTATAAACAACAGAAATCTCATTGTGTCTACACATCGGGTGACCTTAGGTCGGTTTGTAAGTGGATACAATTAATAAAATAAAATCCGTCACCTTTTTTTCCTGTTACATTAACTGAAGATGCACCCAATCTTGAGGCAGCTTCTGAGTTGAGAATTATATTGTTATCCAATACTGTTGATTCATTTTGAATCTTTAGACACTTATCTCTTGCTGCATAGGCTCTTTTTAAAGGTGCTTTCACATAGCACAGACATTACCAGTAGTCTTGTCAAATAGCAGTTGGTGTCTTCATTTTATGTATATTTATCATAAGTCTGATTTTTTTTAAGCGTCTTGAATGGTTTTCTGGAGAGACAGCATTGATAAGTGGCACATGACGGTATCTCAGTCATAAGAGGGTTGCATGATTCCTTTGAATGTTTGATTTGGAAAAGCCTAGTCTTGTCTCTCAAGAGCATCTCAGACCCAGAACATTCTCTAGTAGTGCACTCAGTTAAACAGGGCAAGTGCTTCACTGCATGGAAAACACTTTGAAGAGACAAAAAAGAAATCTTATTTCTTTTTTGTAGCCTTTCTGATATTTACAATAATACCACTAACTGTTTTCTTTATCGATAGCAAAGAACGATACTTTTTGCAATGTAATTAGACGTTCTATAGTGCTACAAGGAAATGCCTTCCAAAAGGAGGCTCATGTATAATACTCATTTACAAAATATATAATTACGCAAATAAATTTTAAATATAATCAATAATAAAGACTGTTCTGTGGATGTTAGTGTTTAATACATTTTCTATTTTGTACAGTGATTTCAGGCCTTTTGTTTTCTTGAAATCAGCAGATATTTAGCCTAATTCTTAGCATTATTTTGTCCTTTGCACCAGTACTTTTTTGTGCACGCTTTTTGTGATCTGTGTTAAAAACCTGCATGGCCAACATTGCAGCTCCAACTTAAACTTGTTATTCAAATAAATATTTAATTTTTTAAATTGCTCTTGTATAATCAGATTCCCCTTTTAGTATTATTTTAGAAGCATTGGGAGGGTTTTGCCTAAAGTACAATTTATTGGGAAAAACTAGATTTTAGTTTTATAAAACTTTTAAGTCTTTCATGGGACCTATATTTAGGTGTTATCTGTGTTGCATAAAGTGGAGGCTTCCTTATATTTTAACCTACTAAGCAATTGAGGGATTCCTGTCATTAAGCACAAGCACTGGATCCTCAAGTGCCCATCTTCATCAGAGAAAAAATAGCACATCCTGCACGTTTCTGGTGCTTCCTGCTCACAGGCACCAAAGCCGCACACATAAACTGACTTACTGCCAAAGGAAATGACCCCCTGCGAAGATGGAGCTCCTGGAAGAGGCTTTAACTTGGATGCGCCCTCGTCCAGGAACCAGCGGGAAGGGCAGCCTTTATGCGTGTGTAACTAGACCTTCAGCCATAAGCATGGTGCGCAGCATGGAAGAGCCTGCTATGGAACTGAAATTGATTGAACATTTTATAGGAATTGATACAGATGTTGGTCCTAAAAAGCTACAAACCAGTGGTCTGCAAAATAAAATGTGTTGGAAACCTCTGAGTAAGAAAAAAGAAAAAGAAAATTGCCTACATTTGTTATTTCAGAGTTCATGAAACTGTACAAATTCTATTCACAATTTTGTGGGGGTAAAACATATGAGCCCAATAAGAATGATTTTTATTTAAATCATAAAGAATTCATTGAAAATTATTAACAATAACTTATATAATATTTTGATGCTATAGAAGAAAAAGGACAACCCAACAATTAACACATACTCTTGGGTTTTAAAGATTAGCCTCAAAAGATAAGATATTGTTACCATCTTATGCAAACAAATCCTATCATTTCCTTGGACATATCCTGAGTAGAATACAAACCCTTATGGTACCATCTAATAGGGTTTAAGATTTTAACACCAAAATAAATTCTTCATTTATTAAAATTTTATAACAAAACAACATTCTTTTCAAAAGGATTCAATCATAAAAAGGAAAGGAGACAGGCTGGGAAACATGGCGAAAACCCATCTCTACAAAAAATACAAAAATTAGCTGGGTGTAGTGGCACACACCTGTATTCTCAGCGACTTGGGAGGGAGGTGGGAGGATCACCTGAGCCCAGGAGGTCAAGACTGCAGTGAGTCGTGATTGTGCAACTACATTCCAGCCTGGGTGACAGAGAGAAACCCTTTCTCAAAAAAAAAAAAAAAAAAAAAAAAAAAAGGAGAACCGAAAGAGGAGAAAAATCTTACAGAGAATGTCAGTTTCAGGATTATGTTCTAGTGACCTGAATCTATACATTCATCGACAGAGACGTGACTCCCACAGTTTGTTTTGCAGATAGCTGTAAAGTAATTACACAAATTGCACCAAGTTCTTTCCAGATGAACTGAACACTTAGAACTAGAGAGTGTTGCCAATTTGATCAGAAATTAGATGTGATTCTGAGATTGAGAAAATTGCAGAAATATGATTTTTGAGATTTTGAGAAAATAATTCTTCTCTTCTTCAAGCTGTACAATGGGATCTATAGACAAAGCAAACTCTTCTATCTATACAGAAGAATGTTATCTCTGAGACTTTTGAATATCTATTTTTGAATTATACATAATCAGGAAACTCAGGGCTTATCTTCCTTCAAAACTCCTCCACTAAAATAGAATGATTTACTGGAAAGTTACTTGCCATATTCTGCATCTTCAAAGACGAGATCTCCTTTATTTCTCTACCACAAAGTGTTCTTTAGAATTTTTCATTGTATCGATATAAATTGATGCCAGTCATTACTACACGAAAGATGAAACTGCAACCTCTACACAAGTCCAAGTAACAGGATTCACACAGGGAGAGACGGATACACTGACGTGCTCTTCAGTGACTGATGGACTGTGTTTTCTGTTTAAAAAAAAAAAAGTACTATAATTGAACAAGCCCCCAGAGCATTAAAAAAAAAGTGTAAAAATAAATATAAGGAGAGTAACTAACAAATTTAAAAATATATAATCAATAAAGATCGGTGATATTGTAGCATTTCAAGATAAAACTACATCTTCAACTATTTTTAAAATGTTTTCCATTTGGCAGAACCCCAAATGGGCTTTGCCAAGCACTTTTTCTTCTTAATTTTTAAATGCGTATGTATTTCAAGGAAAATTTAATCCATATGTTCTTCTCTCATTTACACAATTTATCAAAATGTTGCTTTGAATGAGCCATTTAATGTCTAAGAAAACTGAAGAACACTTCTTTTTCCCCCAATACAAGATTTTAGCTTTTTTCTTCCTGAATTAAATATGTGTTCAGTACTACCTACAGAGCTAATTGAAAAATATTCAATTCTGCTTTAATATCCAGAACCAAAAGTCTAATAAAATTTGAAATAACAGAAAAGCATAAAATCCATTATAATACTATACTTTTAAGCTTCAAAAGCCTCCATTATTCACACGGTTCCTATAAATCACAGAATACTGGAACTTAAAGATATCTTAGAAATGACAAGTTTTTTTCTCTCACTTTAAAAACTAGGAAACTGAGTCCCCAAAAAGCCAAAGAATATGCCAAAAATCACAAAACTAATTAATGGCGGAGCCAAGGCATGTGTCTTCCCATTGGAATTACTTCTTTGGTTTTTTTAAATTTTAATTATGATTTTATTCTATAACATATAACAGTGTCAGCATAATACTAGATTATGAAAAAACAGTGGAGCTCATTTCTGCATAAAATTTACTCGCCTGCTGCCAATAGCCTGGACAACCAGTAGGCTAGGAATCAATGGCCCAATTCGCCATATAATCCTAGTCATATCTATCTTTACTATGCCCATAAAGGGAAGTGATGAATCTGTTTAAAAGAAAAATTAAGTCCAAGTACACTCTCAACATTTACCAGCAAGATGCTACAGGAAAACACGCTGATTATGTTAACTGATAAGAATATTTCTTCTTCCCTTCCTTATCCTCTCCTTCCTTCTACTTCTCTTTCCAGAGGGGATCATTTTGGGATACACAGAAACCTGGGGATGGGCATACCATGGAGTCTGGAGGGGCTCAGTAGTGACATGAGCCCATGGGATGGGATCAAGATACACCTTTGCTTCAGCCTCCGTCACCAGTGTCTTTAGACACCCCAGTTTCTTCAGGTAGGCAAAAAGGCACACAGGAATAAAAGACTGCTATCCCCAGGGAAATGAAAGTAGAGAACAAGCCAGGCATGGTGGCTCATGCTTGTAATACCAGCATTTTGACAGGCCGAGGCAGGCAGATTACCTGAGGTCAGGAGTTCAAGACCAGCCTGGCCAATGTGGTGAAACCCCGTCTCTACTAAAAATACAAAAAAATTAGCTGGGGTGGTGGTGCACACTTGTAATCCCAACTATTCAGGAGGCTGAGGTAGGAGAATCACTTGAACCAGGGAGGCAGAAGTTGCAATGAGCCGAGATCGTGCCATTTGCATATCAGCCTGGGCAACAAGAGCAAAACTTCGTCTTAAAAAAAAAAAAAAAAAAAGAATAAAGAAAGAAAGAAGAGAACGGCCGGGCGCGGTGGCTCAAGCCTGTAATCCCACCACTTTGGGAGGCCGAGGCGGGTGGATCGCGAGGTCAGGAGATCGAGAAAGAAGAGAACAGAGAGGATTATGGCTTCTTTTTGTCAGGTCAGGAGGCAGTCATAAACTACAGACCACAAATCACAATCAAAAGAACTTTGTAAGGCCCTGTTACCTCATAACTAACTAATGTTTAGATTGTGTTACTGTTTTGTAGCAGTAATTACCAGCAAAACCCTATTTTTTTCTAATGTGATGGGAAAGGGCATATAGTATGTGCCTGCCTTTTAGGAGTAACAAAGGAGAAATCTGGGAGAAACCAAAATGACATAGTGCAGAGCAGCTCAGTCACTTCCTTGTGATTTAACCTGCTAAAGTTACTTAACCTGTATCTCAGTTTCCTCACCTATAAATATGGAATAATATAGGACCTACTTCACAAGGATTAGCAAAATAATGCATGTAAAGCACTAAAGACAGTGTTTGCATATAACAAGTGTTCAATAAAAATAATTGTGGTTGCTCCATCATCTTTTTAAACTAAAATAGGAAAACAAGCTGAATTTCTAGGACTTGTGGCAAATAAAGAAAAAACGCACACACAGGAAGATAATTTAGGACTGATAAGGAAGGACCCCTGAGTCTAAGCAATCAAAGAGCTATTACAGATTTGCTGAATTCTAGACCCAACTGTATACTCTAAACAAAAAACAAGGACTCAATTAATGGTACTATAGCACATGCCCATGTTACGCATACATGTGGCATTTGAAAAATGGTCACACTGCCTTTTTCTCTCTTGACATCCAACTGTCAAAAAGAACTTCATATATTCAATGATTGGACAGCCATTAGAATCCAATGCAAAACACTCACAACTCTCCTCAGAACTCTTGGTTTTAGAAATGGTAGCTTTGGCAATAACCTTAATGATGTGATACCTTGGTCCAGGGTGGTGGCTCACACCTGTCATCCCAGCACTTTGGGAGGCCGAGGTGGGCAGATCACAAGGTCAGGAGTTCGAGACCAGCCTGACCAACATGGTGAAGCCCCGTCTCTACTAAAAATACAAAAATTAGCCAGGCATGGTGGTGCATGCCTGTAATCCCAGCTACTCAGGAGGCTGAGGCAGAATTTCTTGACCCCAGGAGGCGAGGTTGCAGTGAGTGGAGATTGCGCCACTGCACTCCAGGCTGGGCAACAGAGCAAGAGTCCATCTCAAAAAAAAAAAAAAAAGTGATACCTTTGGGGATCTAGTGAAGTGGAGTTGCTTTTCCTTGGTGGAGTTTTTCTCTTTTGTCTATACTATGATTCGTCAGACCAGGTGTAAATACATTGGAAAGCACACTGGCTTGAGGAGTGGGGACTGTGATTGCAACCTAAGTGCCACTCTGAAGATGACATTCTATTCCTAGGAGGCTTTTTTCTATGTAAAAATGAGGTTAAATTTGGTGATCATAAATGCCCCTACCACTCTAACATTTTATGGACTTATAATGATACAGTTATAAAATAGTGAGTTGGTTTTCCTGTCCATTATTACTCTAACTTCAGAACTGGTTTTTATATAGCACCTTTCTTTGAAAGGTCTAGGCATTGTGTACAGACGACCAAGAAAATGGAGAGGAATGTTGAGATAAAATATACCTTAGAGTTGGATCTGGGGCTGGACATGGTAGCTCATCCCTGTAATCCCAGGACTTTGGGAGGCCAAGATGGGAGGCTCGCGAGACAGCAAGAATTGGAGACTAGCCAGGGCAACATAGTGAGACCTCGTCTCTACAAAAAACAAACAAACAAACAAACAAAAAACAACAATACATTAGCTGGGTGTGGTGGCATGCACGTAGTGGGAGGACTGCTTGAGCCTGGGAGGTCGAGGCTTCAGTAAGCTGAGATTGCACCACTGCACTCCAGCCTTGGCAACAGAGTGAGACCCTGTCTCAAGAAAACAAAACAAAATAAAAATAAATAAATAAATCAAAGAAAATAGAATTGGATCTGGGTTCAGATGTGGGTTCTTCCACTTTATTAGTGGCTTGGTATTGAGCCAATTAATGTGTCTGAGTCTAAATTTGTTCTGTCATGAAATATGATTATTTAACTTCTTCACAGGGTTGCTCAAGGATTAAATGAGGCATAAGCCTCATAGTAAGTGCTCTATAGAAGGGAGCTATGAGAGTGGCAAGAGAAGAAACAATGAACTCAAGCATCTGAAAAGGTCTTGCATCACAAGAGAAAGACAATATGCACAAAAAATAGTAGTCACCGAACCCAAAATATTATTTTTATTTTACATCATGTGCTAAAATACTATTAGTAGAGATGCAGAGGAAGCAGTGTGATGGTGCTTGCTGACAGCATTAATGAAGAACTCCCCTTAGAACTCTTGGGCTTTGCTGAATGCTTTCACAGTTGTTGTTTTAAATTACACCACACGCTTGACCACATTGTATTCACAGTGCCAGACATTTTGGACCTACTGGAAACAAATATATATTATATTGATGACTAAGTGAAACATCTCATATTTAAGTGATAAAAATATTATTTTTAACTTTAAAGTTTAAAAATTGATGAGTCTGAAATACCTTAAAAATAGTTTTTCATAAATAGGAGGGAGTACATGAGAATATGCCCAAAGAGGTTGATTTTATACCGCACATAGCAGTAGTGAACAAATGTCCTATAATCAGAAGGTCTTCAGAAATGGAAACTTCTCCCTTAATACAAGTAGACTTTAATGATGCAATCTGCATAGTATCTCCAGGCATGGCCAATGAAGGACCCACTTGACCTTCAGATGAGCAGGTCTGGGAGCTGAGATCTACCCTCAGAGATAAGAGGTAAGGCAGGACTGCTGTATTCAAGTTTTCAGTTGACAGAGGAAGTAAGGAACCAAGAGATCAGGGATTACTCTGCCACTACTCTGAGACCTCCCCTTGGTTGTTATGTTTGTCACCCCAGTCAGTTTCCTATTATTATTATTACTAATAAAATACCTAAAATAATATTTTTAAAAATATATGCTTTCTGAAGTAGTCGTGAGTAACTGCTTCACACTGCAGCCAGACTCAGATTTGGAGACAAAAATTGCAAAGAGTAGAGAGAAACAGCTGTGGAAGAATTAAGGAAGCAGGCTGAGTTCCCAGGGGAACTCGGGAAGAAAGGAGAAAGAATCAGATCTGGGCCAGAGAAGAAATTCTGGGAATCCCAGATACAGTGTAGGATGAAGCAAAGAAACTGTTGTATCTCAGATTGTAATAATTCAAGCTTTTCTTTTTTTTTCCTCTAGGCTTACAATCTATTTTAAAATCTGTAGTCTAGTACGTAATAATTCTTTCTTACAACTTTTTCACAGTGCTTTCTGAAAGAATTTATTTCGCGGGTTTGGGGAATGCTGAGAAGTCCAACTCACTAGGAAATAAATTCAACTTAACTGAACTTCCTGGATAACCAATATATGAATTTATCTTTCAATTCAAGAATGAACAGAGCATTGTTAACTAAATATCATGGTTTTCTGCCTTTGAGAAGAGACTAGAAAGACTTCAGCTGAACCAATTCAGAATATTTTAGATAGGTCTTCAGCTGAAATCTGGAAATCAAAGCAAAAGAGAAAAAAATAAATAAATAAAAGCAAAGTTTGTGAGCTTTGGGAAACAAACAGCTTGGAGGAAAAGCTAATTTTCAAAGGTTTCCATCTGCCCCATGACCATTCCCTTCTCTTCTAGGACCCTCCCGCCTCTCCTCATTTTAGTTTTGAGTTAGAAATACTGGAACTGATCATTTTTCAGCCTCAATAAGTCCTTGCTAATTATTTTAACATTTCAGGTTCAGGAAACCCAAACCCAGTGTTTGTTAAGTGCTCTTTGCCTTGATTTGTGCGTCCTCTTATATTTCAAGGGAAGTCGAGTCCATGTGTTTCTGATTCGTTTTTATTTAACTCATCAAGACATTGTTTCATAAAGGCCATTTGATGTCCAAAGATTCTGCCGAACCTTTTGTTTGTGAAACCATAAAGCCAGTAAAATAATACACAGTTTATAACAAAAGAACAGAATTAGGAAATCCAGGAATGAACTATTCTTACCTCCGTCCTTGATTTGCTTTTATGCAATGCTGGGTCACTCTTCCAGATGTTATCTACATAAAGATAATATTTTATACAAGATTTGGGGAATTTTATAATAAAATATAATTTTCGGGAGTCTTAAGAGAAAGGCATGTTATAAACCAATACCAAAATAGCTCTCAAGTTGAAACAATGAGTTTTTTCCTAGTTTTGAGATTGATGTAGTGGCTCTCCTGGGCAAGTACTACAATTCAAAATTAAAATTTCAAATGGTGATTACATGAAACATAATGTTTCTACCTGCAAGCATAATCCTTACATGGATTTATACCCTGGGAAAGTTACTATATTCCTACTGTTTTCCTTTTTTGAGACATCAATCCTTTTAATAATTTGCAGAAAGATAATGGGTAGATATTTGTGATAGAGAGAACTTTCTGTTTCTGGCTTAAAAGCAGAGATTCTCCTAATATTTAATTTTGGAATGCCAAATACTGGAAGTCACCTCTAAATGAAGTGGCAGCAAATTTAGCAGGTATCAACAATGAGATTTTTAAACTTAAATTTATTTCAGCTTTCCAGTAGGTGCATTTACCTGCTGTCACTTTCCAGTCTCTGGGTTTTTAAGTAGAAACCCTGATTATTTACCAAGGCAAAATAGGACTCAAGAATCAGTTTTGTCTAGGATCAATGGCAGAAATCAAGAGACTTTTCAATCAAAATAACAAGGAAGTTGCAGAAAACACATTCAGGCAAAGTAATAAGGTCTTTCTCTCTTTTTTGTATCAGTAGAAGAGAAGAGAGTGACTGATGGGGGTTGATGGAGACCTTTAAACCTTAGCTTTTCCGCAAACCACTTGTTCCCCAAAACTCACAGACTTTGTATGTATGTATATATGTATGTATGTGTGTGTGTATACATCTTCTCTTGATCACTTTATCTCCAAGCAGTGGCCTAGTATCAGGCAAAGGGCACAGTTGAACATGGCACAAGAGACACTAGAGCAGGCTGAGATGCACAGGCAGAGTCAGTAGACTCATAGCTCCCCTTTCCTACTAAGAGGTTGGTTAGATGGGCCAGATACAGTACACAAGAGGGGCCCAGTCCCCTCTTCTTCTGTCCTTCTATAAGGCTCACATGACAGTAGCCTTGTGAAAAGAGGGCTAAATAACCTAAGTTTTACTACCAGCTTCTCGGAAGAAGTACACGCCAGTGCTGAGCATACAAGCTGCCCAGATGGCTCTTGCCAGGCAACCTAGAGAAGGTCAGTGGAAAACCCTGTCTGTGTTTCCATAAATGGCAAGTGTCAAGACCCATTAGGAGAGTACCTACTGCTTGGCTTGCCCGGGAAGTGGGAAGAGGAAACCAGGAAAGGCATAATATCTGTATTAAATCCATGGCAAAAAAAAAAAAAAGGTAGCCTTCTAGGAGCTCACAGCCTAGTGAATGAAGTCAGAAAATAAATAATGACCACACAACATGGAAAAGGGTCTTGTAGAGGCCTAAGCACCATCAGTGATATCATAAATGAGGTGGTGATCAACTCTGGTGGCAAAAGGGAGAGTTCTTGGAAGCCACCCCAAGAAGCATATGCTTATGATGGGAGGGCAGCCTATGGGAGTGCAGGTTGGGAGAAGGGCATTCCAGGCAGAGGGAACCACATGTAGGCAAGAGCCCTAATTACAAACAAGTTAAAGAAAGTTTGAAAGGAAAAAAAAAACCTCCCAAACTCTCTTACATATCCTGGACGAGTCAAGTCATAAGAACCTGAAGTTTGACAATATGCAAAAGTTTTCCAAAATTCCACAGGCAACTAACAAATGCCAGGTTCTTTTCAAAATTGAAGATTCTTTTAGGAGCTCCTAAAATCATGCACTGATCCTCAAAGGTCTACTGTCCCCTGCTAGCTGAGTGGTCCATGTTCTCTTCCAGATTGACTGAGCTGGGACAATATTAGCCCAGCTGCCCTGCCAGCTGGCTTTCCTGGCAATCTTTTGGCCAGGAATTGTTTCTGTCTCACCCAGAGTACCTAAAGACCTGAGCACCATATATATCTTAAGAGGAACATAGACTTCTCTTCCTGTCAGATCAAAGAACACAGTTCTTATAACAAAACTCAAAGCTCTAAAAATAAGAAATTCCTTCTTTTTAAGTTTTATTGTATCTGTTTATAATTGTTCCTGCTTCAGAACCTCAGATCTTAACATGGGGTGGGATCACAGTGTCATCGTCCAGATTCAGACTCTCCCACGTTCTCGGTCACAGAAAAGATGATATGCTATCTTCCTTTAAGAGTTACATGTTTTTTGCCCTGGAAGACTACACTCTGTTTGTACTGGGGATACCAGTGTGTGCCAATCACCTGCTGATTGACTTCCATAGCTACCTGGTACCCTTGCTCCTTCTCTATCCGTCTTCCTCCCAGGCAGCCCTAAATGTATTACATTCTTGGTAGCTCTGAAAGGCTGCAAGTTCTGAAGTTTCATATTCATAACTCTCAAACTGACATGAGAGGGTCTTTGCTTTAGCTAATCAGGGATATACACAAAAAAATGGGAATAAAATTTAGAAGCATATAAATAGATTTACTACATGTAAGTTTTAACATGTTTTGAAAAGCATGATGCACTTAAATAGATGAATTTGGCTGATTTTAGAGATGATAATTTAGTGAGAGTGTATATCTATGGCTGTATAGCAAATCACCCCAAAACTTAGCGGTGTAAAATAATAAAAATCATTTATTATCTTTTAGATTTCTGTGGCTCAGGAATTTGGGAGCAGGGTAGCTGGGTGGTTTGGGGTCTAATGAGGTTACAGGAAGACAGTGGCTGGGATTGAGGTCATCTTGAAGACTTCTTCACTCACATACCTGACACCTGGTGCTCTGGCTGGAAAGATTCAGACAGCTGGCAACTGGAATAACTGGACCTTCTCTAAGTGGTCTCTCTGCTTGTTCTCTGCATCAGGGCAGCTCTAGGATATCTGGACTTCTAACATAGCAGCCTGAGCCCCAAAAGGCACATCTCCTAAGAGATAGAGTCAGGCAGAAGCTGCATCTCTGCTCCTAACCCAGCCTCAGAACTGTTAGGAGGTTGCCCCCCACCCTCTTCTGTTTGGTAGAATTGAGTCACTAAACCTGACCCATGTTCAAAGGAAGGGTAATTAGACTCAATCTTTTATTGCAGGAGTATCAAAGAATTTGCAGATTCTTTTTAGACAATCACAGAGAAAGTCAGGGAGACGTGAGTGTCAACTGCAAATGAAAGTCACAAAATTGGCTGGGCACAGTGGCTCACACCTGTAATCCCAGCCCTTCGGGAGGCCGAGGTGGGAAGATCACTTGAGGCCAGGAGTTTGAGATCAGCCTGGTCAACATGGTGAAACCCCGTCTCTACTAAAAATACAAAAATTATCTGGGTGTGGTGGCATGTGCCTGTAATCCCAGCTACTTGGGAGCCTGAGGCAGGAGAATTGCTTAGACCTGGGAGGTGGAGGTTGCAATGAGCTGAGATCACTCCATTGCACTCCAGCTTGGTTGATAGAGCAAGACTCTGTCTCAAAAAAAAAAAAAAAAAAAAAAAGTCACAAAGAATAAAAGCTAAAAGTAGTTTCCATTGACATTTCCTTAAAATTAATCATGAATAAGATTCAGACCTTCCAAATCTTCTCAATATAATTTCTACTCTTATTTAGCTTCTAATTTTTGCTACATAATTTTTTCGTGATGACATCATTTTTTGTTTTAATTTAATTGGCAAATTTTGTTTTGCACCTACTATATGCTAGGCATGTACTAAAACAATTGGAATACAGAAACAAACTCATACAGTCCATGCGTTCACAGGAAATTCACAGTTGAATTTATAATTCCATGTGACAACTGCAAAATTAGATGCATAAACAAGACATTGAGATGAAATAGATATAAGAAAGAAAAATAACCTGATAAAATCATATCATAGAGTGTCATTCTTTTTTCAGACTTGCAAAATGAGACTTTTGATTATGTCTAATTTAAATGTGCCATAAACCATATTGTTAATATTAATATGGAAAGTATTCCTTAATATAGTCCTTCAGGGTTAAAGTCAGACAAAGATTTTCCAAGTTAAAACACAAAAACATAAGCTTAGGATCCCAGTGTAGAAATAAATTACTGAGATGTCATTTGATTCACCCCCATGCATCCAGGTAGATTTCTCAGCCCAGCCCAAGTCTATGGAAATGTATCTGCTATTTTCAAGATAGTGCTAATAGAAACGGCTCTTACATTTTATATGGTGAAAGATATTTACTATGCTGCAGGAAGTCCCGATGTACCATCAGGTATGAAAACCCTAAGAGGGAGCAGGTGTCAGAGCAGGAGGTCACAGGGCAGCCACTGAAGGAAAGCTGCATTCTGAGGCTGGAAGAAGGAAGAATGTCACTGAGTAGACAAAATAATGGTCATCAGGGAATTGGTAAAGTAAAGAGGAAAAGAAGAATCAAGACAGTACAATGCCATGACAGCTCAAGTGAGAAGACTTTTCATAAGGAGAGGGGAGACAACCCCATGAATGAGCCATGTAGGTCAAGAAGAATGAAGGCTGAGATCAGTGCTGCAGAAATCACAGGTAGCACAAGGTGGGTACTGGTGAACTTCACATAGCAGTTTCTGTTGAATAATAGTGAAGCAGCTCAGATCCTCCTGGATTACCCAGCACACTATTTCCAAATAAGTAGCCCTACAATATTATCTGGATTGCATCACTCTTCAATGCAATTTAACAACTATGCATTTCAGTATTTTCTGTGTTTCTGGCCACTTTCAGTGGCTCCATACTCCCAACCAGAGATTAGATTCCTTAGCCCAGTATGCATTGCTTTCCAGTATCATTTAGCCTGTCTTAGCAACTATGTCCTCATATGCACACTTTATTTTGTCAAAATGTAATTAGGCCAATAAAAAAACCTTTTCTACAAATTTATTTACAAAGACATATCTAAGTTTTTATTTCTCATGCTGCCGGGGAAGAAATCCAATGAGGCTAATTCAAAGATTCACTTTTAGTAGGGAGGTATTATGGAAAAGGAGAATATTTAGATAAAAATTTTAGACAAAATTCAGAAAAATAATCTGTCTGGTTAAAGAACATCAATAGAGGAGGTAAGGAGCTGACTTCCCAGAAAAGCTTTTAATTGCATTAAAGTTTCTCAGAAAATTGCTTAAGCATGTATCAGGAATGCTAATTTCATTGCAGAAGAAAGTTGGTTGTGAAGTGTCTCACACACAAAGAGTTTTATTCCAGACCAAATTTGGAACAATTTTCCATCTATTGACCCCTTTTTGTCGACATTTCGTGCTTTCTCAATGTCATCAGAAGGTACTTTGTGTCTGCATGATCATCCCTATCTACCAGTTTCTTCCACATTCCCTCCTCCTGATAATATTCTCTTCTCTTCTACAGTTCCTTTATTGTCCCACTCTTGCTTTTAATTGTTGTAGTTTGTGTCTACATCTCCTATTTTAACTATAAGTAATCACTATCTTTTCCTCTCTGTATATGCATTAGTGTTCAATAAAGGTTGGAATAAGTGTATATAATTAAATCATAGTATATAAGATATTATGATGCAATATTCAATATGCTGTACTTTTAAAATATTTCACAATTAAAATTAATAAATTTAATTTAATCTTGTTAATAAATTAATTAAAATTAATAACTACATTAGCCATATAAGATTCAGTAGTGAACAACAGAAAACTCAAAATTACAGTGCTTTAACAAAATAGAAATTGATTTTTTTTTCTCTCATAAAGGCAATCTGGAGCTCAGCAGTCCGGAGCTGGTATAATGACTCCATCGTCCTTCTGTCTTGGTCCTTTTGAGTGTGGCTCCATCATCCTCAGTGAGTGGCTTCTTCCTCACGGTTCAAGATAGATGTCTGATGTTTAGTCTTATTCCTGCCAGCAGGAAGGAAGAGCAGAAGAATGGCATACCCACCCCCAACCTCCTGTTTTGAGACAGAGTCTCACTTTATTGTCCATGCTAGAGTATAGTGATCATAGCTCACTGCAGCTTCAACTTCCTGGGCTTGAGGGATCCTCCCACCTTAGCCTCCCAAGTAGCTGTGTCTACAGGAGCACACCACCAAGCCCAGCTAATTTTTGTATTTTTTGTAGAGACAGGGGTCTCACTGTGTTGCCCAGACTTGTGTCCAGTTACTGAGCTCAAGTGATCCTCCTGCCTTAGCATCCCAACGTGCTGGGACTACAGGAATGAGCCACCACAAGTGGCTTCCTTTCCTTTTAAGGACACATCTCAGAAGTTGCATACATCTGATTATATCCCATTAGCTATAACTCAGTCACATATAGCACCCAGTAGTAATAGAAACTGAGGAATGTGCATGGTTTAAAAATCATGGGTTCTGCTACTAAGGAGGAAGAGAGAACAGATATTGAGAGACAACCGGAAGTCTCCATTTCTATGGCCCATTCTAATGTTTGCCAGACCTTGCTGGTCAGTGAATTTCTATTTTCATTTAAATTGGTTTTTCATACTCCAGCATATTTGTTCCTATTGAGTTCTCAATAAATATCAATAGATTCCATTTTTAATGTAGCAAAATATAAGTTCCAAGCTCTGGGAGGTTTCATATATATTATATATAATCAAAAATGTTGGGGGCCATTTTTATATAAAACATAATGGTCTCCAACTTTTTTGATCATGAACCACAATCAATACAGTTTAATCCCCCAGTATATTTACACTTATTTATCAATATGCTTTATAAAATGTACCCCTATATTAATATATTATATATATAACAAAACATGCACAAAAAATAAAATTGATGAGATAAGAAGTAAAAATCAAAGTTCAAATATTTTCTTCCTTCACACCAGTTGATGTTCTTAAGCAAATGCTGATCTAAGAGATGGTGGATATCCTGACTTATGTTCTTTAGTGATCACATATATCATTATTGCAATTGAGAATTCAACCAAAACCTAACAAAGAAGGCTAGGACAAAATGCTAACAATATAAGTTGTTATGTTGTTATGTCCCACATGGAAAAGAAATAATGATTGTTGCAACTCCCACATTTTGGGTCCGACAAACAAAATTAAGCGTCTCGACAAAATGTCTGCATTGAAAAACCCATTTGGGTTTTTTCACAACATACTTGACTTTGCTAAAGAGTTCAATATCTTCTTGTTTATGAAGCTTTAATTTTACTACTATTGGGTTACGCAGATGGAATAAACAAGGAACACCGCTGCTCTGCTCATTGTGGTCATGAGTTACAGGGCCCTGGAGAAGCGTGTTGAGGTACTACGGAGTCTTGATTTCAATGTGCCATGTGTGTACTATGTGTGCTTCTATATAACATGTATGTAGACTTGGAAGCTTTTCAAACGAAGCTATAGCTGGACTAGTCATGTTACATTTCCCTAAGGCCAAAACCTAAAATTGACAGCTTTCACTTTGTGTTACAGAATAAAACCAAGCAATCAGGACTAGGCAGACCCCTGCCACACAGCTACTTGCTGATATCAATTACTTAGCCTAATTATCTTGACAAAGTATACTATTCATTTAAATCTTTCATTTTCTGAGACCATAATAACAACAGGGACTACAGAAAAAAGTGATCATGCCATCTAGGAATAACTAATATATAAGATGTTGAGTTTTGGTCAGAGTCCAGCATATATCCAAGGCCTTAAGACTAAGAAGATTTGAAAAGTAGTTTAGAGGAAGTTGAAAATATAGCTTTATGAAGAGAGAGCATTGCCTAAGAGAGATGGTGGGCTCTAAAAATGAAATTCTGACCATGTTATGATAAATAAATGTGGAAATAAGGACATGAGTAAGACTGCCCAGAAATCCTCTGATGAGTTTAGATTTTGAAAGAATACATATATAAAGCAAGGAAGGTCATATAACCAAGGTCACAAATTGTGAAATGTCTAAGAAAATTGTCAGAATCGTTAATGTGCTCATAAGCCAAAGCTTACAACAGTGACAAAAGCAATAAAACCAATCGTTTCAACTCTGTTTATATCACTGATGTGAACAAGAAAGTAAAATGTACAATACTGGAGATGACAGTACAATGCTAATAGATGAGAGAAACAGTTCCATTGAGGAAAATTATTTTCAAAACTTAAACGTCAAGTATGGGTTAAAGGGGACACAAATTTCTAGAAAAGGGAGGGCTGCTTAAATGAATCCTACCCTCATTTCCAGAGGAATCTAAAGGAACTCCTAGGCATGATTGTGAGGTAACCATTGAATCGAGGACAAACAGAAATATGTCGAAAGACAAACAAAACAGAGTCGCTTTGGGTTTACAAAAGGTTGGAGATTGGGGGTTTGGAAGCAAATTCTAGAAACAGTAAATAAATAAGTAGACATGATGTTATTATATTGCAAAATTCCAGAGAGGACAATAAAAGAGGTGGCTTGTGGACCTCACAAAACAAAATGATGATCAGTAGGATCTAGTGAGTATTCATAATGAAAGTCCATTCCAAATGGGCTTTCAGTAAAATAGATAGATTATCTTTTTAGTAAGGTAAATAGATGAGCAGATGTGGGCACATGCCATAACCATGGCACAGAAGAACTGTAAGATAGCCCCCTTAGAAACTTGAAATGCAGTTGTTAAAGGTATGCCATGCAGGACTTTCTTTCCTTTTTAAAGAATAATTTAATTTTTTATTATATAAGCCATATTTTTTAAGTACGTGGACACAGTATTTCCTTGACTGTAAGATGTAATTTATTGTAAGATAATCTATTAATTTAAATATAGCTTTTTGGGTTGTAAAAAATATTTATATTAAGTGTATGATTTATCCTCATTTTGGAATCACTGAAATATAAAAAAAAACAACCTTAGAATTGAGGAAATACATACACATATACAAGAACACATTTACAGAGTTGAAATCATACATTTTGTTCAGTTGGCATTTTATTGTAGTTCTTGATCCCCATGTCATAAAAAACTCTATAAACATAATTTCTAGTAAATCAGTTACATATTATAACTCATTTAATTACTACTTTATTCTGAAATTTTTTATTGTTTTTCTTATAAAATTGCAATTTACTTTTCAAAAATATTTATCTGCATTTCTGATTATTTCCTTGGGGTACATTTCCAGAAGTGGAATTTTTGAATGAAACAATACATTATGTTTTAAAGATTCTTGATACACACAGTACCAAACTACTTCTCAGAAAGCTTGTACCAATTCACACTGCCGCTAGCACTTGTTTGAATGAGGACCCATCTTACCGGCATTCAAAATGTTCTTTCCTTTTCAAATTCTTTGTTGATTTAGCAGGGGGAGAAAAATCTAATTTTAATTTGGTTTGAATTTCATTAACTACATATTTAATATTGAATATTTTTATATGAACATTATTGTTTATGGTTCTTCTGTGAATTGTCTGTTCTTCCCTTTTATTCATTTTTCTAATGATAATTTATTTTCCTTATCCATTGTTATGTCATCTTTATAATATAAAAGACAGTAACCATTTCTGCTTTATTTGTGGCAATTTTGGGGTTTTTAAAAATTAAACTTTTGTTATTTTGTTTTAATTCTGTCTGCCCTCTTATTTATCTTTTATTAAAAACTCATCCTAAGGAGTATATGCCTCTTCATTGGAAAGTTTACAAAATTTACTTCAATTCTTATATCTGATATTTGACCTTACCACTAGCATTTTGCTTTTTTCCTCGTTTTTGGGTAATGTCTTGCTGTTTATTTTGTGGGTGCCTGTGTTTTTCTCTATGATTGGTGTTTTGATTGCTTTTATCTCCCATGGTGATTTGGAACATAGACATCTTTTTTTTTATTTTATTTTTTGGTGGTTGCTGCTAAGTTTTTCAAATCATACGTGAACCTACATTTCATAAAATATCAAAATCATGGATGAAACAAAACCTTTGATTTTCATTGTGTGAGATTAGGAATTTGGTATGTTTTCATTCCCCTATCCTTTCCTGCATTTGATATGTGGTCTTCATTGACATCATCTGGGATTTCAATCTAGATCATTACTACTAAATTATTACTTTTCTATTTATAACTTTTAGAGTAATTTGACATTAACTTTCAAAGAAATTATTTATTTTATATATGCATTCAGCTTTGTATGAATGTAACACCAATTATTTTAATTTAAATATATGTTAGTGTGGTTTTGTTGCTCACAGTCACTAGCAGTCCTTTTATATTAGAGCTTTTCTTTCCTGGGTCCTTGAGTTTTTAATGTGATTCTCAGGCAGCTAGATTGTAAAAAGGCCAGAACAATAGATGGACCAGATGACATTTAACAATGAAGCTGGAAAAGTAATGCGCTTAGGTTAAAAGATTAAATAAATACAGGTTGGAGGAGTCTGTTGGCAATAATTGTAATGAAAATGACCAGGAGATTGGAGTTTGTAACCTCAATATAAGCAAACCATTGTAATGTGATAGTTTAAAAAGCAAATGCAAATACGGTGGTCATGTTAAAAAGCACAAATCATAGAAGAAATGATAACAATTCCACTTGAGTAGGCACAAGCCATGGAATCTTTGGCTAGAATGTTCAAGTCAGTTTGAGCATCTCAACATTTAAAAACTAGCAAACATCAAAAAGGGCAACTAAGACAGAGAAGACTCTGAAAATCATATCATATACATTTTGACTGAGGGAACTGGGGGCTTGAAACCAGGAAAAAATTAGATTTAGGAGCTCTGACAGTATTTGTGTATTTGAAGAGCTATCACAGAGAATAAATTTAGACTCATTGCTCCTGGAGGCAGATGTAGGGGGATAAATAAAGTTTCAGAGTAAAAGACTGTGATGCAACAGGAGGAAATTTGTCATAGTTAGAGCAGTCCAAGATTGCCATGGGCCGCATCAGACACTCGCATGGTTTCCATCCTCAGAGAGTAGATGGTATCTTTTGAAGATGACGCATAGCCTATATGATATTGGCAAATAAATGGTTAATTAGAAATGTGTTTGGGACAAATATACTACTGTGTGTGATTTCCTAGACTTCTCCTTGCTACACAATGTTCCCCCTTGCCGCCACCCCTAATACCTCTAGTAAAGAGTATCTTGTTCTCACCTGCTCACTCTCTTTCCTACTTCATCTTTGAGGAGAGTTCTGCTTTTGCTGGGCAGGGTTCTGGCTTCTTATATAGAGGTACAAGATCTGGAGAAGTGGAAGAAAAGTGGGAAATGCTCTCACTTGCTGGCTTAGCGTCCAGAATTGCTTTGTTATTGAGAATACAGGGAAAATGCGAATAGTATTATTTAAAGGGTTACTTGATAAGTTTAAAAAGTTAAAAGGATGGCATGGTGTGGGAAAAGAGAGATAGAAAAGCCAGGCTTTCAGCCAGGCGTGGTGGCTCACACCTGTAATCCCAGCATTTTGGGAGGCTGAGGCAGGTGGATCACCTGAGGTCAGGAGTTCGAGACCAGCCTGGCCAACATTGTGAAACCCCATCTCTACTAATAATACAAAAAAATTACCCGGGTGTGGTGGCACACGCCTGTAATCCCAGCTACTCGGGAGGCTGAGGCAGGAGAATTGCTTGAACCCGGGAGGCGGAGGTTGCAGTGAGCCAAGATTGCGCCATTGCACTCCAGCCTGGGCAACAAGAGTGAAACCCCATCTCCAAAAGAAAGAAAAGCCAGGCTTTCTGTCTGAATGTTTGCAGGCTTTGGAGGGTTGGGAGTCTCTGAAGCCTCTGCATAATATGGAAGAGCAAGAGAGACAAGAAAAGGGGATGAGAGCAAGTTCAGAAACAAAGTCAGTCTATTGTCCTGAAATAAAGAAGTATGCTCCCTGCAGTATGTTTCTCCCGTCGGAGAAACAAAAGAGGATCATGAGAACCTAGAAGAGTCTCCGGATATATTTCCATGGGCAAAAGTCACAAGACTCTTAGTGATGAGGAATCAGAATTTTACATCAGGTCTCTTTTCCCACTTTAAATAACATACAAATTGTTATATATACGGGTGCTAATATTAATCATGTAGCGTCGTCATTCCAAAGTGTGGATTCACTCCTTCTCTATTAACCATTCTCTGCTTTCATAAAGTCTAACTATGGACTGCTCCAAGGAGTGTGTGTGTGTGTGTGTGTGTGTGTTACTTTCCTATTACAATCAAAATTTGGTTGCCCAAAGAGGACAGAAAGGGAAAAGCAACACTCTTTCCAAATGCTGTCTCATTTTTTTGTTGTTGTTGGGTGTTGTGATGGTTAATTTTATGTGTCAATTTTGCTGGGCCACATTACCCAGAAATGTGGCCAAACACTATTCTGGATGTTTCTGTGAGGTTATTTTTAGATGAGATTAACATGTACATCAGTGGACTTAGAGCAAAGCAGATTGCCTCCATAATGTGGGTGGGCCTCATCCAACCAGTTGAAGGGCTGATAGAACAGCAGACTATACTCCTTGAGCAGGAGAGAATGCTGCCAGCAGGTGGCCTTTGGACCTGAACTGCAATGTTGGCTCTTCTCTGGGTCTCCGGCCTGCCCACCCAGCCTGCAGGTTTTGGACTTTACAGCTGCCACAATCATGTCAGCCAATTCCTTAAATTAAATCTCTTTCTATGTTTATATACATCCTACCAGTTTTGTTTCTCTGGAGAACCCTGACTAATACAACTGTACTATATATTGTGGGAATAAAAAGACAGCCTGCATTTGAAAGGAAATCAGGCTATATGAACCCAAAAATATGACCCCACTCTCATATTTTACATACTGTTCTATCAGTCTCCAGATTCCACACAGAACCATAATATATTGTTTAACATACACAGTGTTTGTATGAGCAGGGTTGTAACTCACCAGAACTTTCAAAATATCTTAATCTCTTCAGAAATTTTGCAATTAGCAACAATATGCAGGAAGGTATTGTTTAATTGAGTGATGATAATAAAGACATATGTATTAAGTGCATTAGCAAAGAGTATGAATAAATGGATACAGAAAAATGTTTGGTAACATATAATAGATTTCTCATTATCCTGTGCAGATCTTTCATTAAGGGAATATCCACCTAAAATGGATTATTCATCATCGAATGATTAACAGTGAGAATTCTTCTGTAGGAAATATTTTGGAAGTTCTTTTTAGAACATAGAGAAGATGATCTGTCCCCAAGAATTCATATTCAAGACAGATTACTCAATGAATGTCATCATTTGGAGACCCCATTCTATAATTGTGAGGAGAGAACACAGTTTTTCAAAGACTGAAGTCCCTTTCTTCTCTTTCCCACTGTACAACTCCATTCAGGTCTAAAGTTTTGCACCCAAAATTGAATGAGCTTTTAAGCCTTAGATATGATGCATCATCATCTTTTACAAGAAGAATGATCTTCCAGTTTCTTCCAAATTAAATCAGCAATAGCGAGCCATTCCATGAAAAACCCAATTATATTATATAAATTGGGATTAATATATTAAAACGGAGTTTGTATTTGAATGAAATTGCCAAAATAAAGAGCAGAGAGGACAAATGACTATTATAAGCCATGATGCATATGAAAGGACCTACACTTACTGCTTACACATGCTACAAAGTGAATTAATGTTGAAGTTCTTTCTTGCTACTCAGTATTCATATTTCCAAGTAAATCCAATTTCAAATCCAGTGTACCATGTAGAGGCACATTAAAATTTAAATTCCCTACAACTTTAATAGGCTTATTTTTAACACTACCAGTGATAATCCCAGCTGACTGAGATTTCCATATAGGTGGGAAGTTGGCTAAGTGGCCTACGAGATCTCTGCCAAATCTGATATTCTTGAGCTTTCTTCTAGGAGCCCATAGTTGACTGCTGTAAAGATGGAGCAGCCCGTGCACATTCCTGACAGTATTTTCTTTTGATCCTAAATGTATTTTGCATTTACGAACTCATAAGATAATACCTGCGATGAGGCATTCAGGTGTTACCTTATGGGTTTGTGAATGCAAAATACCTTTAATTCCCTGTGGAAATCCTAATCCTACATCTTCTGTCCTAAAGCTCACCTTGTCTATGTCAGTTTAGCTAAAGGTATGTGGCAGCCAGCAAAGTCATGATGTTTGAAAACCAGGAGAATTAAGACATGCTCAGTTTGTGCATTCATTAATCGGCTGTCTGTTCTCTCTTGTAGGTGCCCAGAGGGCAAGGTCTGGGCCCACTTTAATTGTGGGTGCAATCCATAATATAGAGCCAGTGGCCTATGTGTGCTTAACAAATACCATCAGGTAATTAGGATGATGATGGGTAACTGTCTGTTGTTACCACTTGCCAAAGAATTAAACTACATTTACACTTTCAGTAATTATCTCCATGCCAAATTGTTCCCATGTGAACCCAAACGTTGCAATTTTAGATGGATTCACACTATAGCAGCAATTACTTAATTATTGTACTGTGAGAAGCACCCAGTTTTCAAAAGAAACAACTTTCACAACTCATTAGACAAATCTTCTGTCTGCTGTAGGTATTATTACCCAAGTAAGTTGAGGATGGAGCTGGGAGTGGAATTCAAAAATTTTTACTGAAGACAGATGGCGCTATAAATACCCTACTTTCCAGAGTCATGGCACTTAAATTCCACTTTCTTTTAAATAAAGCAGTTAGATTGCTAATTTACCCCCAAGTATGTAAATAAATTATACACACACATGTATTACATCAATAACATTTTGGACTGAATTCTGTGCAATTTCAAAGAAAGGATCTATGGCATTGATTGGGATAAGACATACAACTGTATGGACTCAGGCAATGGGGTGGGCCACAGAAAACCCTACTTACTTCTCTTCACTTAATACTGGCCGTCTCCAAATCCCCTGGATCAATTACACACAACATTGCATAAGAACGTTTTTATTAATTCTCAGATTAAGTGTCAAATTAGATGGCAGAGGGGAGTGTGTTACGGAAGGGCCGTTCTCATAGTATATCAAAGTCACCTATAATCTTCAAGGAGCATTTCACTTTTAAGCATGAGGATACATAAAGTCTCTTTCTGGAAATTATAATTCAGTAAGGAATAACTTTTGATAAATGTATATTCTCAAAAAGTGTGGCAAGAAGACAGGTGGCCTAGAAATAGATCTAAACTGTACAGGATGGTTATACATAAACTTCTTCACAAACAGACTAAAGTGTCTGTGGTTTTCTTTTTTCCCTGAGTCTGTAATCTTTTATGATGATCATTTCGTTAAAATTTACCACTTGCTAATTTGCATTTTCTCTGTGGAGCTCGTACTTCCTCCATGTTAATGTAACTTTCCCTTTCTCTGGGCTAATCTTGGTTTGATTGAAACAATGTGGAGTCAAAATGGTGGCCTGAACATAGAAAACCTTTTATTCCAGAATGTGATATAATTGGCTTCAGGAATCTGCAATGGAACCTCTGAGACAAGGGGAAACAGCACCTAAGAGACCTGCAGGCGAAGGAAATACCCAGCCCACATGGATCACCCTTCTTGTGCCTTTGGCAAGAATATGACCCAGTGACAGGATTTTGGAAATAGAGCCTTAGAGTGGGCCTTAGAGTGGATAAAAGTGCCTTTACCAAAATACTGCACTACCTCCAGAGCCACCTAAGACCCTCCTCTCTACACGCATCCTCTTTCCATCTTTACTTCGGACCCCATGTTCATTTAACTGCACAGTTTTGTTTTTGTTTTTTTTCTAAACCAAGAGCCTCCCAGAATTGATAGGTAGCTCCATTCTTACTGTGTGACTGATCACGGTTAGAGTCTTGCTGTAACTGCAATGTGTTTTTATATGCAAATATAAGAAGAAAAATTAAGGAAGTTCTCTAAGTTACCCAGACAAGTTGCAATCAATTCAAATCCATTAATAAGAGTTTTTAAAATCCTATGTTCCTAATCCAACACTATGGGAACACAGAACCTGGTTTATAAATCCAGGAGTTTTAAATAAACCAGGTGAAGAATATAACCCCACAAATGTGAAAGTGACAACAAAACAACTTACATTAGAATATGGTGTCACAGAAGTTCAGAGAAAGGAGATCTACTACATGAGAGATCAAACCAATTGAAGAAACCACAGACTCCTTTTAACCTGATGTGTTCCTAGAAAGCCTTAGACTTCTGTTTACTTCATGTGTGAGAAATCTCTGACCTAGTCTGGAACATGAATAGTTACAGAACATAAATTCTACATTTTATTATTGAGAAATGAGTATACTCTTTGGGAAAATTTCATTTAATAACTGGAATCTAATGTGGGGCATGGAGGAATAGCTGGGAAAGTATTCCAAACTTACTTCAGACCCCAGAATGAAGCCAGTGGGCTATCTCCGCTGTTCAGCGTGGGTGTGAACAGAGATATGATCATAGTGGTAAAAACCAATTGGTTTTCTAAAAAGAAACCTTTGGTAGTCACATTTATTTTTGTTATGCACTATGATTAAAATGATACTTACACCACTACATAGTTTAAATTATTTCCTGGAGTGCAGTTGGGCTTTGGAACTTAGTGATCTCAATTTTAAACTAACTCTTGGGGGTGGGAAGGAATTGGCACTTCATAGTGAAGCATTTCATCACCTAAACTCCCTTGCCCAAAAATAACTCTTTATATTTTAGATATAAAAATTCCATTACTTTAGCCTGAGATTGAGTTTCATCATTCCATAGGTTCAGTTAACACACTCCAAATGAAAGAATCCAAACAGACATTTGATAAGCTATCTACCATGTATCAAATTCATGCCAGTTGATTAGAAGAATATATTATGAAATGATTGACAGTTCTTTGAAAATAACAATTTATTACCTGTCACACTGCTAAAGTATGCTTTTGATATACAGAAGTGAAATAATATTGAAATAAAACTAACTCTAAGCTGAAACAGGAGTTACAGTATTCCAAATAGATCCCAGATGACTATGAAAAACATATTTGTCTGGGTAATAATTAAATAAGCGATAGATGGTTATTACATAGATAACAAATTTCAATGCAATATACTATGCAAGTGCTCCTATCCTATTAACATAAAAACAACACTGAGCTCAGCAACTCAAATGGAATAGATATTTGGAATTCTAAATTTGGAGAGCAATATATGGCAAAAGTTTGGTAATTAGTATTAAGAATCTGACTTATTTCCTGTGAAGTCAGTGGATTTACCTCTAAGTTTTAGGCCCATCCATTACAGGAAATTTGTTATAATTGGTTCACTTTGGGTTAAATGGTTGATATTTTTAGCCTCTAAAACCTGTTATTTTGTAGCTGAGGTTTATCCTACTTTCCTGTGTCTTCACAAACTTTCCATTTTAAATTACAGAACCTCCATGCTAATTATAAACTTTTATCTTTAAAAGTGGTGCTGCCTTTTAATCATTTGCTGTAGTTGGAGTTTTTTTTCTAAAACCTTAAAGAAGATGGCACTGTTCTTAATTTTGATCAGGGAAGTTTGTAGAATATAGCAAAAGTTCAAGGTCTTATTAATACTCTGGTAAGCCTTGGTCAAAGGCAGAATTTAATGCACAGCTAAATGTTTAGACATGAGAACCTACACTTGCAACATACCAATGTTTCTCTACAGTAGCAAAGGAAATGAAAGTTCCGATTTTGAACTTACCATGGAACATATTGAGTGCTATCTCTCCCTGTATTAAAATTAGTCACAGTCAGGTTGGCTCTGGCAATGAATAAAGCTATGGTCAGCTCACAGGTGAGCCAGTTAATGTTATTCTTTTTGCCTCTTTGGTCATTGGCTGTGCTCTGAACTTGAAAGTCTTTGCACCTGGAGGTAGAAGTTGTAAGTGCAAACCCATCACTGGGAGGGGGCCAAACTGCTAAATATATATGGCCCAGGGATAGTTTTTCAGTAACCTTAACTCTGAGTGATTAAAAAAACACAGAAATGGGACTGACCATGGGAAATTACATTAACTCTGGTCATTAAAGTACCAGTAAGCATAAATAAGAATAATAGTAACAACTATAATTTAGTTAATGCTTCTTAGAACCAGACATTGTCTATGTACTTCCTCCTTCTTTGTAATATATGTGTTTTTATCTCCATTTTACAGATGAGAAAACTGAGGCTCAAAGACTTTATATCACTTGCCCAGTGTTACATAGTAACTAGTAATGGAACCACGATTTAAAGTGAGCATGTCTCTGGGTCGCGTGTGGTGGCTCACGCCTGTAATCCCAGCACTTTGGGAGGCCAAAGTGGGTGGATCACTTGAGGCCAGAAGTTTGAGACCAGCCTGGGCAACATAGCGAAACCCCATCTCTACTAAAAAATACAAAAATTAGCCAGGCATAATCTCAGCTACTCAGGAGGGTAAGGCAGGAGAATCGCTTCAACCTTGGATCAGAGTTTGCAGTGAACCAAGATCATGCCACTGCACTCCAGCCTGGATGACAGAGCAAGACTCTGTCTCAAAAAAAAAAAAAAATTAGAATTAGAAAATAAAAATAAATTAAAAATAAAAAATAAAATGGGTGTGCCTCATCCTAAAGCCCATACTGTAATCCAGGGGCTTTGGGAACTTGATCTGTAAACCAAAAACATCAGAATCACCTAAGAAGCTTCTTAGACCCCAGGAGCCAAGATTTGATTCTGTAAACTTAGGGCAAGTCTAGGAATCTGGTGCCCTTTTTTGTTGTTTTTAAACAACTCCCCAAGTAATTCTGACCCTGATTCAGGCTTGGAAACTACTGCTTGAAGTGGTTCCCCAACCTCACTCACACCGATAATGGTATTATCTGTACAGTTCACAGGGAAAAGTGGACAAGGCTGTTCCCAGGCAGTGGAGACAGGCCTGGAGTCTCTGATCATTCTGGTCTTCCCCTGGCCTTAGGGCTCAACATCCCAGCACATTCCTTGCTTTGAGAAAGATTCAGTTTTTTATTTATAAAACAGGAAGCTTTGGACAGGAAGACCTTTTCTAGCTCTAAAATTCTGTGGACTATCAGAAAAAGTGCATTCCAGACTTGGAGGCAATCTCAGTACAGTTCTGCCTCGGGTTGATAGTGAATTCCTTCATTTAAGGGCATTATGATAAGATGCCTGCTCTAGGCTTTCCTACATCCTCCATTATTTCTATAGCACTTCTTCTGCCCTGCCCAGAAGGGCAGCTACTCAGCTACTCAGGAGGCTAAGGCAGGAGAATCGCTTCAACCTTGGAGGCAGAGTTTGCAGTGAACCAAGATCATGCCACTGCACAATGATGTTTAATGGAGCATTATTTATAATACCAAAACATATGGAAATAATATAAATGTTCAACAATTGTTTCTCAATTGGTATATTTCCATATGATGAAATACTGCATAGTTATTAAAAATCATCTTGCAGAAAAGAATTGATATGACAATGTTCAAAACACCACATAAAGAGAAACTACTCAGTAAATGTTCTCTTATGAATAAAGCAAGGTCATTTTTATGTAGTTACCCTTAATGAAAGAGAATTTTTCTAATGGTTTGGGTCTAGGTATTTGGATCAAGAAAGTTAAAAAGTTGTTGATATGAGGAAGAGGGAATTAGCCAGAATACACATTCCTAACTAAGAGTCCATAATGACGGCCTTGAAAGGAATTGAGTTATTCCCTCTGCATGCTCTTTCTCTCTTAGGTATATCCATGGGTCTTATCACCCAACACAGGAAGCTGGGCATCATCCCAGATGCCTACCTGTTTTTGATCTACCACCTTTAGTGAGTCACCAATTATTCTCCATTGAACTACAGAAACAGCCTTCTCATGTGTCTCCTGGCCCATAACCTCACCCCTGTTCAGTACAATGCTCAGTTTTTTGGGGGGTAATTTGGCAATATGTTATCAAATTCATGATAAATTGCTTCTACTCCCTCAACCAACAATTAGGTTTTTAGGAATATTTGTAAGCTACTCGGGAGGCTGAGGCAGGAGAATCGCTTAAACCCAGGAGGCAGAGATTGCAGTGAGCCAAGATGGCACCACTGTACTCCAGCCTGGGCAACAAGAGAGAAACTCCGTCTAAAAAAAAAAAAAAAAAAAGAATATAATTAGATATGGGCACAAAGATGTATGTGCACAATGATGTTTAATGGAGCATTATTTATAATACCAAAACATATGGAAATAATATAAATGTCCAACAATTGTTTCTCAATTGGTATATTTCCACATGATGAAATACTGCATAGTTATTAAAAATCATCTTGCAGAAAAGAATTGATATGACAATGTTCAAAACACACCTACTGCTAAGTAAAACAGCAGGTTATTGAGTAGCAAGTATGACATGTAACTATTTCTAAATACATATATGTGCATATAGATATTTACATATATCAGACACATAAATAGAAAAGTGATCAGAAGGATCCACATCAAAATGTTAACAGTAGTTTTCTCTGAGTTGTTGGAGCGTAAGTACATTGGGGTTTCCACTGTATGCATCCAGTGTATTTTATCTTATAAAGGAAAGTGTATTATTAAAATACATCCACACAAATCTGATTTTGTAAGTTCCTCAGGAGATCCCCACTACATTAAAATCGAAGTCCTGAACATGACACCTGAGAGTAGAGCTTAGCTTCTGCCTAGCCCCTGCATCCTCAAGGCCTAGGCCCGTTCCATTCACTCCCCTCTATTGTACTCTCAGACCTGCTTCCTCTCTCACCGGCTGTCACTTTGCAATTGCTGAGCCCTCTCCTTGTAATGTCCTCTGCCTTTCTGTGATTAGCAAACTCTATCTGGCCTTTCAAAGACCACCTCAGAGAGGCTACCCTGCCCCATTCCTCAGAGGTGGTCACTAGCTCCTTTGGGCTACCTACAAGTATCTCCATGTTTGCATGCACCCCACTCAACTATAGTTTTAGGTTGACTTTTCTGTTTTTACTCCAATTCCCTAAGAAATTGAGCCCCGAGAAAGCTAGGACCAGGTCTTGATCTCTCCTGCATCAAACACCGAAGCAGGAACATTGTAGAGGCTCAAAAAATATGTGTTGGAATGAAGCAAATGACAGAAATCTAAAGAAGGAATTTCTGTTTCCTATGCATTTTTGAGTTATGCTTCAGGTTCATAGACCACTTTGTCCACTTTTATTTACTCCATGGTCTAAACTTTTGGATCCAATGTAATTTGCATGCCCAAACTACAAGCTTAAGCACTTTGAATAACTAATTTTCATCAATCAGCTTATTAAAAATAGTAAAATGACCCACATATACAAACATAGGCCAAAAGCTAAGAAATAAAAAATAAAGAAGTTATTTCTATGAGTAAAATAGTTTTGAGGCCTAAATAAAAGTGTGGAATTTGCTATAGTGCATTTGTTTTTGGTTAAATATTTTGATAAGAAATAAAGGTGGCCAATTTTTACTTATTTATTTATTTTGATTTTGATTTTTTGAGACAGAGTTTTGCTCTTGTTGGCCAGGCTGGAGTGCAATGGCACGATCTTGGCTCACTGCAACCTCCGCCTCCCGGGTTCAAGTGATTCTCCTGCCTCAGCCTCCCAAGTAGCTGGGATTACAGGCATGCGCCACCACACCCGGCTAATTTTTGTATTTTTAGTAGAGACAGGGTTTCTCCATGTTGGTCAGGCTGGTCTCGAACTACCGACCTCAGGTAATCTGCCCGAAAGGTGGCCAATTTTATCAGCACTAAATAATTACAGTTGACAGAATAGCCACACATTTTAAGATTATGTGTTTCTAGGTAAATATTTTCCTCCTAAATAATGAAAAATCACTTCTAACCATGTCAATATTACAATGGTAAAGTAGGTCCAAGAATATCACAAAACTGGAAATAAAAATTGCTTGTAGTTTGCTCCCTTTCCCAGAATTTCTCAAAATTGGAATTGAAATATCATAAGCACTTACAAAACTGTTGTATACTCTACTTTCATCATAATAATGTGGGTAACTCTTCCTTATAACTACGGTCAATCATTATCATGGTAGCAAATATAGCTCTGTGCATTCTCAATGCTCTTCCTCTACACTACAGATGTGCATAACTTGATGAGATTGATATTTAATGAGCAATTGTCTAATAACTTAAAAAAAACAAATTATTAACCAATCAGCAGCAGAGCAAGAGACACAAAAGATTTCACTAATAGGATTCATTTAAATGGAATACTGGGCTGACTCTCAAAAAAATTCTCAACTCATGTATTTGCATTATTAAAATAGCTTCTATTAAAATATAGCAACACTCATAAGGTACATTTTATACTGTTATCTTAAAATGCGGAACACACTAGGGAAAGTAGCAGAGGAGAACATACAAGACCAAGAATGGCAAAAGATGAAATCATCCAGATTTTTTTTCTTTTTTGAGGTATCATAGGTCAGACCGGCTTCATTCTTTTAAGGCCTCAATGATATTCTACCAGGCATTAATTTAAAGCCTCAAGCCACCTTGAGTCACTCAATAGAAACAAAAATCTAAGCAGGGGGCAGAGAAGACTAGTAATTTTTCAAGAAAGAGAGAAATGCAACTGGAGAGAATAAGATGTGTTTTGTTCCACTAGAAATATGACTCCACTCTCCCAATCTAACCAGGGCTCGTTTTTTGTAATATGAATAATATCACTATAACTCATTAGAATTGTCTACATTTTAATTTGAAAAATAGTTGGTATGTTAATCTTAAATAGCCTGTCTTCTGGACCAACAGAAGGAGTTACAAAAGAAGTCATTTACAGTGGCGTAATTAAGGCTTGTGAGAAGCATATTTAGTAATGCGTTGCTGTTCTCCTTTCCATCCAATGGCCTTGTTGGTATATAGATCTACCATTTGATCAGTGCTTCTGCCCCAGGGGCTTCATGGTCTGCAAGCCACAACCTACTAATAAGCACCCTCCAGCTTGTTTGCTAAACAGATCAGTCCTGGCAGGCACCCAAAAACTCCAGTCCTTGAAACTTGGAGCTCTTTAACTTGCATGGCCCATTGTGTGGCAAGCAAGAGAATAAACTATGTACCTCATAAATGCAGAGCAATTATAGATGAGTTAGTAATACAGCTGTGGCTCAAAAGATTGCTTACCTAAACCAAATCGAGGCTTAATTTATTTTTGTATTGTCTTTGTTAAAAACCAAACAAACTGCTCTGCAGTGCTTGTATACACAATAAAGAAAATGGCTGTGTTTTCCTTACAAACAAGATGGCAACTCTGGCTACAAGAAATCATCCTCAGTAGCTGGAGGTTTTTGTATTAGGGTCTGAACCAAGCCATTTCTTGCTGTATTTATTAGGTTGTTTGAGGAAACAGGATAGAATACTTTCTTTGGTAGAAGTGCAATGTGTTGGGGGCTGGGCATTGTACAGTACATTCTGTTTTCTGTTATAGATACCAGATTAGATACTGTCAACTTCAAGTACAAGAATGTAAAAATGAAGTAGACTGAAATGACAAAGTAGCTTGCATTTGTGTACATTAATCTGCCAATGATTATGACGTATAGAAGTAGGCTTCTTTTAGAAAACACTGTTATATGCATATTAATACTTGCCAATTTGTAAATTCTCACAATACAAAAACAAAACAAAACAAAAAAGCAAAATCATTAGGTTTGTGGCAGTATCAGTTACCTGGAAGTGGCTTAGTAAAGCAATAGCGTATACTTTTTACTCCATGACTAAGGTTTTTCATACTCTTTTAGCATCTATCCTGTGATAAGTGCATTGAGTGACAAATCTTATATTCTTGAGAAAGTGCTGTGAGAGACTTGGTATCTTAATTTTAGGAAGTCTATAATAATTTTGAAAATGTCTACACGGATAATTATAGGTAATAAAAACATTACAAGATTGGTTCAAAGGAGATAGCACCTAGACCTGGTTCTATTGTTTATTAACCATATGACCTTACTGAACCTCAGTATCCTCATCTGTAAAATGGAGTAATTTCTGCCTATCTCAGAGGGATGCTGAGCAGAGGAAATAAATTATCAGAGCATTAGTACTTAGTAATGTGCAGACATCTACACATGCAAACTCTTGTTGCTAAACAGAACAAACTTAGAGAATGATCAGGTACATATTTGTATGGCTGTGAACCACTGGACAGATTTCTTTGAAACCAACTGTTAATAATCCTAATCGGCTTCATCTGGGGATTGGAATATGGGTTTAGGATGTGTAGAGAATTTATATCATCTCCTCTTAGCTTCTGAAGTGGGAAATGACCCCAACAACTGGTGCTTTGTAGATTGGCCTGACAGCAGAGAGAGGTAAGGATTGGGTATTTAATTCCAAGGTCTGTGGCCACCTCTGGGACTGCAGCCAAAAGGAAAGAAATGTGAGAAAAAAGGTTTAAAATTACACTAAGAATGCAAGTTGCCCTTGCCCCCTGAGCAGTCTTAGGAAAGCTCAGCCTGGGACCCTGCACTGGAGCTGGAAGGATGTGAGACTCCTGCCTTGGCCTGTTCAGGGCAGCTGTTCTACTTATATTCAGACCTACCAGGTGTTTTGTCGTTGCAGTTATTTTGTTTTATTTTTCAAATCCCTGATTCTGTTCTACAAGTGCAGATATTTCAGATGAAGAGATGACTAGATGCTCCAGTTATTAGCTACAATTTTTGAGGTACCCAATCTGATGTGCACAACCAGGTTTCAAGTGGATGAATACTTTGGGCTTTTCCCTGACATGTGGTCAGTGTTTGCCTTCCTGCTTCTAATCTTAGGTAGTACATTAATCAGCTATTGCTTCAATAATGCTACATAATAAACCTGTCCCAAAATTCATTGACTAGCCATGCACAGAGACTCACACCTGTAATCCAAGCACTTTGGAAGGCTGAGGCAAGAGGACTGCATGAGTCCAGGAGTCTGAGATCAGCCTGGGCAACATAGTGAGAACCCATCTCTGCAAAAAAATAAAAAATTAAAAAACTAGCTGGGCATTGTGGCATGTGCTTGTAGTCCCAGTTACTCAGGAGGTTGAGGCAGGAGGATTGCTTGAACCCAGGAGGTTGAGGCTGCAGTGAGCTGTGATTGCACCACTACACTCCAGCCTGGGTGACAGAGTAAGACCCTGTCTCAAAAAAAATTAATTAATTAAAAAATATTCATTGACTTAAAACAGCAAGCATTTATTTCTCAGTAAGGTCTACAGCCAGCTGCAACTTGGCCAGACGAGGCTGAACTCCAGTCTCTGGGATCTAGCTGCAGGTTTGGTATAGATCTGTTTCACATATCTTCTATCTTGCTTGGATTAGTGACTACCCAGGAAATGCCCTTTTCATATAAAATGGCAGAGGCTTACAGCACTGGCCCAGAATGCACACACTAACGTTTCCACCCATATTCCATTGGCCAAAGCAAGTCAAGCGACTAATCCCAACATCCATCAAGCAATAAAATATGTTTCATTTCTAGTAGAAAGAACTTCAAAATCACAAGACAAAGGGAGTTGGTGAATAATTCTAATAGAGGGAAGGCATGACAAATTGGAACAATAATATAATCTACCACACATGTTTTATCAAAGGGAGCTTTTATTTTATATATCTAATTTTTAAACATCACTAATAACATTTACTTACACTCTGAAATCACCATAATTTAAATAATCCATGTGGCTATTGGGCACTTGGAACATGGCTAGCCCAAACTGAGATGTATTATAAGTTTAAAATGCACACCAGATTTTGATGACTTTGTATGTAAGAAAATATTGTAAAATATCTCTTAATAATAAAAATAGGGGAGAAAGTCATTGAAAGTGGATGGAGAGAGGACAGAGACTCTGGGCTGAAGGGAGAGGAAGCTGGGAACCCTGCATGTGGTTGCCGAGCACCAGGACTCATTCCTGGCCCCAAGCAGCTCCTGGGGAAGGGGTGACTTGAATGAGTGTAGAGTGACCCACTATCACCACAGACATCCAGAATCCTAGCTCCAGGAGACCCCACGACCCCCACAGACATTTGAGCTGGCAGGGAGAGCTGCTTGGAGAGTTGACAGGAACAAGACTCCAGCCTGTGCAGAGTGCAGAAGGTTTGGTGCAGGAACAGCTGTATTGGAGCAAGGGCAGAGATGCCCATCCCCAAGGATCACCATACTCCTCTAGGTGGCTTTTGCCTTTGTTGACTGTCAGAACTGGACAGAACAGGGCTATCTTGCCCATGGGACCGAGGCAGTCTAATCTGAGCACCCTCCTGTCTGCTGGCCTGTCCTGGGGTTCTGCCTGGCTGCACCTGCTTACAACACAGCCTCAGGTGCCTAACTGGGGCACTTCCCAGCAGCCATTGCCACAGCTCCTTCACCAGCAGACCCTGCCTAGCCATTGGAGAGTTTCCACAGATAGGCCCCCCTCAGTAGGCACTCTCCCGCAGCTTCCCACACCACTTTTCCAGGGCACACACATGCACATGCCGCCACCCTGCCACTAGGGCAAGCGTGCATGGGCAGCCCCCACCACCCTGCCACTGTTGGCTCAAGCACGCATACATGGACCCCACAGCACCACCACCCTGCTGCCACTGGCACATATGCATGCAGACCCTGCTGCACTGTTGCTCTGCTGCAGCCAGTGCACATGAACATGGACCCTGCTGCCACCACCTCGATGAAGAGTTTTTGCCAGCAACCTCCCTCCCCCTGCCATTGAAGTGTTGTTGCCGGCAGACTGGGGACACCTAGGCCTCTTCAACACAGCAGGGCCTTAACCTTCAGGGGCCAGAGAAGAATGCCATGAGCCTGGTCCCAGTGCCCCAGGATGACAGCACACTTCCCAGGAGTGCTGAGCTGAGCCTTGGCCACCTGAAATTGTGCAGAAACAAAGCCAGTCAACTGAATCCAACGTATAACACCAACCCTCAAGGTCATCAAAGAATATAAAAGCAAAAAAAAAAAATCCATCCAAAGGACAGCAACTTCAAAGATTAAAAGAACATCAGTTTACACAGATGAGAATGAACTAGTGCAAAAACTCTGGCAACTCAAAAAGCCAGAGTGCCTTCTTCCCTCCAAATGACTGCACTAGCTCCCCAGCAATGGTTTTTGGCCAGGCTGAAAAGGATGAAATGATAGATGTAGAATTCAGAATCTGGATAGCAATGAAGATTATTGAGATTCAGGAGAAAGTTGAAACCCAATCCAAGAAACCTAAAGAATCCAGTAAAATAATTCCAGAGCTGAAAGCCAAAATAGCCATTTGAAGAAAGAACCAAACTAATCTGATACAGCTGAAAAATTCACTACAAGAATTTCATAATACACTTGTAATCCCAGCACTTTGGGAGGCCAAGGCGGGTGGATCATGAGGCCAAGAGATCGAGACCATCCTGGCTAACACGGTGAAACCCCATCTCTACTAAAAATACAAAAAATTAGCCGGGCATGGTGGTGGGTGCCTGTAGTCCCAGCTACTCGGGAGGCTGATACAGGAGAATGGCGTGAACCTGGGAGGCAGAGCTTGCAATGAGCAGAGATCACGCCGCTGTGCTCCAGCCTGGGCGACAGAGAGGGACTCCGTCTCAAAAAATAAATAAATAAAAAAAGATGCTATATGACTATCCCCAAGACACATAGTGATCAGATTTTCCAAGGTCAGTGCAAAAGAAAAAATATTAAAGGCAGCTAGAGGGAAAGAGTAGGTCACCTAAAAAGGGAACCCCATGAGGCTAATAGTGAACCTTTAGGCACAAAACTTACAAGCCAGAAGAGGTTGGGGGTCCACATTCAACATTCTTAAAGAAAAGAAATTCCAGCCAAGAATTTCATATCCAGCCAAACTAAGTTTCATAAGCAAAGAAAAAGCAAAATCCTTTCCAGACAAGCAAATGCTAAGGGAATTCATTACCACCAGACCTGCTTTAAAAGAGATCCTTAAGGGAGTGCTAAACATAAAAATAAAAGACTGTTACCAACCACCATAAAAACACACTTAAGTACATAGAACATTGACACTATAAAGTAATTACACAATCAACTCTACATAACAACCAGCTAACAACATGATGACAGGATCAAATAAGCACATATCAATATTAACCTTAAAAGTACCTGGCCTAAATGCCCCCACTTAAAAGGCAAAGAGTGTCAAGTTGGATAAGAAGCAAGACCCAACTGTATGCTGTCTTCATTAGGTTAATCTCACATTCAATGACACCCAAAGGCTCACAGTAAAGAGATGAAGAAAAATCTATCAAGCAAATGGAAAACAAACAAACGAAAGCAGGGGTTGCTATTCTTATTTTAGACAAAATAGACTTTAAATCAACAATGATCAGAAAGGACAAAGAAGGGCATTACATAGTGATAAAGGGTTCAATTCAACCAGAAGACTCAACTGTCCTAAATATATATGCATCCAACACTGCAGCACACAGATTCATAAAACAACTTCTTAGAGACCTACAAAGAGACTTAGATGACCACACAACAATAATGAGAGACTTCAACACCCTACTGACAGTATTGGACATATCACTGAAGCAGAATACTAACAGAGCTATTGAGGACCTAAACTTGACACTTGACCAAATGGATCTAACAGACATCTACAGAACACTTCACCCAACAACAACAGAATATAAATTCTTCTCAGCTGCACATGGCACATACTCTAAAATCGACCACACAGTTGGCCATAAAGCAATTCTCGAAAATTTTTTAAAAATGAAATCATACGAAGTACACTCTCAGACCACAGCACAACAAAAATATGTCAAGAGGATCTCTCAAAACCATACAATTACATGGACATTAAACAACCTGCTCCTGAACAACTTTTGGGTAAGCAGTAAAATTAAGGTAGAAATCAAGAAATTCTTTGTAACTAGTAAAAACAAAGATGCAACATACCAGAATCTCTGGGACACAGCTAAAGCAGTGTTGAGAAGGAAATTTATAGTGCTAAATGCCCACATCAAAAAGTTAGAAAGATCTTAAATTAACAACCTAACATCATACCCAGAGGAATTAGAACAAGAACAACCAGTCCCAAAGCTAGTGGAAGAAAAAAATAACCAAAATGAGAGCTGAACTGAACAAAATGGGGCAAGAAAAACCCATACAAAAGAGAGCAAAGGCAAAAATTGGTTCTTTGAAAGAATAAATGAGATTGATAGACTGCTAGCTAGACAAAGAAAGAAAGAGAGATGATCCAAATAAACACAATGAGAAATGGCAAAGGGGATATTACCACTGACCTCACAGAAATAGAAAAAATCCTCGGAGACTATTAAGAACAATTCTATGTACACAAACTAGAATACCTAGAAGACATGGATATATTTCTGAAAACATACAACTTTTCAAGATTGAATCAGGAAGAAATTGAAACTCTGAACAAACCAATAACAAGTTCCAAAATTAAATCTGTAATAAATCAACCAACCAGAAAGAGCCCAGGACCCAATGGATTCACAGATGTATAAAGAAGAGCTGCGCCAGGTGTGGTGGCTCACACCTATAATCCCAAAACTTTGGGAGGTCAAGGCAAGCAGATCACTTGAGCTCAGGAGTTTGAGACCAGCCTGGGCAACATGATGAAACTCCCTCTCTACAAAAAATACTAAAATTATCCAGGTGTAGTGGTGTATACCTATAGTCCCAGCTACCTGGGGGGCTCACCTATGCCTGGGAGTTTGAGGCTGAAGTGAGCTGTGATTGCACCACTGCACTCCAGCGTGGGTGTTAGAGTGAGACCCTGTCTCAAAAAAAAAAGAAGAAGAAGAGTTTGTACCAATACTACTGAAACTATTCCAAAACATCAAGGAGGAGGGGAGGAGGGACTCCTCCCTAACTCATTCTATGAGGCAGCATCATTCTGATACCAAAACCTGGAAGACATAATAAACAAAGAAAATTTCAGGCCAATATCCCTGATGAACACAGACACCAAAATCCTCAACAAAATACTAACAAACCAAATCCAGTAGCACACCAAAAAGCTAGTCCACCATGATCAAGTAGGCTTTGTTTTTGGGATGCAAGGTTGGTTCAACATATTCAAATCAATAAATGTGATTCATCACAGAAACAGAATTAAAAACAAAAATCAAATCATCATCTCAATAGATGCAGAAAATGTTTTCACTAAAATTCCATATCGCTTCATGTTAAAAAACCTCAGCAAACTAGGCACTGAAGAAATGTACCTCAAAATAATGAGAGCCACATATGATAAACCCACAGCCAACACCATACTGAATGAGCAAAAGCTGAAAGCATTCCTCTTGAGAACTGGGACAAGACAAGGATGCCCTCTCTCACCACTCCTATTCAACATAGTACTGGAAGTCCTGGCCAGAGAAGTCAGGCAAGAGAAACAAATAAAAGGCATTCAAATAGGAAGAGAGAAAATCAAATTATCTCTCTTCATAGACAATATGATTCTATACCTAGAAACCCCCATAGTCTCTGCCCAAAGGCTCCTAGATCTGATAAACAATTTCAGCAAAGTTTCAGGATACAAAATCAATGTACTAAAATCAGTAGCATCGCTATATACCAATAATGTCCAAATTGAGAGCTAAATCAAGAATACAATCCCATTTACAATGCTACAAAAAGAATAAAACACTTAGGAATACACCTAACAGGGAGGTGAAAGATCTCTACAAAGAGAATTACAAAACACTGCTCAAAGAAATCAGAGACAACACAAACAAACAAACAAAAAGCACTCCATGTTCATGGATAGGAAGAATGAGTAGTGTAAAAATGGCCATACTGCCAAAGCAATTTACAGATTCAATGCTATCAAACTGCCAACAACATTTTTCACAGAATTAGAAAAAACTATTCTAAAATTAATATGGAATCAAAAAAGAGCCCAAATAGACAAAGTGATTCTAAGCAAAAAGAACAAAACCAGAGGCATAACACTATTCAACTTCAACCTATACACTACAAGGCTACAGTAACCAAAACAGCATGGTATTGATACAAAAACAGACACATAGAACAAGTTAAAGGACTCAGAAATAAAGCCGCACACCTGCAACTATCTGATCTTTGACAAATTGACAATAACAAGCAATGGGCAAAGGACTCCCTATTCAGTAAGTGGTGCTGGGATAACTGGCTAGCCAAATGCAGAAGACTGAAACTGGAACCCTTCCTTTCACCATATACAAAAATCAACTCAAGATGGATTAAAGACTTAACCCTTTCTCAACTAGAAAAAAAAAAGGTCAGTTCGCTGCCAGTGCTCATTTAATTTTACATAAACACACTCTTTGAGGCTGAAGCAAATCTGACTGATTTTCAATGTGAAAATAAAATATAAAAACTGTCCTTGGAGTTATTTCTAAACAGAACTAACATCAGAATCATGTGAATCATCAGAATTATCTATTTCAGAAAAATCAGATTCATCAAATGAAACTTTGGCCAACAATTATTTAAGAACAATGTTAAACTCATGTATAGGAATGCTACGTTTTCTAGCATTCCATCTAAAAATGCTCAACGTCGCTAATCATTAAAGAAATGCAAATCAAAACTACAATGAGATACCATCTTACACCAGTCAGAATGGCTGTTACTTGAAAGTTTAAAAAAAAAAAAAAAAAAAAAAAAAAAAAAAAAAAAAAAAAAAAAAAAAAAAACCACCGCATGCTGGCAAGGTTGCAGAGTAAATGGAATGCTTATAAACTGCTGGTGGGAATGTAAATTAGTTCAGCCACTAACTACCATTAGACCCAGAATCCCATTATTGGAATTAAAGGAATATAAATTGCTCTACCATAAAGACATATGCACGCATATGTTCATCACAGCACTGTTCACAATAGCAAAGATATGGAATCAACCTAGATGTCCATCAATGGTGGACTGGATAAAGGAAATGTTGTATATATACACCATGGAATACTATGCAGCCATAAAAATATAAAATCACATCCTTCACAGCAACATGGTTGCAGCTGGAAGTCATTATCCTAAGTGAATTAATGCAGAAACAGAAAACCAAATACTGCATGTTCTCACTTATAAGCGGGAGCTAGGCTGAGCTAGGCTGAGCTCATGCCTGTAATCCCAACACTTTGGGAGGCCAAGGTAGGCAGATCACTCGAGGCCAGGAATTTGAGACCAGCCTGACCAACATGGCGAAACCCCGTCTCTACTAAAAATACAAAAGTTAGCCTGGCGTGATGGTGCACACTGGTAATCCCAGCTACTCAGGAGGCTGAGGCATGAGAATCACTTGAATCTGGAGGGTGGAGGTTGCAATGATCTGAGATTGCACCACTGCACTCCAGACTGGGTGACAGAGTAAGACTGTCTCAAAAAAATTAAAATAAAATCATATAATATTAAAAAATAAGTGGGAGCTAAACATTGAGTACATATGGATACAGAGAAGGGAACAACAGACACCGGGGCCTGCTCGAAGGTGGAGGTGAGAAGAGGGTGAGGATTGAACACTACTGAGTACTATGTTTATTACCTTGGAGATGAAATAATCTGTACATCAAACCCCCGTGACATTCAATTTACCCATGTAACAAACCTGCACATGTACCCTTGAACCTAAAATAAAAGTTGGAAAGAAAACAATAATAATATTTCCACCAAAGTCTTAAACCAGAATTCGAGTCATCACATGGTAACAAAGGTGGGAAAAAAGAAACCCCAGAAGACCCTCGCCTCCCGATGCAACTCTTGCGACCTTTGTAGGAATAATTCAACTTTATTCCAAACCAGCGCCTAAGAATAAAAAATACCAGAGTGGCAGACCCTCAGCATACTCAATAAATAGTCTCCCAAATGTGCATCTCAGTTTTTGGTAAATGAATATTAGCAGGTCAATACAATCCTAATCTAAAAATACAGTTCCTTCTTCCATTCAACAAATATTTATCAAGCTGCCTCTATGCATCAGTTGTTATTCTAGGTTCCAGAGATAGAATGGTAAATAGCACAGATCTGTGCCCTTGTGGAGTTTACAATAAACAAATGCATAAAAACATGTATAATATAGTGGCAAATAGTGATAAAACACTGTAAAGAAAAATAAAACAGGCAATAGAACATAGCCAGGGAAGGCCTTTCTGAGGTGGTGACATTTAAGGAGAAAGTAAAACGAAGTGAGGACGGGAGCCCTGAAAAGGCATCAGCCATCGAAGAAATAGCAGATGGAACGACCCTGAGGTGAGACCAACAAGAAAGTCAGTGTCAAATCCAGAAATTAAGGAGGGTGATTGAGTGGGAGGTGGAAAGAAGCCAGATTATGTAAGGCCCTAGAGGCCTGGCAAGGACTCTGGGTTTGTTTGTTTGTTTGTTTGTTTGTTTGTTTTTAATTTTATTTAATTTTATTATTATTATACTTTAAGTTTTAGGGTACACGTGCACAATGTGCAGGTTAGTTACATATGTATACATGTGCCATGCTGGTGTGCTGCACCCATTAACTCATCATTTAGCATTAGGTATATCTCCTAATGCTATCCCTCCCCCCTGCCCCCACCCCACAACAGTCCCCAGAGTGTGATGTTCCGACTCTGGGTTTTATTCTAAGAGTAATAGGAAGGTATTAGGACTGTGCTGTCCAGTAAGGTAGGCACCAGCTCATGTGGCTGTTGAGCACCTGAAAAATGGCTAAACTGAGATGTGCTGCAAGTAACAAATACATCCAAGATTTTGATGAGTCAGCATGAAAAGAGGAATGTTAGATACTTCAGTGATAATTTTGTTATATTGATTGACATTGAAATCGCATTTTAGATATATTTATTAGGTAAACTATATTGATCAAATTGGTTTCCCCTGTTTCTCTTTACTTTTTAAAGCCATATGTCTTGTAGGAAGTTTAAAATTATGTTTGTGGCTCACATTATATTTCTACTGGACAGCACTGCATTAGAGGGTTTGAGCAAGAGGTGTGAAGGTTAAAAAATTGCCTACAGGGTACTATGCTCATTACCTGGGTGGCAAAATAATTTGTACATTCAACCTCTGCAACTGGCAACTTACCCATGTAACAAACCTGCACATGTACCCCCTTAAAAGTTATTATTGGGTGCATGGAGCTTATTAAATTATTTTCTTATTATTGTATGTATTTAAATTTTTCTATAACACAAAGTTAAATTTTTCTATAGAATAAACCTTTTAAAAACATATAAAAATGAGCTAAAATGATAGAATTACCCTCCCCTTCCCATACCCATTTTTAGGTATGGATGAAGGTCTACGGAGTAGGCTTTACTCTTCCCTTCTCCTAAGAACACTGCAGCCTGGATTCAGAAATTGTCCTGAATCAGTCTTGATTTCAGAGGACTGTTTTTCTGACGGCCCCTCAGAGGACAATTGAATCTTGCCTCTAGAAATATAGCTCTTCCTGGAAATAACCTTTTATATCCAGTGTTGCCCAAATCCTAAGAGGTCAGGAACTAAGGAATTCCATAACTGGGGTAATAGTTGCTGCGTCAGTTTGTATTTTCCAACACATTCTCCAAAAAACAACTCAATAAAGAACAGCAATAACAAAGAAAGCAACATAAAAATCTGTCCTTGGCATGAATAAAAGACAGAGAAAATCCAAATTCCCAATTACTGTAAGTTAAAAAGACAAAAACAAAAACCAAGGAGCATGAGATCCTAGCATACTACCCTACATGGTCCTGCTGCCCCAAGCCTTGGAGTTGGGGGTCGAGGGGCAAGTACTGTCCAGGGAAGACTGGGGGGAAGAGGGAAGACAAGCAAAGGCTATAAAGTGATCTAAAGTCACAGAAAGAGAAAGTCCTTCCTACATGCAAAATGCTGAAAAGTGTGGTGGTTGATCAGAGTGAAATGAGAAGAGACTTGTAAGTGTGTGCAGGACTCAAGGTGGCACCTTGGAAAAGTAACTCTTCCAAGAAGAGCTGGATAAATGGGAAGGGAGAAGCACCTTTAGAAAACTGTACAGTGCAGAAAGAAAAGGCAAGAATGGGAAAGTTAGGACCCTTAAAAACAAAAGAATGCACAACTCTTCCTCCTATCAGTGCCCCCACCCCTCACACACAGCCAATCAGCAAAGAAAGCAGCCACACTTTGCTACACTGACAGCAGAGGGAGCTCTTGAACTAGGAATCTTGTAAACCACCCCAAATTGTAAACCAGCCCTATCCACAGACATAGAGATCCAAGCAATCTTTAGGCAAAATATGCTATAAAACAAGGATTGAAACAATTCTGCAGATGAAAATTTCTCCCCACTAAGAGGACTGAGGTTCTGTGGAAGCCTTCATTCAGGAGTCAGGACCATTCTGCTAGGACATCCTGCTCAGATACATGTTTGCCTGTGAGCTCATGGGGCCACAGAAACTACAAATGACAGCCCAGAGGCCAGTCAGAAGGTCACACAAGGGAGATGGACATGGATTGCTCTAGGAAAGGTGGTGAAAATAGGATTCAAGATATATTTTAAAGATGCACTAGACTTGTTGATAGACTAGATATGTGGTAAGAGGGGGAAAGTAAGGAATATATCCTACAGTTTTGGTCTGGACAACTAAAAGAACATAAGTACTATGGGCTGAGATAGTACTGGAACCTTACCCCCAGGAGGTGGTGAGAATCCAGAATTTGGTTATGTTCAGTTTCAGATAGCTTCTAAATGTATCCCTATAAATTTCATCATTTTTATCCTATTGTAAATTATATTTTTCTTCAATTTCAATTTCTAATGTTTTAGTTCTAATGTTTTGAATTACACTTTATTTTTGTATGCTGATTTTGTATACTGCAACCTTACTACACTTAGTTCTAGTAAGTTTTTTATAAACACCTTAGGATTTTCTTTATAATCATCTGTAAATAAATTATATTTTGTCCTACCTAATCCATATGCTTTTTATTTCTTTTTCTTGCCTTACTGCTCTCACTACAATATTGAATTGGAGTACTGACAGTGTACTTACTGCCTTGTTTCCTACCTTAAAGAGAAAACAGTCATCGTAATGCTAGCTGTAGATTGTGTGTAGATGCACTTTATCAAGTTGAGCAAGTTTCATTCTGTGTCATTTTGGCTCCTCAAAGAAGCAGATGCCAAGATGAGATTAGATGCACAAAAGATGTACTTGGGGAAATACCTGTGAAGGATAAAGGAGGAGGCAGTGGAGTAGCCAGCAGAGACTTCATATCTGTTGCAGGTTGGACAGCTATGAAAGGAGGGCAGGAAGTCTCACTGGCTAACCAGGTGGTATGAACCAAGCCTTCATTCTTGAGGGCTCTGGGCCCTTGCTAATAATCCCTGTCTTGGGCTAGGATTGCTAACCATGTCTATTCACAGTTATAACAGGGGAAAGTGCATCATCTGATCTCCATGTTTTCTGTCCTGTCCCCATTTTATAAAGGCAGCCTTAAGTCTTCCTGCTGATTAGTGTCCATTATCCCTGCCAAAAGAGTGATACCTCCTTTTTGCTGCTATTCCCTGAATACAGGAAGTCTAGAGTGTCCTGGGGACAACTGTTAAGACTTAGTTTGATGTGACCTTTGCTATGTCATCTGGTAAAAATGCACCCTCTTTAGGTGTTAGAATCCTGAGGAACCCAGAGATGCAGGGATGGAAACCACAACATCCCAGTAGGTAAATTGGGTTCAACATTCAAATATAGGAATAATTGGACTGGCCTTGGAAGTAGGAGGTTATGCTCATGAGACCATGCATAACCTCTATCTCTGTCACCTTGGGCACTCTGTTAATGCTCCAATTATGCTGGTTCAAGGTAGGCCAATAGTAAAAACTGCTTAATGCCAACCGGTTAAACCATTTTAACTACAGATGGAGGCTTTTTATTAATGTATAATACAAAAACCTTCACACTTCATGTCCACTCCCATATGTTCATCCACATGCCTTTATCCTAGACGTCTTATCTTCCAAACTTTCCTTTTCAGGCCCCTGACCAGATGGCAAGGCCATTGGTTACTGTTTATGAATATGGATATATTATCACTTTGGGCCATGTCTCCTTCCATAAAGTGAATGGACAGCTGCACGACTCACAGCTCTGTCCGCTGAAGTTTCTTCTTTTCATTGACCTTCAAGGCCACCCCTGAATGTGGCTACAATGCAGCTTTCAACCATGTTTAGTTGTTCCCCATAATTAGCTGACCCATCTGTAATCCAAGCTCAGGCTTTTCCCTCCTTCAGCCGATTATATGGGACATCCCCCGTAGGGCTATAGTTGCAAGCTGGGGAAGGGGCTGTGTGCTGGTTGACATAGGGATCTGGGCTATCTGCTCCTGGTCAGCTTATTTAGGCCCTCTGGCCATATTTGAGCTTTCTCAGATATACTATTTTCATCTTATGATGAACTACTGCTGGGCATGTCAGACGTTATCACTTATATATATCCCAGATGATAATGGACACTTAGTTACTTAATGCCCCATGGTAAAGTGTTTCTGGCATGTTATTCGACTCCTAGATTTAGAGACAAAACACTTGGCCATGGGGCATAGAGTTGGAATGTCCTCCCCACTCCTCAATTTTCTGAAAGAATTTATATGTTATTAGTAGTTCTTCCTTGAATATTTGAGAAAATTCACCAGTGAAGCCAACTGGGCCTGAAGATTACATTGTTACAAATTTTTTCTTATAAATTCAATATTTTATATATATGTAAATATTACTATTAATATTTTCTATTACTTCTTGAATAATCTTTACAATTTGTGTCTTTCAAGAAATTTGCCCATTTCATCCAAGGCATTGGATTTATTATCGTAAAGTTGGGCATAATATTTCATTATTTTCTTTTTAATGAATGTTGGTTCTGTAATGATGCTTCCTCTTTCATTCCTTATATTGATAATTTGGTTTTTCTCTCTTTTCCTTTAGCATATATGTATGTCTCCATTTGGTAAAGTTTTCTTTCCTCTTTAACGTATCTCGTAGAGCAGGTCTACTGATAACAAACCATCTCAGCTTTTGTTTAATTCAAACTTGTTTTTTCTCCATTAAAAAAATGCCCAAAAATAAGTATAGAATTCTAAGTTGACAAGTTCTTTCAGGACTTTAAAGATAGTATCCCATTGTCTTTTGACTTACATAATTTGTGAACAGAAGTCTGCAGTAATTTATGTCTTTGTTCATCTATACACAATGCACTATTTTTTTCTCCTCAATGCTTTAAAATTTTCTGTGTTTTGGCTTTATAGGAGTTTGATTCTGATGTGTCTTGATGTGTTTTTCTTTACATTTGTACTGTATCCTGGATCTATAGATTGATAATTTTTATCAAATTTTAGAAATATTTGACTGTAATTTCTACAAATATTATTTTCTGTGCTTCTCTCCTTTTCCTCTTAGATTCCAAATACATTTATGTTAGATTGTTTAATATTGTCATATCACTGAGATTCTGAGTTTTTTTTCTGAATTTTTTTTTAAATGTCTGCATGTCATTTTGGATAAGTCTACTGCTATGTCTTCAAATGTACCACTTTTTTATTCTACATTGTCTAATCTGCCAATAATGCCATCCAGAGAATTTTTCATTTCAGATATTGTGATTTTTTCATGACTAGAAGTTCCACATGATTACTTTTATATCATCAATTCCTTTCCTCACCATGCATATTTTTTAAATAGCTGTTTTAATGTTCATGTCTGCTAATATCATCCCCACTATCATTTCTGAGTCAGTTTCTATTGACAGTTTTTTGTCCTGGTTATGGATCAGATTTTCCTGCTTCTTGAAATATGTAATATTTTTATTAATACTAGACATTGTGGATTTTATCTTGTTTAGTACCTGAATTTCATTATCTATCTTTAAAAAGTATTGGGCTGTGTTTGTGTTAGACAGTTAAGTTACCTATGAATAAAGCAAATTATTTCAAGGTTTGTTCTCAGTCTTTGTTATGTAGGCCTATAGCAGCCTTTTCTCCAGGGAAAATTTCACCTTCACTATGAAGACATAACCTTCTGGTATCTCAATTACTACATTCTTGGTGCCTTCAACAAGGGTTTTCCACTCTGACTGCTGAAAGCATGACTATTTCTTGGAAGATTCTATGAGCTTAGAAACCATTCAGTTCCCTGTTTGGTCTTTGACCAAATGAAGTTTAACCTTATTTGTGCATGCCTTAGTATTTAGTAAAAACTCAATGGTATCCATAAGTACATTTCTGGAGCTCTTTTTCTTTGTAGCTCCTTTCTTTCTGAAACTCTGATTTATAAATTCTAGATCCCTCAGATACCCTGAACACTGGTTTCTGTTTGCCAAAACTCAGAGAAATCAAAGCCATCACACTCTACTTGGGATCTCCTCCCTGTTCCCCAAGTGAAAATCTAGGGCAATTAGAGGGTAGATGCAATTATTTCTCTTCTCTTTGGAATCCCGATACTATACTCCCTGTTTTCAAAAACTTAAAAAACATCTGTTCCATATCTTTCTCCAGTTCTCCTGTTGTTTAAGGTAGAAAGTAAATTTATGCATGTTACTCCATCATGACCAGATGCAAAAATCTATTGGCTGGGCAGTTGAATATTTCAGTCTGACTCTGACTCTGAGCTCAGAGAAGCCTAATCTGAAGCTATAAATTTGAAAGTCATACAGTACAAGTGTTTCTCCCAAACTTATTACATTGTATGGGGATAATGCTCCTTTTAACCCAGGGCAGCCAGTCCTAGCCAATAACAGCCCCCCTCATTTTCCACAGTATGAATTGTTTAAATCTATTTCCATCTGTGCTACTAGAAAGAGAGGATAGAGAATAAAGCAAAAAACTGAGTCTTGAGGAATTTTAATATTTAGAGATAGATTGCAGGGAGGGGAAACTGACAAAGGAGACTGAGAATTGCGTATGGAGTAGGAGAAAACTAGGAGAGCATATTGTATTGAAAACCAAGTGAGGAAGATGTTTCAGAGGGCTGGGGTGATTAAATGGTTTTAGAGGTTAAGTAAGATGAAAAATGAAAATCTGCCACTGGTTTAGGCAAGACAGATCTAGCAAGAATATTTTCAGTGAAATGGAGAGGAAAGGGAGGTGAGAAAGCAGAGACAAGTTCAAGTTTTGCTGACGAGGGAGCAAAGAAGATACCTGGAGAAGAATATAAGAAGTAGAAAAGGTTTTTGTAAAAATAGGCATTCTTTAGAGAAAAATCTTATTTATTTCTCTAGTAAGAGGTGCCAATATTGTCACAATACCTCTTTTGTAGCCATAATTTGTCCCATTCATATATTTGTTAATCTCTTTTTCTATATTCAGTTGATCATCATTATTCTCAGCTTCCATATTTGCACATTTGCCTATTTGCTAAAATTTATTTGAAACCCCAAAATTAAACCTCATGAAACTTTTGCCATCATTCATAGACATATACAGAGTGGCAAAAAAATTGAGTTGCCCAAAGTGCATGTTCCTAGCTGAGGTGAACAAGGCTACACTCTGCCTTCTTGTTTCAGCTCTGATACCATAAAGAAGTGTCTTTTTCACAATCTACTTAGTGCCACATTTTTGTGCTTTTTGATGATTTCACTAGTTAAAATGTGCTTCAAGTAACGCTGAAGTGCTATCTAACGTTTCTAAGAACAAGAAAGCTAGGAAACACCTTATGGAGAGAATATATGAGTTCAAGAAGTTTTTTTCAGGTGTGAGTTATGGTGCTGTTGGTCATGAGTTCAGTGTTAATGAATCAACAATATATGTTAAATAAATGTCTTTAAACAGAAACACACATATAACAAGGTAATGTGTCAACTGGTTGACAAAAATATTTTGACTGGAGGGCTCTCAAGACTCTAAGCTTGGGAGCAATAAGTCAGTAGTTTGGTAACTCAGTGTTCCCAGCGACTTTATAGAACATAATTATCACAAAATAATGAGATTCAACTGTATAATATTTTTCTTTAAAAGAATGTATGGTGCAGTAGAAAAGGCACTAGACCAACAATTTTGAGATCTTGGTTTTAGTTCTAACTCCTTCACTATCTAGCTGTGCATCTTTCAGCAAGTCTTTGGGCCTCACTTGGCTTCTTTATCTATGACTGTAGCTCTTTAAATTAGATTATTGCTAAGGCCCCTGAAGTCGTAGCATTCTATGAACTTGAATCATCAGTAAGGAAAATTCTCAAAAATAGTCTCTTCCTGAGAAAGTCTTCTCTTTGCTTTAGTGCAAACCATCCTGCTCCATATGAGGAATTAGGGTGGCAATAATGACCTTACAATAAGACAAGAAGTGAGTGCTATGTTCTATAGAGTGCCACAGAGATTAAATAAAATGCACTGATTTTTTTTTAATCTGGGAATTTTTCCCAGGAAAAGAGTTGCTCATGACTTTGAAAGTGATATCAAAATAACAGTACATGTCACATTAAGAAATAGATATTAATAAGGAATTTTACAAGAAAACAGCCACAGTAGGCTTCAATAGGGTGCAGCCTTCTGATGACAGCTCTGAATACAGAGTGCCAAAATGCAGCCAGACTGAGCGAGGTATGGGCACATTACTAAAAATACAGGAAGAGTACAGTCAGGTGGCAACCTGAATTCACACCCACAGTTTTTCATATAAGAAGCAAAAGTAACTTACAACTCTTTGCTAAAGGATGAGGCTCTGCTAAGTGTAAAGAATACAGACCCATATGTGTAATGACAGAAGGTGACTATCTAATGGGGGTTGTGAGGGGGCGGGGGGGGGATTGAAAAATGAAATGAATTCTCTGCATAATTTGGCTTTTCTGCTTTATTAGAAAAACATGTATTAATACTCCCTTGAAAATGAGAAGTAAAATTTTTTCAATCATTTTTCCCTCAGGAGTCTTTGTTATGGGCTTTGATATTGGGTTGTTATGGACCTACCTTATTCTATTATGGTATTTGGTTCTACAGGGCTATACCATTTTGCAACACTGAGAGTGTGATTTACCAACTGGTCTGTATCAGTCATAGTCCTAACAGGAATAGATGGAAAAATGAAATTAAGATTATTCCAGAAGGGCTTTTAAAGGGACTGTTGAAAAAAGGCTATAGAAAACTAGAAGGGACATTGCAGTCCTCTAGGACAAGTAGCAATGGAGCTGTCACCACACCTGGCTGGAAGCAACCAAAGGGATGGGCTTCCAATTCCTGGGTTTCCACATCCTGGAATTAGAGAGTCATGATGAGAAGGTCACATTGAGAGGAGCAGTGATGTTTAGTCAATCCTCAGCCAGCCCAAGAAAAGTCTAGGAAGAGAACTAAAGGAAAATACCTCAACCATCTGATGGCTTGCCTGTGTTCCCCACTGCCCAACCAGAAGCCAGACAGTAAGATGCCCAATGATGTAGACCAGATAGGAGAATCCAAAAAGCTTCTATGCAGATTTAGAGGTAAAAGTACCCCTACCTTCAAGGTAGAGGTACTCTGAATGCACGTATTGGTCAAAAAAACAAATGGCCAAGAGTAAAAATCAATACCCAGCCAAAGCTAAAAATCATCATCATGGAATAAACTTCAGGGATATAAGAACAAATATAAAATTTTATTCAAAATTGATTAATTTTCAAATTCAGTGTTAGTCAAATTTTAATAGGGCAAGACAGACAATTTTTTCAGAACTGTCAGCTGCTAACTTGCTCCTGCTGTCACTGCACCATTTGGGATATTAAATAGACATTAACTTCAACTGGCACTTTTAATAATATCACTAATCTTTTTATGTGCAAAAATATATAGTTCAGAAAAATATTTTGAGTAGCATGTTTGCTAGAAGAAGCCTTCTACCTAGAATGTACTGTTCAATTCTCCAGCTTTGAAAACCAAAAATGGCTAGCAAACTATAAGAATCATTTTAATAACTTTAAAAAAGGTGTAATCTCTGAATGAGACTCCCAGGGCTACCATAACAAAGTACCATAAACTAGGTGGCTTCAGTCAACACAAATGTAGTCTCTCCTAGCTCTGGCAGCCAGAAGCCTTACATCAAGGGGGCAAGAGGGCCCTGCTCTCTCTGATTCTCTCAGGAGGATCCATCCTTGCCTATTCCCAGCTGCTGGTGGCCACTGCCAAGCCTTGGCATTTCTTGGCTTGCAGCTGTGTCACTCCAACCCCTGCCCCTGTCATCACATGGCATTCTCCCCTCCATGTCTCTGTGTCTTCACATTGTCTTCTTATAAGGACACCAAGTCATACCATATAAAGAGCTCACCCTACTGCAGTATGACCTTACCTTCACTTCTTCCAGCTGCCAAGACATGACATCCAAATAAGGTCACATTCTGAGGCACTGAGGGTTAGGACTTCAAAGTATCTTTTTTGGGGACACAATTCAACCTACAACAGTTTCTATAGATTCAAAATAATAGAAAACTGCTTCTGAAATAATTCTGTAATGTAGTTTTGCAGTATAGTGAGAACAAATGTGTTTAGAATTCTTCATTTTTCTTCTTTTCATCACATTCTTTTTTCTTCTGTATTAGGTCTGGGTCTTAAAGTTAATTTGTCATGAGTGCTATTCTACTTTATTTAGGAAATTTTCCTTCATATAAACATTTAAATTTATAAGACTGTCACCACTAGTCAAGATGGAATAATAGAGACCATATTTATCCTACTGCATGAAAACCTAAAACACCAGACAAAACAAATGAAACATTTTTTTTTGAAGACATTGGACATCAAGGAACAAAGGACAATGATCCTTGAGAAATTGGAAATGAATAAGGTGAGCCTGCAACCAAGCCCCACAGCTTACAACTTGGGAGAGCTTCCCAGACATGGCACAGGTAATGAGAAGCCAGGCAGGGCAAACCAAACAGTTGCCTGAGTTGAGGAGAAAGACCTGGGGATTTCCCAGCTGAAACACCATTTCTAATAGTCATATTAACTCTCAACTTAGTTTCTTGTTTGTGTATTTTAAAGTTCTTAATAATTATTTTTAATCCATAAAACTGATATTCTGACAATCATTGTCAATTGTTAGTGTGCCGTGTTAGTCTTATAATATTTGCACATTTTTACTATGATAGAATTTCAGAATGTAAAGAATTTTTTTCTTGCTAAAAGTTATACCTAAGGTACTTAGCTATATTTGAAAGTAAGGATCTAAATAGTAACAATAATCTGAACAATATGCCTTTCTTCTAATTCCATTATTGGACTAATTTTATATTAAGAAACTTATTCAAGAACATAATTGATCATGCACAAGTTCAGTGATGCCAGAAATGACATCGAAGTCTCACTTATTTTGACTTACAGTGGCTGAAACCAAAACCTAATGGCAAAACTGGGTCAAATACCAAGATAAAAGCCAAAGTATAGTGTGTCCTGTAAAAAGAGAATGCAAATCAGATTGGCTTTGGACATCAGAATAACTTGATTCTAGAAGTCAATAGAGCCACGCTTTCAAAAGTCTGAAGGAAAACTATTTTGAATTTAGAATTCTATGAAATTCAGACTAGTGATTTTGAGGACAAAATACTGATATGTTTATGTATGCAATGATGCAGACGATTTATGTCTCATGCCTACTTTCTGAAAACAATGAGGATAGGCTCCAGCAATGCAGAAAGAATCCAAAAAAGGTAAAGACATGAGAGTCAAAAGACAGTGAAAAACTCAAGAGATCAATAGAAAAATCATTCCAAGATGACAGCTGAGAATCTGACTAAAAAAAAATTATGTCCAAAATTAACCATCAATAATGTTTATCTCTTATTAACATCAGTCATGAATAAAATATTAAAGATACATATGGTGACAGAATAAGATGTAAATGTTACAAATTACAACAGGGTAAAAGTAATGGCATAACTAAGAGAAGTTGGGGGAAGAAAGCAGAGACAGCAGAGGAGAGATGAAGGCAAGTATGGGAGGTTAATTTCTTAAAGATGGTCTAGCCACCATCATTGCCTACGTGTAAATTTTATTCTCCTTCTTTCCAAATGGATGTTCCCAAGTTGACAGTGAAAAGAAACTCCCCAGGTGAAACAAAGCTTGGCTGAGGAGCACTGAGCAGCCAGCTGTGGCACAGGAATGCTGGGGGGTTTCAGAGGATGTGACCACCAGAGAAAAGGGAGGGTCACAGGTATGGGATGGGCAGGCTTTGCTTGTACAGGGACGGCAGAGGAGAAACACAGACACTGCAGTCCTGTTAAAGCTGCCAGCAAACTACCGCAAGGAAAAAAACCAAACACCGCATGTTCTCACTCATAGGTGGGAAATGAACAATGAGAACACATGGACACAGGAAGGGGAACATCACACACCGGGGCCTGTTGTGGGGTGGAGGGAGGGGGGAGGGATAGCATTAGGAGATATACCTAATGTTAAATGACAAGTTACTGGATGCAGCACACCAACATGGCACATGTATACATATGTAACTAACCTGCACATTGTGCACATGTACCCTAAAACTTAAAGTATAATAAAAAATAATAATAATTAAAAAACAAAAAAAAGCTGCCACAGCAGCCCTGGGTGCCTGCCTTCAGACTTTTTGTAATTCAAGCAAGAAATACATTTCTACTTTGTTTGAGCCACTGTTATTTTGTCTTATATATATATGCTATATATATGCAACCAAATCTAATTCCATATGTGATATGGTTTGGCTGTGTCCCCACCCAAATCTCATCTTGAACTGTGGCTCCCATAATCCCCATGTGTCATGGGAGGGACCCAGTGGGAGGTAATTGAATCATGGGGGTGGGTTTTTCCCGTGCTGTTCTAGTGATAGTGAATAAGTCTCATGAGATTTGATGGTTCTATAAAAGGGCAGTTCCCCTGCACATGCTCTCTTGCCTGCCACCACGTAAGATGTGCCTTTGGTCCTCCTTCACTTTCTGCTGTGATTGTGAGGCCTTCCCAGCCATGGGGAACTGTAAGTCCATCAAACTTCTTTTTCTTTATAAATTACCCAGTCTCGGGTATTTCTTTACAGCAGTATGAAAATGGACTAATACAGCATAACACACAATAAATTATCCATTGAAACATCCCTACAAGGGATAGCAACCCTATGAGGTGCAGAGCATCATTACCTTTACAGATGAGGAAACTGAGACACAGAGAGGTTAAGTTACTTGTCCAAGAAAACATAGCTTGTAAGAGGGAGAGCCAATGGGGCAAGAATAATGGAGGAGAGGAGAAAAGGGTTGGTAAAATGGCTATTAGAATAAGGGCACAGGAACAGGCCCCTAGAGCAGCAGATTAATCCTCAGATTAATCCCGCTCTGAAAAATGTGCTGTCTTTACATTTTCTTTACATTTCATCCAATGAGAATATTAGTCCTGAATTACCCGGTAAGTTCTTTAGAAATATATCCCGCATGTGAAAACAGGATCCTGAACTCTACTGCCTCTAGTTAAAAAAAAAAAAAAAAAAAAAAAAAAAAAAAAGGAACACAAATAGCAGATTTTAGAGAGCAAAAAAGCAGCAGCTTTAGCATATTCTGAATAATTGGCAGTTCTCTTTAAGATTGAGCAGCACTGTCTCTGTTTTCACTGTCCTTTCAAAAATGTATTAATTTTCTTGCTTTACTAAGTATAAGGAAGTGAAAATTTTATTTGGCAAATGATAATCTAGAAACTGCTTCAGGCCATTACACCAAATAAAACAGTCAGCTTGGGAATGAAGAGGTCTGTGTTCTAGGTCCAGCTCAGCCCTGATGAGCCCGAAGCTTTAGACATTACAATTTATATCCGGTTCCCTGTATCCTCATTTATTTAAAAAGATGGTTGGACTTTAGGTAATGTTTGGATGACATTTTCCAAAGCCTTTTTTAGCCCCAATTCTCAATGACTCTGAGAGTAATTATATTGTCTACACATGAAGAAAACGTGGAAGGCATATCCTGAAAGGTGTTTTATGCCTTTTTAACTCCCTGTGATGAAGTTGTTTAATTGATTCTGTTACCCTGCCCCACTCCCCCACAAAACAATGGAGCATAGTAAAAACACTGCAGATTAATGGAGGCTTCTGATTATTTAGGAGCTGCTTAAATAGGACCTTACTATAACGCTATTTACAATGAGGCCTGGGAAAATTGGTGGGCTTACGGTTACAGCCTTAATAATTTGCCTTAATAGATTTAACCTAAAATAACAGGCTGAAAGGACAAATAAAATTAGCAGTTTCCTGGATAATTCCTGGATAAATGTAAGTGTTAAATCCTTTTGAAAAAAGATACAAGTTAGTAGCTATGGTTCAAAAGAGACATAGATGGGAAATGGCTAAGGTTACTCTGCCCCTAATTAAGGGCTTGGCAAAGTTCTGACTCCTGTAGCCTGCCTCACTCTGGGCTGTTCTGCTTCGTTTCTCGGAGTGTTAGGTGTCAGAGTGACTAATGTCTTTCTTTGTGGGCAATCTCTCCCAGATGGAACTTTGCCAAGAATCCAGAAATAGGCAAAAAGGGGGAAAAAAATTCTCTCAGGAGCCCAAAGAGCAATAGAGAATATGAACATGGCTTGTGTCCTTAATACAATCTCATTCATTCATGCAAGTGCCTCCTTTTTTGCTGACTGTGGAACACAAAAAGAATTAGAAGCTACAGAAGATATTGCCATGTCGGGCATCAGAGAAATGACTGTCCGTGTAGTCTGTATTGCTGACACTTCAGCTTCCCATCAACACAAGGGTGTCTTTTTATAAAGTTGTGTTTACTTTGTACATTGGTTCAGTACTTATTTCAGTAATTTTCATGTTCATCCTTATTCTGTACCTTTGCCTCCAAAACTTCCCTCCTTATGTTTCTTTGTTGTTAACTTCCCACAATGTTTGTTTAGAATTGCTCAGCAGCAGGAGACACTCCCAGCAGCAAATGCCCACATTACAAGGCAGAGATTTTTTTTTTTTTTTTTTTTTTTTTTTGCTTCCTCACATCTGGCAAGGAAGGCCTCTGCTGCTTTCATTTCACAGAATAATATACAACCAACAAGGACTATTTCCAACTCTTCATAAAAGCCCCTCTCCATCAAGAGGGAACTTAAGGCTTAGTGGTCATGGAGGCCACAACTGGTCAGCATTGGCTCCTTCCTATGAGACAATGAGGGAGAGTAGGGCAAGGCTTGACTTAGTGCTATTCCAGGAGGCATGTTCACTTCCAGGGCTTGACAGATTAAACTCATATTACTACTTCAAGCACTTGTCATCAACCTTGCATAAACATCCTTGCCCAGTTATTTTCAAAGAACAAGATCCCAATTGCAAAGACAGCCAGAAGATCCACAATGGACTCTCCAACATGCTACTTATGGAATAACAAAGGCAGGAGCAATGCCATCATCTCTGGATTCACTGCTTAAAAAAAACCAAAAAAACAAAAAAAAAAAAACAAAAAAAACGAAATCACTTAATTCTCCTGCAAAATGGCCCAAAAATGTTTCCAATGAGTTTTAAAAATTTTTTTATTTGTATAGATTTAGGGGTACCAGTGCAGATTTCTTACATGCATATATCGTGTAGTGGTAAAGTCTGGGTTTCTAGTGTGCCCATTGCCCAAATAGTGTACATTGTACCAAACAGGCAATTTTTCAACCTCATCCCCCTCCCCACCTTCCCATCTTTTGTAGTGTCCAATGTCCACTATTCCGCTCTGAATGTCCCTGTGTTCCCACTGTTTACCTTCTACTATTTGACTTTCTGTTTCTGAGTTATTTCACTTAGAATAGTGGCCTCCAGTTCCATCCATGTTGCTGCAAAAGACATGATTTTATTCTTTTTAAAGGCTGAGTAGTAGTCCGTGGTATAAATACACCACATATTAAATTTGTCCTATTCCTCACTGATGGACACGTAGGTTGATTCCATGTCTTCACTCTTGTAAATAGTGATGCAATTAACATAGAAGTGGAGATATCTTTTTAGTATAATGATTTTTTTCCCTTTGTGTAGATACTCAGTAGTAGGATTGCTGAATCTAATGGTAGTTTTATTTTTAGTTATTTAAGGAATCTCCATATTGTTTGCTGTAAAGGTTATACTTATTTACAATCCCCACTAACAGTGTATAAGCATTCCCTTTACTCTGCATCGTTACCAACATCTGTTATTTTTTGACCTTTTAACAATAGCCATCCAGACTGGTGTAAGACGCTATCTCGTTGTGATTTCAATTAGCATTTCTCTGAAGATTACTGACATTTTTTTCATGTTTCTTGGCCAAGTGGATGTCTTGTTTTCAAAAATGTCTGTTCATGTACTTTGCCTTTTTAATGATTTTTTTTATTATTTTTTTCTTCTTCTTGAGTTGTTTAAGTTCTTTGTAGGTTCTGGACATTAGCCCTTTGTCAGATGCATAGTTTGCAAATTTTTTTTCCCATTCTGTAGGTTGTTTACTCTGTTGACTATTTCTTTCACTGTGCAGAAACATTTTAGTTTAATTAAGTCCCATTTGTCTATTTTTGTTTTTGTTGCATTTGTCTTTGAAGACTTAGTCATAAATTGTCTAGATCAGTGTGCAGAAGAGTTTTTCCTAGGTTTTCTTCTAGTGTTTTTATAGTTTCAGGTCTTATGTTTAAGTCTTTACTCCATCTTGAGTAAATCATTGTATATGGTAAGAGGTATGGGTCCAGTTTCATTCTTCTGCATATGGCAATCCAATTTTCCCAGCACCACTTATTGAATAAAGTGTTCTTTCCCCAGTGTATATTCTTGTTGACTTTGTCAAAGATCAGTTGGTTGTAGGTATGTGGCCTTATTTTCGGGTTCCTATTTATCTGTCTATTTTTATATCACTACCATGCTGTTTTGGTTACTATAGCATTGTAGTATAATTTGAAGTCAGGTAAATGCGATACCTTAAACTTTGTTCTTTTTGCTTAGAATTGCCTTGGCTATTCAGGCTATTTTTTATTTTATATGAATTTTAGGGTTGTTTTTTCTAATTCTGTGAAAAATGATGGTAATTTGATAGGGGCTGCATCGAGTCTGTAGATTATTTCAGGTAGTATGTTTGTTTTTTTGTTTTGTTTGTTGTTGTTGTTTTTAGACAGGGTCTTACTCTGTTACCCAGGCTGGAGTGCTGTGGCACGATCTCAGCTCACTGCAACCTCTGCCTCCTGGGCTCAAGCGATTCTCCCACCTTAACCTCCCAAGTAGCTGGGACTACAGCTATGCACCACCACACCTGGCTAATTTTTTAATATTTTTTGTAGATAGGAGGGTCGCCATCTTGCCCAGGCTGGAGTATGTTTATTTTAATAACATTGATTCTTCCAATCCATGAGCATGAAATGTTTTTCTATTTGTTCGTGTCATCTATGATTTCTTTCATCAGTATTTTGTGGTTCTCCTTGTAGAGATTTTTCACCTCCTAGGTTAAACTTATTTTTATGTATTTCATTTTCTGGTAGCTATTATAAATGCAATTGCCTTCTTGATTTGATCCTCAGCTAGACTGTTATTGGTGTATAGAAATGCTATTGATTTCTGTACAAATCTAAGAGGTTTTTGGTGAAGTCTTTAGGGTTTTCTAGGCATATGATCATACCATCAACAAACAGGGATAATGCGATTTCCTCTTCTCCAATTTGGATGCCTCTTATGTTTTTCTCTTGCCAGGTTGCTCTGGTGAGGACTTCCCTCAAAGAATTTTGAATTGTATGACCCTATTGAAGCTGTTCTTTAGTTCTTGACTCCCTACAATAAAAATTGAGCAAGATTGATAAAGAGAGAGCACCACAGATTAATATTAACTTGGATTTGGCTAGTGGGTTACTATCTGTATTAGTTTCCTAGGGCTGCCATAGCAAATTACCACAAAGTAGGCAGCTTAAAACATCAGAAATGTATACTCTTCTTGTCTGGAGACCTTGAAATCAAGGTGTTAGCAAGGTCACGATCCCTCTAAAGCAATAAGAGATCATCCTTCCTTGCCTCTGCCAGTTTCTGTGGCTCCAGGTAACCCTGGCCTGTGACAGCATAACTCCAATCACTGCTTTTATCTTCACATGGTCTTTTTCTCTGTGTACTCTACCCTTCTCTTTTTATATAAGGACACTTGCCGTTGGATTTAGGGCCCAACATAATCCAGGATGATCTCATCTCAAGATGCCTAACTTAATTACATCTGCAAAGACCTTTTTTCAAGTAAGGTCACATTCACAGGTTCCAAGTAGACATATCTTTTTTTTTTTCAAGGAGAAATGGGGGTAAGCCCCATTCAATCCACTACATTATGTAATTTCTCGAATTAGATTGCATCCATTTCAGAAAGCTTTGTACTACACGGTATAACAGCAGTAACCTGGATGTCAGTTGAGGTCTTCCTTCTCTTTAAGATACAAATGTGATTTTCTAGAATCCTGATTCTATGCCTAGGAAAGTCTAATCTATCTCCAGGTTTTCTGCAAATTTCAGAGTGGGGCAAGAGAAAAGGAGAACAAACTCTACTGAATAAATACAGTTCATAAATTATCTGCCGCTTGTCTCTTTCTTTTGTCTTATGTTTTAAATTTTATTTTATTTAAGTTCCAGGGTACATATGCAGGATGTGCATCTCTGTTACACAGGTAAACATGTGCCATAGTGGTTTGCTGCACCTATCAACCCATTACCTAAATATTAAGCCCAGTATGCCTTAGCTATTTTTCCTGATGCTCTCCCTTCCCCCTACTCCCAACAGGCTCCAGTATGTGTTGTTCCCTCCCTGTGTCCATGTAGTCTCATTATTCAGCTCCTACTTATGGTTGAGAACATGCAGTGTTCGGTTTTCTGTTCCTGTGTTAGTTTGTTGAGGATAATGGCTTCCAGGTCCATCCATGTCCCTTCAAAGGACATAGTCTCATTCCTTTTTATGGCTGAATAGTATTCCATGGTACACAGTATACGTGCCACATTTTCTTCATCCAGTCTATCATTAATGGGCATTTGGGTCAATTTCATGTCTTTGCGATTGTGAATAGTACTACAATGAATATACCCATGTATGTATCTTTATAATAGAATGATTTATATTCCTGTAGGTATATACCCAGTAATGGGATTGCTGGGTCAAATGGTATTTCCAGTTCTAGCTCTTTAAAGAATCACCACACTGTCTGCCACAATAGTTGAGCTAATTTACATTTTCACCAACAGTGTAAAAGCATTCCTATCTCTCTGCAGCCTCACCAGCATCTGTTGTTTCTTGACTATTTAATAATCGTCATTCTGACTGGTGTGAGATGGTATCTCATTGTGGTTTTGATTTGCATTTCAATATCAATCAGTGATATTGAGCTTTTTTATATATGTTCGTTGGCTGCATAGATGTCTTCTTTTGAGAAGTGTCTGTTCATGTCCTTTGCCCACTTTTTAATGGAGTCATTTGTCTTTTTCTTATAAATATATTTAAGTTCCTTGTAGATTCTGGATATTAGACCTTTGTCAGATGGATAGACTGCAAGAATTTTCTCCCATTCTGTAGGTTGCCTGTTCACTTTGATGACAGTTTATTTTGCTGTGCAGAAGCTCTTTAGCTTAATTAGATCTCATTTGTCAATTTTTGCTTTTGTTGCAATTGCTTTTGGTGTTTTCATCATGAAATCTTTGCCTGTGCCTATGTCCTGAATGGTATTGACTAGATTTTCCTCTAGGGTTTTTATAGTTTTGGGTTTTACATTTAAGTCTTTGGTGCATCTTGAATTAATTTTTGTATAAGGTGTAAAGAAGGGCTCCAGTGTCAGTTTTCTGCATATGGCTGGCCAGTTCTCCCAGCACCATTTATTAAATAGGCAATCCTTTCCCCATTGCTTGTTTTTGTCAGGTTTGTTGAAGATCAGATGGTTGTAGATGTGCGGTCTAATCTCTGAGTTCTCTATTATGTTCCATTGGTCTGTCTGTTTTTGTACCAGTACCATGCTGTTTTGTTTACTGTAGCCTTGTAGTACAGTTTGAAGTTGGGTAGCATGATGCCTCCAGCTTTGTTCTTTTTGCTTAGGATTGTCTTGGTTATAGGGGCTCTTTTTTGGTTCCACATGAATTTTAAAATAGTTTTTTCTAATTCTGAGAAGAATGTCAATGGTAGCTTGATGGGACTAGCATTGAATCTATAAATTACTTTGGGGAGTATGGCCATTTTCACAATATTGAGTCTTCCTATCCATGAGCATGGAATGTTTTTCCATTTGTTAGTGTCCTCTCTGATTTCCTTGAGCAGTGTTTTGTAGTTCTCCTTGAAGAGGTCCTTCACTTCCCTTGTTAGTTGTATTCCTGGGTATTTTATTCCCTTTGTAGCAATTGTGAATGGGAGCTCATTCATGATTTGGCTCTCTGCTTGTCTATTGTTGGTGTATAGGAATACTTGTGATTTTTTTTTCAATTTTAGTTCTGGGGTGCATGTGCAGAATGTGCAGGTTTGTTACATAGGTAAATGTGTGTCGTGGTGGTTTGCTGCACCTATAAACCCATCACCTAAATATTAAGCCCAGCATGCATTAGCTATTTTTTCTGATACTCTCCCTCCCCCTGCCCCCACCAATAGGCCCCAATGTTTGTTAATCCCCTCTCTGTGTCCATGTGTTCTCATTTTTCAGCTCCCACTTATGAGTGAGAACATAATGCTTGTGATTTTTGCACATAGATTTTGTATCCTGAGACTTTGCTAAAGTTGCTTATCAGCTTAAGAAGTTTTTGGGCTGAGATGATGGGGTTTTCTAGTTATAGGATCATGTCATCTGCAAACAGAGACAATTTGACATCCTCTCTTCCTATTTGAATACCCTTTATTTCTTTCTCTTGCCTAATTGCCCTGGCCAGAACTTCCAATACTATGTTGAATAGGCGTGGCAAGAGAGGGCCGCCTTATCTAGTGCCAGTTCTCAAGAGGAATGCTTCCAGCTTTTGCCCATTCAGTATGATATTGGCTGTGGGTTTGTCAAAAATGGCTCTTATTGTTTTGAAATATGTTCCTTCAATACCTAGTTTATTGAGAGTTTTTAACATGAGGGGACGTTCATTTTTATTGAAGGCCTTTTCTGCATCTATTAAGATAATCATGTGATTTTTGTCTTCAGTTCCATTTATATGATGAATTACATTTGTTAGTGTGTATATGTTGAATCAGCCTTGCATCCCAGGGATAAAGCCAACTTGATTGCGGTGGATAAGCTTTTTGATGTGCTGCTGGATTCAGTTTGCCAGTATTTTACTAAGGATTTTTGCATCAATGTTCATCAGGGATATTGGCGTGAAGTTTTCTTTTTTTTGTTTATCTCTGCCAGGTTTTGGTATCAGGATGATGCTGGCCCCATAAAATGAGTTAGGGAGGAGTCCCTCCTTTTCAATTGTTTGGAATAGTTTCAGAAGAAATGGTACCAGCTCCTCTTTGCACCTCTGGCAGAATTTAGCTGTGAGTCCATCTGGTCCTGGGCTTTTTTTGGTTGGTAGGCTATTTATTATTGCCTCAATTTCAGAACTCATTATTGGTCTATTCAGGGATTCAACTTCTTCCTGGTTCAGTCTTGGGAGGGCGTATGTGTCCAGGAATATATCCATTTCTTTTAGATTTTCTAATGCATTTGCACAGAGGTGTTTATAGTATTCTCTGACGGTTGTATGTATTTCTGTGGGGTCAGTGGTGATATCCCCTTTATCATTTTTTATTGTGTCCATTTGATTCTTCTCTCTTTTCTTTTTTATTAATCTAGTTAGTGGTCTATATATTTTATTAATGTTTTCAAAAAACCCAGCTCCTGGATTCATTGATTTTTTAAGGGTTTTTCATGTCTATCTCCTTCAGTTTCACTCTGATCTTAGTTATTTCTTGTTTTCTGCTAGCTTTGGGGTCTGTTTGCTCTTGGTTCCCTAGTTCTTTTAGTTGTGACATTAGGATGTTGATTTGAGATCTTTCTAGTTTTTTGATGTGGTCATTTAGCGCTCTAAATTTCCCTCTTAACACTGCTTTAGCTACATCCCAGAGATTCTGGTATGTTGTCTCCTTGTTCTCACTAGTTTCAAAGAACTTCTTGTTTTATGCCTTAATTTCATTATTTACCCAGGAGTCATTCAGGAGCAGTTTGTTCAATTTCCATGTAGTTGTGTGGTTTTGTGTGAGTTTTTAAATCTTGAGTTCTAATTTAATTGCGCTGTTTTCTGAGAGATAGTTTGTTATGATTTCAGTTCTTTTGCATTTGCTGAGGAGTGTTTTACTTCCAATTATGTGATCAAGTTTAGAGTAAGTGCCATGTAGCACCGAGAAGAATGTATATTCTGTTGTTTTTGGGTAGAGAGTTCTGCAGATTTCCATCAGGTTCACTTGATCCACAGCTGAGTTCAAGTCCTGAATATCTTTAAAAAATTTTTTTTCTTGATGATCTAATATTGACAACAAGGTGTTAAAGTCTTTCACTATTATTATGCAGGCGTCTAAGTCTCTTTGTAGGTCTCTAAGAACTTGTTTTAATGAACCTGGGTGCTCCTGTATTGGATGCATATATATATAGGATAGTTAGCTCTTCTTGTTGAATTGAATCCTTTACCACTAATGTAACGCCCTTCTTTGTCTTTTTTGATCTTTGTCGGTTTAAAGTCTGTTTTGTCAGAAACTAGGATTGCAACCCCTGGTTTTTTCTGCTTTCCATTTGCTTGATAAATTTTCCTTCATCCTTTTCTTTTGAGCCTATGTGTGTCTTTGCAAGTGAGATGGGTCTCTTGAATACAGTACACCAATGGGTCTTGACTCTAATTTATCCAGCTTGCCATTCTGTGTCTTTTAATTGGGACATTTAGCTCATTTACATTGAAGGTTAATATTGCTATGTGTGAATTTAATACTGTCATCATGATGCTGGCTAGTTATTTTTCAGACTTGTTAATGTAGTTTTTTCATAGGGTTATTGGTCTGTGTACTTCAGTGTGTTTTTGTAGAGGCTGGTAACAGTTTTTTCTTTCCATATTCAATGCTTCCTGAGGAGCTCTTGCAAGGCAGGCCTGGTGGTGATGAATTCCCTCAGCATTTGCTTGTCTGAAAATGATTTTGTTTATCTTTTGCTTATGAAGCTTAGTTTGGCCAGATATGAAATTCTGGGTTGGAAATTCTTTTCTTTAAGAATGTTGAATATTGTCCTCCAATCTCTTCTGGTTTGTAGGGTTTCTGCTGAGAGGTCCACTGTTAGTTTGATGGGATTCCCTTTGTAGGTGACCTGGCCTTTCTCTCTGTCTGCTCTTGACATTTTTTCCTTCATTCTGACCTTGGAAAATCTGATGATTATGTGTCTTTGGGTTTATCTTCTCATAGAGTATCTTACTGGGGTTCTCTGGATTTCCTGAATTTGAATGTTGGCCTGTCTTGCTAGGCTGGGGAAGTGCTCCTGGATGATATCCTGAAGTATGTTTTCCAACTTGGTTCCATTCTCCCAATCTCTTTTAGGTACCCCAATCATTCATAGGTTAGGTCTTTTTATATAATCCCATAATTCTCGGAGGTTTTGTTTGTTCCTTTTTATTCATTGTTGTCTAATTTTGTCTGCCTGTCATATTTCAGCAAGATAATCTTCAAGCTCTGAGATTCTCTCCTCTGCTTGGTCTATTCAGCTATTGATACTTGTGGTTGCATTGTGACGTTCTCGTGTTGTGCTTTTTAGCTCCATCAGGTCATTTATGTTCCTCTCTAAAATGGTTATTCTGGTTAACAGCTCATGTAATGTTTTATCATCATTCTTAGCTTCTTTGCATTGGGTTAGAATATACCCCTTTAACTCAGTGAAGTTCACTATTACCCACCTTGTGAAGTCTACTTCTGTCAATTCATCCATCTCAGCCTCAGCCCAGTTCTGTGCCCTTGCTGGAGAGGTGTTGCAATCATTTGGAGGAGAAGAGGCAGTCTGACTTTTTTATTTGTCCATGTTTTTGCGCTGATTTTTTCTCATCTTCATAGGTTTATCTACCTTTGATCTTTGAGGCTGCTGACATTTTGTTGGGATTTTTGTGGGTTCTTTTTTGTTGATATTGTTGTTGTTATTGTTGTTGTTGCTTTCTGTTTGTTTGTTTTTCTTTTAAAAGTCAGGCTCCTCTTCCATAGGGCTGCTGTGGTCTGCTGGTGGTCCACTGCAGAGCCTATTCACCTGGGCCCCTCCTGCACCTGGAGGTATCACCAATGGAGGCTTCAGAACAGCAAAGATGGCTTCCTTGTCCTTCCTGTGGGATCTCTGTCCCAGAGGGGCACCAAGCTGATGCTGGTGGGAACACTCCTGTATAAGGTGTTTGACAACCTCTATTGGGAGGTCTCACCCAGTAAGGAGGCATGGGATCCAGAACCCACTTAATGAAGCATTCTGGCTGCCCCTTGACAGATGGGATGCACTGTGCTGGGGGAATCCCACTTGTCCAGACTGCCTGGATTCCTCAGAGCCAGCAGAGGAAAAGACTAAGTCTTCTGAACCAGAAACCATGGCCACCCCTCCCCACAGGGGCTCTGTCCAAGGGAAATCAGAGTTCTGTCTGTAAACCCCTGGTTGGAGTGGCTGAAATTCTCAAAGGAAGGCCCCACTGGTGAGGAGGAATGGATCCAGGTCCTACCTAAAGAAGCAGTCTGGTCACAATCTGCCACAGCCGCTGTGCTGCACTGTAGGGAATTCCTTCTGGTCCAAACTGCCCAGTCCCCCCAGCACCAGCAGGGGAAAATAGCCCACTGGAGCTGCAGTGATGGCAGCCTCCCCTCCCTCAGAGAACTTGATCATCTTAGGCAGTCTCCAGCATATGTGAGAGGCCACCAAGAGTCTGCACAGCTCTGTGCTTGGGACCCAAGGCCCTGGTGGTGTGGACTCACAAGAGGATCTCCTGATCCATGGGTTGCACAGATCTGTGGCAAAAGTGTGGCTTCCCTAACAGGGTAGCACAGTCACCCACCACCTCCTTTAGCTGGGGATGGGAGTTCCCCTTACCCTGTGAGGCTCCCAGCTGGGTAGTTGTTCACCCTACTTTTCCTCACTTTCCGTGGGTTGTGCTAACTGCCTAGTCAGTCCCAGTGAGAGAACCTGGATACCTCAGCTGAAGCTGTAGGATTCACTTGCTGTTTTTGTTCTCAGTGGGAGCCACAGACTGGAGCTGCTTCTAATCAGCCATCTCAGATCCTTCCCATCCCTTGCCTTATCAATCCAGAAACAGAATTTGGCCTCAATTAAAAATAATCACTCTTAAAGGGCTTTTACATAAATAATAGATTTTATTGAATTATCAATAATGAAGGGGTTGAACATATAAAGGCAACCCATTTAAATCAAATATAAGAAATTCCTGTTCTTAAATTCTTCACCCACATACCCGTGTGACTTGGCCATCATCTCTCTCATTTCCCTTTAACTGCCACACTCCCATTCCTATTTATTTCTTGGCAGAACAAGTTCATTGTCTATTTTCTTCCCTCCTTCAGCAAGCCCTGCCCTCAGGGGCTCACTTTTTATCCTGGGATCTTATTAACCGATTTAAACTGACTTCCTTTTAGGGACAGTTCTCAGTTGAAGAAGAATTCTAGTATCAGCTATCAAGATTCTAATACTGCCTTCCCCCATGCTCTACTATAAATCACTTACAATCTATTAGAAAGAGTTTTTAAGGTGATTTTTTAAAGTTGTGCATCAACTACAAATCAAAACTTCCATGGTAACTTTTTTTTTTTTTTGAGACGGGGTCTTGCTCTGTCGCCCAGACTGGAGTGCAGTGGTGCAATCTTGGCTCACTGCAACCTCTGCTCCTGGGTTCATGCCATTCTCCTGCCTCAGCCACCTGAGTAGCTGGGACTATAGGCTCCCGCCACCATGCCTGGCTAATTTTTTTTGTATTTTTAGTAGAGACGGGGTTTCACTGTGTTGGTCAGGATGGTCTCGATCTCCTGACCTCGTGATCCGCCCACCTCAGCCTCCCAAAGTGCTGGGATTACAGGCGTGAGCCACCATGCCCAGCCTGGTAACAATGTTTCTAAGGGAAAACTCAGAATGAAATTTACCACTTTTACTTTATAAAACTTATACCAGGGTTGCTCTTTAGACAATGCAAAGTGGGAGAGAGGGAAATGAGCACAAGGAAGAGTGGGTATTATAGATAGGAGGAGTTGTTACCATGAATGCAATGGAACTTGAGCTATCATTTGATCACATTGAGCATGTACTGATTCCTCCTCGGAGCCACAAGTCATTTGCTTCCTTAAAAGAATATTTGAGCCTAAATCAAAGCCTATGAGCTGCAAACACAGAATGACAATAAATGAACATCAGGGCATGATTGATTAATATGTGCTTATTTCCCAGGTTTCCAACAGCTTTAGGCTAACGGCTAAAAGTGCCAACCCCAGGATGAAGTTTGTCCTGCCAGATAATCAGGGAAGGACTCAGAGGAAAAAGCATGAAGCAGCAGCTGTTGTCAAAAATATGGGTCGACTATACAATACTAAGTGCTGAGGCAAAGAGCCAGGGCCACTGAGGGAATGAGCTTCACTTCCTCCTGGTAAGCTACTCTGCGATGAGATGACGGAATACATGACATTTGGAAAATAAAAAGTTGAATATATAGAGAACATAACATGTACAATCTTTTAAAATACATGGGTTCAACATGTGAGTATGTATTTCTAAAGTCCATTCCTTACTCAAGCCACTGATGCTGATGGCATTGTAGCTTAAATAAAGATGGAAGAATAAATGGCAAACTTCCAATAAGGATGCCCTCTCTCACCACTCCTATCCAACACAGTATTGGAAGTTCTGGCCAGGGCAATCAGGCAAGAGAAAGAAATAAAAGGTGTTCAAATAGGAAGACAGGAAGTCAAATTGTCTCTGTTTGTGGATGACATGATTGTATATTTAGAAAACCCCAACGTCTCAGCCCAAAAATTCTTCAAGCTGATAAGCAACTTCAGCAAAGTCTCAGGATTCAAAATCAATGTGCAAAAATCACAAGCATTTCTATACACCAATAACAGACAAACAGAGAGCCAAATAATGAGTGACTTCCCATTCACAATTGCTACAGAGAGAATAAAATACCTAGGAATACAACTTACAAGGGATGTGAAGGACCTCTTCAAGGAGAACTACAAACCACTGCTCAAGGAAATATTATAGGATGCAAACAAATGGAAAAAAAATTCCATGCTCATGGATAGGAAGAATCAAGAGTGAAAATGGCCATAATGCCCAAAGTAATTTATAGATTCAATGCTAGTCCCATCAAGCTACCATTGACTTTCTTCACAGAATTGGAAAAAACTACTTTAAATTTTATACGGAACCAAAAGAGAGCCCATATAGCCAAGACAATCCTAAGCAAAAATAACAAAGCTAGAGACATCATGCTACCTGACCTCAAACTATACTACCAGGCTACAGTAACCAAAGCAGCATGGTACTGGTACCAAAACAGATATATAGACCAATGGAACAGAACAGAGGCCTCAGAAATAACACCACACATCCACAACCATCTGATCTTCCACAAACCTGACAAGAACAACAATGGGGAAAGGATTCCCTATTTAATAAATGGTGCTGGGAAAACTGGCTAGACATATGCAGAAAACTGAAACTGGACCCCTTCCTTATACCTTATACAAAAATTAACTTAAGATGCACTAAAGACTTAAATGTAAAACACAAAACCATAAAAACCCTAGAAGAAAACCTGGGTAATACATTGGCATGGGCAAAGATTTCATGATGAAAACACCAAAAGCAACTGCAACGAAAGCAAAAATTGACCAATGAGATCTAATTAAACTATAGAGCTTCTGCACAGCAAAAGAAACTATAATCAGGGTTAATAGGCAATCTACAGAATAGGAGAAAATTTTTGCAATCTTTCCACCTGACAAAGGTCTAATATCCAGAATCTACAAGGAACTTAAACAAATTTATAAGAAAAAAACAAACAACCCCATCAAAAAGTGGGCAAAGGATATGAACAGACACTTCTCAAAAGAAGACATTTATGCAGCCAACAAACATGTGAAAAAAAAGCTCATCTTCACTGGTCATTAGAGAAATGCAAATCAAAACCACAATGAGATGCCATCTCATGCAAGTTAGAATGGCAATCATTAAAAAGTCAGGAAACAACAGATGCTGGCAAGGATGTGAAGAAATAGGAACACTTTTACACTGTTGGTGGGTGTGTAAATTAGCTCAACCATTGTGGAAGACAGAGTGGCGATTCCCCAAGGATCTAGAACCAGGAATACCATTTGACCCAGCAATCCCATTACTGGGTATATACCCAAAGGATTATAAATCATTCTGCTATAAAGACACATGCACATGTATGTTTATTGCAGCACTATTTATAATAGCAAAGACTTGGAACTAACCTAAATGCCCATCAGTGATAGACTGGATAAAGAAAATGTGGCACATATACACCATGGAATACTATGCAGCCATAACAAAGAATGAGTTCATATCCTTTGCAGGGACATGGATGAAGCTGGATACTATCATTCTCAGCAAACTAACACAAGAACAGAAAACCAAACACTGCATGTTCTCACTCACAAGTGGGAGTTGAACAATGAGATCACATGGACACAGGGAGGGGAACATCACACACCAGGGCCTGTCGAGGGGTTGGGGTAAAGGGAAGAAAGAGCAATGGGACAAACACCTAACACATGTGGGGCTTAAAACCTAGATGATGGGTTGATAGGTGTAGCAAACCACCATGGCACATGTATACCAATGTAACAAACCTGTACATTCTACACATGTATCCCAGAACTTAAAGGAAAATAAAAAAATGTTTTTAAAATGGCATACTTCAATGACCAACCTAATTGAGAGAATTTATTTCCAAGGAAAGACAGTTAAAAGGTGAAGAAATTGAAGTTAGGAACAATGTAATTAGACAGATGACTTGCACCCTCACATATCACTCATCATTAACATAACAGTTGTGCCCCCTAGGAATTTTGAGTTCACTGAACAGATTACAATAGGTAAGGGTTTAAAGAGAGAATTAAGAGCTAATAAATTATCCACCAGGAAAAATCCCCTCACGCCTGTAATCCCAGCACTTTGGGAGGCCGAGGCGGGCGGATCACGAGGTCAGGAGATCGAGACCATCCCAGCTAAAACGGTGAAACCCCGTCTCTACTAAAAATACAAAAAATTAGCCGGGCGTAGTGGCGGGCGCCTGTAGTCCCAGCTACTTGGGAGGCTGAGGCAGGAGAATGGCGAGAACCCGGGAGGCGGAGCTTGCAGTGAGCCGAGATCCCGCCACTGCACTCCAGCCTGGGCGACAGAGCGAGACTCCGTCTCAAAAAAAAAAAAAAATCCCCTAGGAGAAGTCACCTATTCCAGCTCTGTGCTATCAGATAAGACTACTGTTACACTGTTTCTTAAAGAGAAGAAACAATTTTTGTTTTTTCAAAGTCTCCAGGAGGGAAATCCACAATTATCCTAGGTCTAATAATCCTCACACCAAATCCAATTTAACATGTTCACTGTTCTCTCCTGCTTCTGTCTCTGTAGAGAGAGAACATTGATCTTCATATGGAAAGAATATTATCAAGTTCACTCTCAGCCTCCTTTTGGCCTTTTTTCCTAGACCTTCTTTTCTACTTCTCTAATCTTCATTCACCTCCTTGAAACTCTCTTTCATGTTCTTCACATTTCACTCTAACTGTGAAGTCCAAATATGAGTTGTCCTCCAGGAAATTTCTATAGACCACCTCAAGGGACTATCACTCCTAATCTCTTAAACAAAAAGTTAACAAGTCTTGGGAACTCCCCGGTTTGTTCAATTCCACAAGTATTTATCAAGCATTCATATGGGTGAGGCATTGTACTAAATTCTAGAAAAGACAGACATTGGCATAAAAAAGTAGGAATAATTCTGATATTGTAATAACAAAAAAGTAGAAATTATTTTGATGTCCATCAATAGGCAAAATGAACTCAGTTACATCTCTTCCTGGAATGTTACAGGGCAGTCATAAAATGAGGTAGATCTATGGGTATTGACATAAAAAGATCTCCAGGACATATCACTGAATGAAAAAAAAAAGTTTCAGAATAAAAGTGCTAAAAGCCAACACATAGACTTCCTGACATGTATACACAAAATAAACATATTTCAGTAGTTACATGTGAAAATATATTAAAAAAGGAAAAGGTCTCAAATAATGCACCCTAACCCATCGAACCCATGATCATTGGTTACCCAAGAGATTGAAATTAGGATAAGTGATCAAGGGACAATTAACTCTCTCCATACTACTTGAACATTCTTTTTATGGCAAAGGGAATGTATGTTCTATTCCATCACTAATAATAATTCTTTTTTTATTTAAAAGACTAGCATGACTCCTAACTTCAATTTGTTCACAATTGAGTTGGGGTGGGGTGGAGAAGAAGACAGGGAAATTATTAATTCTAACCTACAAAGCACCATAGAGCTGGACAGAAGAGCATCTGTGTCAGCTGACAGGTACAGACTATTAGAGGGAAGAACAGAACATATCCCCCAAAGAGGCTTCATGGAGAAGGTGGTGTTTGCCATAAGCACAGAATGATGGAAAGGATGCAAATGCCAGGATACTGAGGCTGGGAGATAGTTTAAGCTGGGAGGATAGCATGAGAAGAGGCCAATCAGCAGGAAAGCGTAAGGCAGGCACTGCTCATTTGCTACGCCATAGAAGATTTGTGAGAAAAGGAATTATATATTTAGGCATGTAGCTGAAGAATGTCAATTCAACCACAGTGTGAAGAGTACCATAGACTGGACAGAGGCTAGTAATGGTGCAAGCAAGAAGACCTGCCCAGAAGAGTAGAAATAGGAATAGACAGAAAAGAGATGCCTGAGAAGTTAAGTTATGGGTATTAGGTAAGGGAGCTGGCAGAATCAAATATTGCCAAGGCATAAGGCCCAAAAGAGCATCACTGGAAATCTAAATGTGAAGTATTCAGAAAGATGTCTCATCAGTGGAGCTACTGTATCTAGGAAAGCAGGAAGAGAGATGGTAGTTCAAACCACATGACATGGAATTAGAAACCATCAATGTCAGGTGCTGAAAGAATGCCCTTAGGACAGTAACAACAGGCAAGTTCTTCCTGCTCCGTATGCAGAAGCACAGCACCTCAAAATGTGGTCCGCAGATCTGTGCCAGTCCACAAGCTTTATGTTACACATACATGACGAGATGGAAATTAAATTTAAGCAAAGCATTTAGAAACCTTTATATAAAAATTTAACATTTTATGTTTATTGGGTCTAATTTTTTTCATTGCACTTATATTTTTGTCTTTTTAATTTCTTTTTTTGGCAATTCATTTTTATTGCATTTTATAAAGATTTCAACCCACAATGGATTGAAGGAAAAAAAAAAACTGTCTTCCACCAAAAATAGTTTGAGAGGTGCCATTGGGAAGTATGCTTCAAACATAAAGATTATAAAGTTCTGTTAATTTATTATTTCATTTTATCCTGAAAAAATCTTCAAATAAGTAGGGCAAGCCTGGTTTCCTGAATTTTACTTGAGGTAAGATCTAGAGGGTGTTTACAAATGATCTTCCAGTCACACAAAAACGTAGGCAGTGGAAGGCAGGTCTGGAAAGCAGAATTTCTGACTCTGAGCCAAAGAGTCTCTAGCAGCTCATACAGCATTGCGGGTGGATGCTGAAACTGCTTTTTAAGAGACAGATTAACCATTTTGCTTTATACAACATACAATGTGTACTGCAGTGATTCTTAGAAGCAAATTTAAGGTACCATTAGACAGAGAAGAAAAGCTTCCAACTTTTTTACTTTCTTTAACTCTAGGATTTCAAATGAATCAATTTCAAGTGGATTCAAACAATATTTTGAATCAATTACTAATGATTTTATTGTAGGCAGGATATTTGGAGATTATCAAAATTATCTAAATATCCCATTTTTCAGAAACTTTTCCTTTAGAGTCAATAAGTTATCTTTAAATATCTTTAAATCAATAAGTCTCAAAAGTTATCTTTAAATCAAATGTTTAAATTATTATTATTCTGGACCCAACAAATTTAAATGACACATGATCACCAAAGGCAGTGAACATGCTGGTATTTCAAATAGCACCCAGAATGACTGGTTCCTGAGAATACAGAATTATAAAGTTCAGATTTTGCTTATACTCAGAAATTGTGAAAGAAAAAGGATAGAGTTTGCTAAGGGGATTCACTGATCTCCCAGACAATGAAAGAACTCCAGCAAAATAACATTCTGATGAGCTAAGTGTAAATGAATCAGAGACATGTAGATTAAATTTCTCTTGAAACATACATGGGTTTAAAAAATTATGGGGAAAGTGCCTGGCAAAATGTGCTAAAGGGATTTGCCAAACCCCACATGTCTGACAGAGCTGGAGAAAAGAAGCCAAGACAAAAACTCTGTTTGGTCATTTATTCTTCCAGGTACTAACCACAAAGGTGTCTCAAAACGCATATCAAGGCTTCAGAAGACGAGAATGTTCTTAAACCCCCTGATAGTCAAACAAACAAAGCCACTACCTTTAGAAAAAAAAAAAAAAAAAAAACCACATTATTTCTCAGGGAAATCAGTCCTAAATATGAGATTATCCTAGTGGCTACCAACACAGAACTCTATGAAAGGCTCAATTTGTAAAAGATAATCAGCTCTAGGGTTGAAGAACATGGTCCTGACTTTGACCATTCAATTTCCCACATGTTGGAGAAGGAAGAAGAAACTCTTTCCGTGCCACATCATTTATGCTGTGCTTTGGTACAAGCGCAGCAACCTTAGTGAAATAGACTCTGTGTTCTGCTTTATGAGATCCATTGTGCATAAAAATATTTTACAGGGTAAACGGTTGGTTTGATTTATACAATAGTGAATATTACCCTGCTTTTTTTTTTACATGTGTATAACAAATTAAAGTTTACAGCTTAAATTAGTACGGGGTCCTATTCCATGCTTCCTTGGTTTTTCCCTAGACATATCTTTAGTGGTGAGCAAGAAGCATTTCCATCTGTCCTCAGGTAAAAAAACTTCTTTTATAGAAATGGGCAAAGAAATCAGAAGATGCCCAAGTAGAAGAGTTCTTCCTCGTCTTTTCATGTTTGGTGGTGAGCAAGCACACGGTATGCAGACGCCATAGCTGTGTTCTTCTCGCACTAAGGCTGTGTCTTAGTGAAGGCAGTGCTCTTGTCTGCCATATTCACAGCTCTATCATAATTTCCAGCATGACACCAGGCAACAAGGCACTTGATAAATATCTGTTGCATATTTGTGAATGAATACAGCAGAGCCAGAATAACTACCATCTATTTTTCCCTCAAAGACTCACATACGACAGCGGACAAATCTATCATTTGTCTATGTACACTACCCTCTAATAGCCTTTCCTTTTATAGCTATGAATTCTTTGAAAATGTTTCAAGATTTTCTTCCCAGCAAAGTCAGAATAGCCTATGCCAACCCCAATTAGCTTTGTGACTATTGGGAAGTAAATGGGACAGAGGGCATTTTCATCAGCCCACCAACTCCAGCATTAAGTGCCTTTTAAAACTGGCTTTCTGATAAGCAAAGCTCTCCAAGCTTCCAGGCACTTAAACATTTATCTGTAAATATTTGACAGTGATAAAGAGATGGGTGCAGGTTAAGTGGACGCATCTTCAGATCTTTACAGAGCAAAGAGGCTATCAACCTGACTCTTAAAAACATGCCTCAGGTTTTCATTTGTCTGCCCTTCAATGTTTCCATGAGCTTCCTTGGATCATTTACCTGCCTTAGTCAACCTTAAACAAATACCAGTTTGCACTCTGGCCTCCAACCTGTACTTCCAGAGTTATGGGGGATGCCTGACTTGCTTGTTAGAACTCACAATGTGGATGCTAACCTTGACTTTCTAGATAGAAGAAAATCTTCTCAAACGCTACCTGCAGCATTCTCCCTTAAAGGTAGAAATAACAGTATGCCTTCTGTCTCATATTTTGTCTTTACCTCTGTATTGCTAATTCAATCCATTAAGCTGCCTTCACTGAGGAAAAACAATATTTTAACATGCTTAGATTCAATTAGAGAAGAAGCAAATCCCCTTCCCACAGAGTCAAGCCTGGTGATGTTGGTTTTTACAGGAAGAACTTGACTAGTGTCATTCGGCATCACAGTAGTGATATCACTTCAATCTACAACTGTGAGTGTCTACACAGCCTCAAAAGACGCAGCTACCCATACACTGAGTTCAGGCACCAACCAACCCAGTCAAAGCAATAGTCAATTGAACTGGTAATTTGACTGGGTTGAAGGGTTGTTTGATTGAACTGATTAATTCAGTTCAAAGCAGTTATCCTGGGAACCCCCTGTTGCCCAAACTGTCCCACTGTGGAATGAATGTGGACCACAGTGGACACAGGGAAACAGGAGAGATTGGCAGAAAGCCATTGGCTGCCAGACTGCTGAGCCACAGTGCCTGAAGTATCATGGAATAAATTTCCAAAACAGCAACTTTACTTTCTGTGTTCTCCACCTTGTCTGAGAGCTGTGATGTTGTTAAGAGCAAGAACTCTGGAAACAATTACCTTGGACCAAATCTCATGTCTGTCACTTACCATCTTTGTGACTTTGAGTGACTTAACTAATCACTCTCTGCCTCCAGTCTATAATTTGGGCATAATACTACCCATCTTACTGGGTTGTTTAGTGAATCAACAGGTTAATACATATAAAGCACTTAATAAACAATGAATGTTAGCCATTATTTTTGTTATTATCTAACAAAAGGAAATTTCAGATAGGAGCCTTCATAGTATGAATAGAATTTCCCAGATTGCCTTGGATACTTTTGAATTTGAAATAATATATTTCCTAGTAAAGACATTTTCATTTGTCAATAAATATTTTATTTTTCCAGAGTTCTCCAAATACTCATAGGTATACTAAATATATCAACAGAAAGGTTACCTGGAATTATCCTTTTGAAAACTTTCATAGTGGTGCTAAAATGACCAGAACTCTTCCTGTGTTGACTAAAACAATCTTTTAGAGAGATGAAATGTGTAGAAAAAAATTAATTTTGTGTGTCACGCCTGGGGCCACTGTGTCTCCTGGGCACAGAGCTGGCTTCATAGGCTCATAGGTCCCGCACTTAGAAGGCCCCACACTTGGTTTAATGCTCTGCTGGCATCATTTTGAAAGGCTGAATAACGTGAATAAAGAACTCCGCATTTCATTTTGCAGTGGTCCCTGCGTGTCACGTAGCTGGTCCTGCCTGGGTGTGACCTATTACTGAGAGGTAGAGTAATGCAAATTCCACAATTAGGAGCGTTTCAGTTAGAAGATATTTGTATGATACTTGAACCTGAGACATAAGGTTCCCTGTTTCTTCCTGTCTGTTGGGGAAGCTGCCTCAATGACCACAGCTGCCTCACGGCACAGGCTCACGGAGCCTCTCCATTAACTGCTTCACTGGGTTCTCACAGGTTGGGGGAGTTGATAAGAAACGGGATTCTCAGTCATTTCCCTCACCTGCAATTCCATAGATGTCTGCTCATTATTCAAAAACATATTTTGAATCATTTTAAGAGCCTAAAAGTTTCTCGATACCATACACTGAAAGAAAGATTTGGGTTTCTCTCCCCCATCCCAGCCTTCTCTAGTTCATGGCTCATTCAGAAGCTCTTGACGTGGTCTCTCTATTGTTTTTCTACAGCATGAGATAAAAACTACTGTTTTAGTTGTTTGATTTTTACTGTGTGATTAGTCTAGGCATGATAGACAGGAAAGCACGTAAAGCATTATTTTATTTGAAAGCCAGAAGCACATCATGTTTATTAATAAAGAGCCTGGTTTACATAGATTTTATTATTATTGAGCATAAAATGGTTTATATTACAAGCAAGGGTGAAATTACTAACTAATTAGCCTGTGAAGATCACGTTTAATGGAATATATAAATCTAGGGCATTGCTTTTTTTTTCCCCCTTGCAAACCTTAAGGGTCTTTTTCATTAAACATGTACATATGCAGTCTTCATGCTGAAACAGAGGATTGTGATACACAATTCAAGGTCAAATGATTCACTTTGTGTTTCCCAAAGTCCAAAATCTCAGTGCTTTAAATTCCTTAACTCTTAAGAAAGCTCGTTTCAATACACAGCTGCTTTGGTGTGAATGCTGAATTCAACTATCAATGATGGTAAAGAGAAAAGCAAATAATGATGGAGTGAAGCAAAGGTGAAGACTGTAAGGGCTAAATTTCCTCCTCTCTCTCTGTATCCCTCTCTCAGTACTATAGCTTAAGACCCACTTAACTCTTCCAAAGGAACTTTGTTTCTATTAACTCAGAGGATTGCACAACCTTTGTAAACACACCATTCTCATGTATTTCAGTTAAATTTCGTAATAGCACCATAAAATGTGACAGGCGTTGCAATAAATTCTCAGTCACAGGAAGCCCAAATTGTATGGGGAAATTACTAGAAACCATGTCTCAGAAGGAAGGAAGAAATGCAAAATTCTTCAAGAACCTGGAAAAATAATGTTAAATGTTTCCTTAAAGTGTATGTCTCTCATTGAAATAAAATGAAGACTGTGTTTTAAGTAAGATTTCAAAGTTTGAAGCAGTGTGGCTATTTTAATCACCCGACTTCACTCACATTCTTGAATGCTGGTTCCTGCCTCAAGGCCACTGGAGAGGAGATAGCCCTTCCTCTTTCCCTACCCTCTACCACTTCGGAATCGGGGTGCTCTTATCAACAGGGGGCTAAAACTGCAAGGATGCACACAAATGTGTGCTGCGAATTTTTTATTTTCAGAAGGAGCTTTACGGGTAAAACTTAGAGTATATTGGGCTTATCATCTATTCATTGGTTAAAAGTTGACTTGCAACATAGTGTGATTCTAGTTTTTACATTCAAAATCCAAGTCACCACACTGTGGACAACACACTTCTGTTTTGGGAAGCTAGAGTATGCTTATGTGAAAGAACAGAGGCCTCCATACAGGAGTTTGGCTAATTGGGAGAAAGTTGTTTCATTCCTCCCTTGCTTATTCGAACAGCCTCAGGGTGACTACAACAATCAAAACCAAACCAAAACAAAAAACCCAGTTTAGCAGCTATGATAATACTAGAGTGATTTTCAGTTACTCTGTGACCATCCCAACACCCCGAAATGCTTAAAACATTATTCACAATGAAAATAACGCTGCATGCTGCCATAAAGTCCCCGTCATTCCGTTTTATGGAAGTGCTTTTGTTTAATGTCAGAACTCAGAGCAAATCTAGACTTACCAGTCCATAAGATTTGCATTCAGGAGACGTTGTGTGTAGAAGAACTTCAGTATGGGCTCTGGAGGGCCTAGGATCCTGGGACACGGTGGGGTTTGCGAACTCTGGGAGCCGGGCCTGCCAGGCTCACGTCATTTAAAGATGAACACTGCCCCCTGCTGGCGAGAGTACGCATTGCCGCCAGAAGAACTTCGAGGGTGGAAAACAACCACTGTTTAAAGGGGAAATTAATTTCAATTACCGCACCTTTTTTCACTTCTTAGCTGTCAGTTCAGAAGAATTATAACTGCAAAGAATCACTATTGCATGGAAAAACAACTCGGTTCATTTTATGACTGTTAGTCATCTTTATGAGCTACCATCACTGGCAAAGAGCCACCTAAATGAAAGGACAAGAGAAACAAAGGCAGCCACGGTGGTGCCGGAAACTTTTGAGATGGAGCAGGGCCTGGAGAAGAGAAAACTCTGCAGGTGTTAATAGTTCAGAGTCTGACGTAGCCAGTTGCACCACCAAAAGGTAGAGTGGGAACTCAAGCCAAGCTGTAGTTCTGAGAGCTCTCCAGAGCCTCTGAATCGCCTTATTTTCTGCCCCATTCCCTCTTGCCCCCTAATCTGAGCATCATGGGAGCTGCCCGGAGGAGTGGAGCACAGGGCTGGAGCCCCATTCTAAGGACGTGTTAGAACACCATAAGGACATTCCATAGGTGCCCTCCCTTCCCCAGCTTCGTGGGGTGAGCTGTGATCAAGGTGATCTCCAAGAGCAAGGCTGCAGGGGAGAAAGGCCCATCCAATGGATTCATTAGAAACAAAGAGTTGCCTGCTCTGGCAACCTCAAAGGCAATTGTCATTGAATCTCCTGTAGCCTCTTTGAGTTAGGAAAACTCGGAGGGAGGTTGTTGAGGGGAGTCTGGAAACGCAACTCACATTCACACGAAAGGGAGGTGGCAGTCCTGGGGAGAGCTAACAGGTAGCAACTCTCGATTTGAAAATTTGGATTACACAAATTGAGCACATGCCCCTTTTCATGCTGTTAGAAGACAGGGCTAGGATCTACTTTCATGAAATGGTTCGGCAAATGTTATAGAGGGTCCACTGTGTGCCAGCTTCCTGCAGTGTCTCACAAGTCTTCATTCAGGCAGTCCTTCACAGATCACAAAGAACGGTCATGCCACTCTATCAACACAACTCCCTGAGGCAGGAATTATGACCTCCCCTCTATATGTTAAAAAATTTGCAATTAGAAAGATTAAATAACTTGCTTATGTTCGTGCAGTTAATAAGTAGAAGACAGCCTGTGTTCATCCTGCCTTGGGTATTTTAGAGTTGGCATTAGCAGGAGGATCGCTTGAGGCCAGGAGTTCGACGCTGCCGTGAGCTATGATCGCTCCACTGCACGCTAGCCCGGGCGATAGAGTGAGACCCTGTCTCTCAAATAAAACAAAACAAAAGAAAAAACAAAACTCAAAGTCTCCATATCAACCTATGAAAATACAAATGCAAAACTGGGTAACCAAAGAAGTCTATTAAATATGTACCTAATTAATTGATGAACTCCTTGTAGGAAGTAGCACTGGCCCACAAAGCACCACCATGCTTTTTAAATAAGAACTAATTCAACATTTTATTTTTTAATTAGCAGTCCCTTTCGATTAGGTGACATATTTATATTACTCATTTCAGAATAATTATTATACTTACGGAACAAATAATATATTCCTTCAAAAACACCTCCCCCTCATTAACATTCTCTAGCTCATCTCCACTTTGCTTCCAGAATTGTCTTTGTAATCCTAAATAAAATATTTTCAAATGTTACTTCCCTCCTCAAAATTCTTTATTGTCCTCTGGAACTAGATGTTAACAAGCGCACTATAAGAAGTATTTCAAAACCAAATCAAAGGTTTTAAGAAAGCTTCATTTTATATCTTCCTCTTGACATATTAATGCTCTGAAAATCCTACAGTAAAAAAAAAATTAACTTTTTTGTACTAAACATTTCTCAAATATATTGGACCACAGAATGTTTTTAAATTAATGGAACAGCTATTAACATATCGACGAATCTGGGGAATACAGTTTATGTAATATTGGCTGCCTTGATAAAATCTGGACTCTTTAGCATGGCACATGGGCTTTTCATAAACCAATACTTGCCTACCGTCTCCAGCTTCATTTCCTACCCTCCGCCCTCATATGCCCCACAGCAGACCCAACTATTTGCTATTTCCAGAATGTATCTTGTTCTCTCTGCCTCAATTTTTTTTTTTAAATACACTGGTCCTTCTGCCTAGAGCATCCTGGGGCTTCTGTGTTCATCTGATCCCCTCCTAACCATTCTTTCAAATTCAAGTCAAGTCTTCCTTCTCTGTGAAGACTCCCCCACTACCCCCAACACTTCCCTAACGCCTCCCATGAAGACTTACACCCTGCTCCTTCTTTCCCCTGGCCCTGTGGGTACCTCCCTCCATTTACTATACCAATGTGGGGTGGGGGGAATTCCTCTGTTTTCCCATTAACTGCTCAAAGGCTCCAAAGTAACTCTGTTTCTTAGGATTTATCATAATGCCTAGAATGTTCGGGGATCAACGCCTGGAGAATTTTGCACTGAGATTCTCTTCCTTATTTTAATTTCTTCTTTATTCAAAGTAGTCCTACACAAAGCAATTTTATCTCTTCTTAAAGTCTTGATGATACTACTACTAATAGCTCATAGTTATTGTGTGTTAACTATGTGCCAGGCTCCATACTAAGTGTTTTTTATGGAATACATTGTTTAATGATTTCAACCGCCATATGATATGAATATATGATTATCTCCATCTTACAGATGAGGAAATCAGGCACATAGAAATGAAGTCATTTGCTCAAGGTTACACAACAGGTGGAAGCAGAGTTGGGATTTGTACCCAAAGAGTCTCTCGGTTTCTAGTCAAACAAGGAAAAAGTTCACTACAATAGAAGTAGAAAAATAAGGTATGAGTTTTCCTCCAATTCACAAAGGAGGAGGAAGAATTATGCTTGGATATTTATGGTGCAGTGTAGGAGGACCACAAAGGAACTACAAATGGGTCTCGCAAAAACCCACCTGTTAGGTTCTTGGGGAAAATAAGCGAGCATTATAAAGAAGACTGGAAATGTTATTTATCTGTAAGAATGAAGCAGCCTTCAGGGGTTACCTGGAGGGCCAGCTGGAGGCTAATCTCCAACTAAGCTCCTGCTGTTTTATCCCTAGGGCAATGGGAATATCAGTGGCAGCTGTTTTAACAGCAGCTGGGGCTACAGTGGTGTGGTTACCATAACCACCATGATCACCTCAACAGCCCATGTGGATCTGTCCCCAGCCCTGTAGTCTCCTCTCTACAGATGGGGAAACTGAGGCTCAGTGGGCCCAGTGACTGCTTAAGGTCACTCAGTTAATAACAAAGTTGAGCTCAAATCCAGATCTGACTTCAAAGCCCCTCGAAAGACTCTCAGGAAACCAAGCAGTCTTTAGAAGCCCACTAGGATTTTAGCTGCTTATGTGAAATTGTATATTCTCTTGTATTCTTTTCTTGAATGTTAGCCTGAACATCCAAAACCAGACTGTTTACCTCTTGAGACAGAATGTTATGCTTTTGTCTATCACTGTTGAGTGGAGAGTACATATTCATTGAACGTTTCTGCACTGATTAAATGAGGACCAAAAGCAAAGGTGTAGATGGAGTGGTGGAGACTCTCCCTGACTTGCAGGCAAAGGCAGCCTGTCAGAGGCTCTGGGCGTTTCTCCTGAGACTACATGCTGTGTGGAACCTATGCACGTCCCTTGCCTCTGCCTCTGACTGGCTGCAAGATGGTAATTAAGCCTCTTAGTGTCTCGGGGTCTGCAGGCCATCGTTAATAAAATGAGGTTATAGGTTCCTCTGAGGGTTCTTCTAACACTACATTTCCAGAGTGATATTTTCAGAATTGAAGGGAATAGAAATTTCCCCCAGGAATTCCAACATGACTGGTAAACAATTTGCATTTTCAGTGGTTTGCATAAGAATCTGAAAACCTAAGTATTATATTTCCAGTATATAGCTTGCTTTTAAAAATAAATGAATAAGGAAATAGGCTGGCTCTCTTCCTACTGAACATGCCTGTTGCCTAAGCTTCTCAACCATAAAGAAGGCCTTAGGCTTTATATGTTTCTTGTATCATGATTAATGTCACAATCCAATAGTAATAATGGTGCTCTAAATAGGAGCCAGAGATCACAGAGCATGCTACCCCCTTAATACCTGAGAAAGTCTTTCATTTTTAATGACTATGACTGCTTTAGGAAAAGGGCTGGCGAGGCCTCAGAGATGCCCCCTCCGTGCTGACACCTCCAACCTGAGATGGACTCTTTAAGCCCCTGCTATGGACTGAATTGTGTCTCTGTCAAAAGTTACGTGTTGAAACCTGAACCCTCAATGTGACTATATTTAAAGATACGGCCTTTAGGCAGGTAATTAAGATTAAATAAAGTCAGAAGAGTGGGGCCCTAATCTGATAGGACTAGTGTTGTTATAAGAAGAGGAAGAGACACGTGCTCTCGTGTGCTCTCTCTCTCTCTCTACACAAACACACACACACACAGAGAGAGAGAGAGAGAGAGACAGAGAGAGAAAAGGCCATGTGAGGGTACAGCAAGAAGGTAGCTGTCTGCAAGCCAGGAAGAGAGGCCTCAGGAGAAACCAAACCTGCCAACACCTTGATCTCAGGCTTCCAGCCTCCAGAACTGTAAGAAAATAAATTTCTGTCGTTTAAGCCACCCAGTCTGTGGTATTCTGTTATGGCAGCCAGAGCCGGCTAACACACTCCCTAGGGCTGACATTGTGATATCCTCAAAGTAACTTTCATATTTTTTCAGTGACTTAATCACGACTACTTGTTTTCCTTACGTCGGAGTTTAAGAATTGAAGCAGGATTTCTAATTTCTCCTCATATTAGCTCATTTCTTTATCTCCCAACCTTCGTAGGTGTAAAAGGCTGATTTCCTAGAGCTAAGCCTGCTCTCCCAGCCTCTGGAATTTGGCCACAGGCAAGAGACGGGAAAACGCCCGTTCCTCGCAAAGGCCTCTCCATTTTTCCTAAGAGAACTCCTGGAGACTTTGTGCACGCCTCTCAGCTGGCAGCCCTCCCAGACGCATCATCCTGTGTCCACCGGGCAAACCAGGCCCTACAGCTCTGTACTGTCCTGTGGATGCCCACCTGCCTACCTGCCATTTTCCCCACATGTCAGTCTATGGCTTTGCCTGAGGAAGAAAGACAAATGCAGATTGCCACTTCACTGCAGTGTCTAGTTTTACTGATATTTATCGATTCACCCTTACATTCAACAAATGGTTACTAACGCCTATTACATGCTGGACTCTGTTCCAGGAACTTGGGATATTGCAGTGAACAAAACAAGCAAAAATCCCTATCTTCATGGAGTTTACATTTTATTGTAAGCCCTAATTAAATAACCTTTAATCAAGTAAGATTCTGTTTTATTTTATCTTATTCTAACGTGGCTCTCTATTTGTCCCAAGATGCCTTTTCCTACTCGATGACAGGTTTCTGTTTTTAACCATTTTTTAAATCTGCTTTCCCATTTCTTAGAAAGTGAATAACATTGTCATTAGTCCATTTTCCCAATAGAGATGTTGAAGGACAAAGGATAATTGTATCTGTCTTTTCCCATAGCACTCGTACACATCATCTCCATGCCAGGGAGAAGAACTAGGATTTCTAAAATCTGGAGTACAGATTAACCATCAGAAAGCAAAGCACAGTGCTTCACATTCTTACTTTCCACTTAAGCTCTGCACTGGCAGTAAAAATACAAACAAAATTTCCTATAACTTCTCCACAAGGACCCTTCTTGGCTGATTTCTTATAACTCCATTGTACTGGTTCAGACAAAAGCAACCAGGGTCGTGACAGTGAAATGCATATTGCACGCAGATCAGAGACCTTGGGTAGGAGTTACAAGCATGAACTCCTATCCAAGTAACACTGAGTTTACCCGTAATTATTTTATTTTTGACTATAGCAAGTCTCAATCAAATTGCTATCCTGGGTTCAAAGCATTGCTTTTTGAAAAGACCTAAAAGCCAACTTATACTTAAGTGTAAAATGTACATATTAAATATAAATGATTCCACAACATGGATCAGATTTTACGTGACATTAAAATTGCTTCTTCAAGGTCAACCAACCCAAAAATGACCTTTATCATATTCATAAATGTGTTTGAAGATAATTTATTTTTTTACTCTACCAAAATCAGTAATCATCAGTGTCCCAAGGTTTTATGTTAAAGCAGGAGAATTTCTCAAGGCTGTGGTTAATCATCCCTTTGCATCTTGCATTCTTTCTTAATTCCTCTGACAGTTGTGTCGTACTAGAAACTCACCCTCTCCAAATCTCTAACAGTGGCAACAGGGCTAGTGGGGGATGGGTCAAATGTGTTTGGGTCAAAATAGAATAGGATTTAATTCCAAGAAACTCATCTTAGTGAAGTTGCGTCGACTTAGCCTTCTGTCATGGAGTGACAAGTTAGAATCCACTCTTAGACTTGTTGTATAGAGTCAAACCAATCTGATCATCAAGGCAAAGCTTAATGTCTATGCCATGGTGCCAGCTAGGCAGAGAGGTCCAAGCCCTGGCCCTTGAGCCCTATGAGGAGGTCGGCATCTAGTATTTAGATGGAGCCAGACTGAGAGGCATTAAAAGCAATAGGCTTTGTTAAAAACCACTGATGTTTGGCCACCGAATGTCAAGCTGGTTTTGAAAATCGATGATAATCTTTCTGCTCAGGGCTCAGGTCCTACTGAAGACTAGCAAGAGGCCCTGAACCCTCATGAATGAGACAATGGAAAACAACCTCCACCGAGAATCACAAGCAGATGGCTAAGACCACTCATGGTCAGGGTGTCCTTTACATTTATTTTTCTTCGAAAAATTAAACGAAAAGCCTCCATCCCCAGCATTATAATTAAAGATGAGAGAATGTTCCTTGTGTTCTGCCAAACGATGATCCTTCTTAACTCCTCTTCCCTCCCTCACGCCTCCCACTACCTTAAACGTCTTGGGTTGTGAGTTCAGATTCAGAGTGAGGTTCTCGTGAATTTTGTTCAGCCAGCATTGACATGAACAATATCCTGTTTCAGAGAAGAGGGTTTATTTAAAACACACACACACACACACACACACACACACACACACACATACACACACAAAACAAAATCCCTCATAAAGATCCTTGAACATCAGATGACTCTTACAAAACAATTTGATGAATTAAGTGTAAATGAATCAGGAACATGTGGATTAAATTTCCCTCAAAATACACTTGGGTTTAAATATTCAGAGAGAAAGTGCTTGGGAAATATATTCTGGATTTTCCTGAGCTCAAATGTTCGAAAATTCATCTCAAACTTTACTTGACAGCTTCCCCACCCCAGGTCAGATCGCATTATAAATACATGGATATACGTCTATTGCATGGTCGTAGGGGCGCACACATTTTTGCGGCCTGGAGTAATAACTATGGTATATGGAGTGTGCTGTGAAGAAGGGCTGCAAGGCCTCGAGCCTGTCTGTGTTCACACTCACAGAGGGTTTGTTTTTGTTTGGTTTTTCATATGAGAGAAGAACGTTGTAATGATTTCCACTACCACTAACCCACCCCCCTCCCAATCATTTTATTCCCATCGCTAAAACCCTCGGGGAGAATCTACTGTGTGTGACAAAGAAATATGTCTTTTCTCTGTGTTACAGACCTTGGATCACATCCAGGACCCCTTTTCCCCGGAGGCCAGCTCGCATCGTTTATGATTTGCATTTCATTGCCGTACACTGAACCCAGTGAGAAGTCGTCTGAACCAGCAGAATGGTGAGAGCTAAAAGTAGCAAGCAAGAAGTCTCCATTTTCCAGCTCATTCTGCACAGTCTGCTTTGCCAGAAACCCTAAGCCAAATTTGATTTAAAATTTATACAAGAAAAGAACATCAACATGAGTACACTCAGTCTCTTCTCTTCCCCTTTCCCAAGACCCTTCTTGGCCTGGGAACCTCTGTTTTAGGTTTCATTTGATGTTGGATGGCTAATTATTAGATTTTTCTCTTTTCCCTCCCTATTTAATTCTGCCACTTACTTTTACAATGTCCTTATTTTCCCCAGTCCTCTTTATCCCTCAATCTTTAACCTGCAAAAGAGAACGAAGTCAACTTTTGAAATGTAAACAAGAATTTTAAAGAAGAAAAAGTAGGGTCAAAGAGAGCAGTGCAATAGTTGAAAAAATATAATAATTCAATGAAAGTATGAAAGTATGTAGAATATACTCCATATAAGAAAAGGAAACTCATTCGTCCTGTCCTGCACATGATCATCCTTATACATACTACGGAAAGAGTTTGAGAAAAAAATTCTGATGAAGTCATCTCCCATATTCATATAGATCAGCTAGGACTTTTAAACAAAGCTACTGATTTTAAGACAGAACTCTCTCCTAAACTACATAGCTATTTTTTTTTGAAAACTATGTTACCAAAGTATGTCCATGGGGAAGTCTTACCAGCCCCTCAAGTAAAAGGTAAACTGCTTCTTCTCCTGTATTCCTGCCTTAGTTAATGATACCAGATGAAGCCACCTCTTTCCTTATCCCTGTGTTCAAGGTGCCACAAAGACAGGTCGCTTTCTAAATGGTTCCTACTTAGTTTACACCTGAGCCCCTCTGCCTGAGTTTGCACTATCAATCCCATCCTAATCAGCCCCTGATCTGTGAGACAGTCCGTTATCTATACTATTAGCGATAGTTCTAACATGCACCTCTGAGTGTGTCCTGCACTGCCTAAATCCTTCCATGACTTCCATTACCAAGGAAGGTAGTCAAAAGGATCAAGTGGAGGGAAGGGAATTTACTAGAATCTCTCCAGGGAAGTTTTATACTTTGCACCAATTCTACAGGAACTGCCCTTCGTCCCTCTGGATTCTGACATGATGTGAGAGAGGGGAGCTGGAAAGTTCTCTGGTTCATTCTGAGGAGTTCCTCTGCCCCCTTCCTGCTCACCTCTCCTGCTCCCCATTGCCTCCCAAACCCTCTGGCCCACAAGGTGCAGTCCACACTCCCCAGGGCACAGGAGGCCTTGCAGAAGTTGGACTCTCTCAGCCCCTCCACCCAAGCACCTGCCAATCCAGACTCACCTGTTCTATATGGGGAGCACCTGCTTTTCCTCCGTCTGAAGGGCTCTTTCTTTCCTGGCTAACTCCCACTTCTCTATCAAGCCTCATCTTAGATATTGTCTCCTAACGGAAGGGGCATCTTCATCACCTGGGGCACATACCTGGCCCTTCTCACAATGACAACATGTGTGACCTGCCTGTCTCTTCTCTCCAGCCTAGGAGTTCCTGAGGGGGTAGACAGCAGATGCTTAATGGTTTTTGAATGAATAGATGTGTGGGAATAAATACATGGCTAAAGGAAATCATGGCAGTGAGGTCTCTATGAACTGACTAAATTGACTGTTTTGCAAAAAGTTGGTAGCAATATCTTTTTACCATACAATCAACTCAATTGGACCACTAACCCACCAGCCAATAATCAGAGTATGACACAACTGAACTCACTGTTTTGATCATCTTTGCAAATGAGACTAGTCATTTGTTAATTAAATCACATACGAAATAAATTCTCCATCTCCCCCTAAAAAAAAAAAGAGTATTTGCCAGCTATTATGAATGGAAAGTATTAACATTTATTTGAGTGTTTACTGTGTACCAGGCACTATCTTATTCATTTTGCATGGACTGATTCATTGAGTCCTCACAAAAACTCTAGAAGGTGCATGTTTTCGTAGTACTCACTTTACAGATGAGAGAGCTGCCTACGGGCACCCAGCAGGCACGGCCGAGGTGGGCTCACAATACAGCCACACAGCCCAAGTGCTCCCTCACTAGGTTCTACTGTCTCTGAGGACATGAATGAGCATTGTGTGGTTTCCACCAGAAACAGCACATGATATTTTCCAGTGTAGATCCATAATTCAGTTATCTACAGCTTCCATCTTATATTCACATCAAAAAGACATCACAGCGATGGACACCCCATTTACCCTGATGTGATTATTACCCATTGCAGGCCTGTATCAAAATATTTCAGGTGACCGACATACACACCTAGTATGTACCCCCAAAAATTAAAAATTTAAAAATTTAAATTTAAATTAAAAAATAGGCTGAGTGCAGTGGCTCACATCTGTGATCCCAACACTTTGGGAGGCTGAGGCAGGTGGAACTCTTGAGCCCAGGAGTTCGAGACCAGCCTGGGCAACATGGCAAGATCCCCTCTCTATAAAAAAAAATACAAAAATTAGCCGAGCTTGGTGGTATGTGCCTTGTAGTCCCAGCTACTCAGGAGGCTGAGGTGGGAGGATTGCTAGAGCCTGAGAGGTGGAGGGTGCAATGAGCTATTATCTCACCACTACGCTCCAGCCTGGGTGACAGAAAGAAATGTTGTCTAAATAAATAAATAAATAAATAAATAAATAAATTGCAAATCTCAGTTGCTCTATAGGTCAATCCTATAATTCTCATTGGTCAATTTATTCCTAATATCCAACACACCAAGTCAGGGGGGAAAAGGTTGTTTCCAACTTGACTGAACTTATTTTTGCCCCCTTCCCACACCTAACTGGTTCTGAGAAGACCTTAACTTAATCATTGCCTGAAGAGAAAGAAATATTGATGCTCTGCAGCTTTGAGGACACCAGGTTCTAGAAAACACCAAGAAAATGCAAATCTGGGGAGGAAGCGTAGAAGCCAAAGTGAATCAGAGAGCCAGGTAGGGGCCCTGAAGACTCCGCCATGGATGGCTTTCCACCGGGCGGACTCTGTCCACACATCCTGCTCTCCCCTCAAATTCTGAACTTTTGAATGAAAGTAGCTACCTTACTTGTCTGTTGATATTCTCTTTATCTAAGATAGGAAGCCAGGCTTGAAGGAGATGAAAAACATAATTTTGCCATGCCATCCTTTGCTTTTTCCTTTTATAATTCTGTGTCATATTATAATTGCTACAGCTAAGAATGAATCTTAAAGCAATAATTGTTCCTTTTTCATAAGAGCGGGGGCTTTGACTTGCCATCCTTATCTTCGCAGCTCCTACCTGCTTTCCAAAGACCCTCAGTTGGGCCTCCCCCATCTATCGAGAGACCCTATAACCTTGCGGACCTGAGACTGGATTATATTCCCAGCTCATCAGTGGAAAGTGGACGTAACACTTAACCTCCCTTCGCCTCTGTCTCTCCATCTGCAAAATAGCAAAATAATGCAGGCCACCTGCTTCCCTCACAGGAGTGTGGTGATAATTAATGATATTAGGCTAATGCTGTCAGCTTTCTGAAGAGCTCAATGAATTTGGAATGAGAGACCTTGTATGGATATCAAATATGGTTCCCTAATCAAAGGACTTTGAGGCTGTCCATATATCTTCAGAACCAGGGACACGGGAACACCAGCTTTTCTATTTGTTATTTGAAATGATGCCCAAAAGAGAAGAGGACAAGACATGACTGAAGGCTATGATCGAGTCAACCCTTCTGGTGACTGTCCATTCAACATCTGTCCGAGGGGAGGTGATTACAGAGCCTCAGATTGCCTGAGTCTATTATCATTAGTGCATATTTGGTGGGGAATGGATTGGAAGGACAGGTCAGGCACAGCCGTCTTTGTTAAAGGCAGAGCACCCCCACTCCTCAAAAGCCCATTCCAGAACATTGTGAAGTGAGCTGCAGGGCGCCTTTCTCCCCTTCTCTCTGCCCGACTGCATGCTAACATCACCCCACCCCCACCCTTCATTTAAGAGTTCACAAACTGTTCCTGCCAGTTTAAGCAAAAAGTGTTCCGCGAGGTAACAGGGCCATGGTAATTAATTTTGCTCCTTGACTAGTAGGTGAAAAGCTTTTTATTATGTAAATTATAAATGTCCTGAAGGGAAACTTTATCTCCCTCTCACCAATGAGCCCATCAGGCTGCCTGAATCAGGATTTTTTTTTTATGTTTATTAGTCTTGGGGGGCCAGTTAGGACATTTCATAGCTTCTAAGTGCTGACATTTATCTACTGCTTCCAAATAAACCTAGTGGCAGGGAGCCACGGGTGGATCACTAAATACGGAGGAAGGGAGGGGGCAGACTGACTGTCCACAGACAGTCAGAGAATGATGCGCCCAAAGGCAGTATGGAAACCCAGAGAGCTTCTCTCTCTCCTTCTTATTTCCCCCAGCTTCCTCCCCTGTGATTCCTTCTCACCTGTCTCCTTCTGCCTTCTTCAAGGATGCCTCGACTTCCAGGCACAGCCAACCCTCCCTGGAGCTGAGGCTGCCTCCCCTCTCCCTCCCCACCCCACAGCATTCCCAGATACTACTTAGGTTCTTTGTGTGGGGACCATCCTTGTTTTCAAAAGAACATTGAAACTTTTTCTTCCCTGAGTGGACAAATTTACACCCTGTGGTGGTCAATTTTATGAGTCCACTTGGCTTGGCTGCAGTGCCCAGATATGTGGTCAAACATTAGTTGGGATGTTTCTATGAGGGTGTTTTTGGATGGGATTTACATTTAAATCAGTGGACTTTGAGTAAAGCAGATTGCATCCATAATGTAGGTGAGCCTCAGCCAATCAGTCAAAGGCCTGAATAGAACACTAGACTGTCTTCCTCAAAGCAGGAGGGAATTTGGCCAGCAGATGGCCTTGGACTTGAACTGAAGCATCGGCTCTCCCTCAACCTGCAGAATTTGGACTTGCCAGCCCCCATAATCACATAAGCCAATTCCTTAAAATTAATGTCTCTGTCTCTGTGTCTCTCTCTTGCTTTCAGTATATACATATATACTATCTCTCTCTCTCTGTGTGTGTGTGTGTGTGTGTGTGTGTGTGTGTGTGTGTGTATGTGTGTGTGTGTATTCGGGTCTTCAACTAAATTGGAGATATATAGATAGAGAGAGAGAGAGAGACAGACAATGAGAGAGAGAGAGAGAGAAGTATATGAGATATGAAAGTGATTGGGGCTTAGCAAGCCTTGAGAAAGGGTGAGTTTAGTTTTTCTCGTCTGACACAGCAGTGTATCTAATTGGTCTGTCTCATTGACGATAAGTGCCACAAGTAAATAAGAAGCTTATAGGGAGACTTTCATCCTCCAGCAGTGCTTAAGCCATGGGCACATGGTGGGGAGTGAAACGGGGCCTTGCCTTCTTGAAGCTTACGCTCTAGTGACATAATTCAGCAATTAAATAAAGACACATATATAAAGGTATGTGGTGATAGCTGCTGTGTCCCATTAGAGGAAATAACCCTGTATAAGGTTATAAGAGGTATAAGAGGTCATGAAAGGCACCTCCAAAAAGCCAACATTTTAGAGAAGCTGAAAAACAAATAGGAGTTTCCCAAGCTGCAGGAGAGCATTTCAGGTGAGGCAGCAGCAGGTGTGAGGCTGGAGGCAGGAAGATCGAGAGGAGGTGCAGCAGGGGACAGCGGACAGGCACAGGACAGGGCCATGCTGTACAGGAGCCTGGCTGCCCTGCCGAGGATGGTGCTGAGGACAGTGCATCTTCCCCAGTTACAGTGAGAAGCCAACGAAGAACTTTAAGCAGAGAAATGACATTATCCTGATTTATATATATTTTTAATTATGTTGGCTACCTCCATGTGGGACACAATCGGAGAATACACATGGGGAGCCCAATGTGATGGAACAAGCGTGGTCACTGTCACTGGGAATTCATGGCAGCATTCACTTCTACTCCCATCCCCAGCTGGAAAAGGGACACCTGCACTTACCCTCTCCCCTTCGGTTTGTTGCCTCTCAAGAGGAGAGATGCTTCCTTACAGGGAGATAGCTTTAGTTAAAATACATAACTAAAAAATGAAGAGGTAGGTCAGAGAGAAAGCCATTTGAGGGTGAATATTCAGAGATTATTTGTGGGGAGAGGAATAGCTGGTGAGAAGCTCCTCCAAGGATCTGAGGATACAAAACCAGGGAGAAGGGAAAAGGGAATTTAACACTCTTACTGTGGATTATGATTGGATCTTTCTACAGTTAACAAGAAAACTACATTAATGAGTTATTTATTAATGAATATTGTGTTTCCTTGGAGATATTGCCCCTCCAAGACTCCCTGGGCCTTTATCTAGAGGCAAAAGTGCCAGTGACTTGGCCGGGCTATGATAGAGCAGGGCCTCAGGGCCTTCTCATGGAAGTGGAGAGAGAACGCAGCAGAGACAGCAGAAGTGTGGCACAGCCTGAAAATTGTCCCCCACAATTCATTCTTCCCTTCCTCTGTAAATAATACAATTCGTAGCTGGGCACTCGGACACCCAGAACACAGCCTCTATTTTCCAGCCTCTTTTGGAGCTGAGTGTGGTCATGGGGCCAAGTTGTGGGTCATGGGAGGAGCGGAAGGAATGTGTGAAGCTTCCAGATCATGCCCCAGAGGGAAGTGGCATGCCCCCTCCTAGTGCCTTTTTCCACGTCCATGGGCTGAACTGTGGAAGTGATGGTAAAGACTTTGGAGGATGGGTTAGAGGCAGCATATCAGGGCTGGTGGCCCTGCAGATGGGAGGAGTCTAGTCTTTAACACCAGGAGGCCACCATTTAACACCAGGAGGCCACCACACCAGACCAGGAACACTGATGCCTGGACTAGCACACAAGAAAGGGAGAACTTCCATCTTATTTAAGTCGTTATTTTAAGCCATATCTTAACTGATACAAGTTGTTTCCTAGAGAGTCTCCAGGGCTTTAAACTTTTCTACCCACTCCCATCCTAGAGGTGTGGGGGTCAAAACAAGGGCAGACTCTTCCCACAAGAGTGAATCCTGTGAACGTTGTTCACAGATTGGGGGCTTCGGAACCTCATGACTGCGCCTTGCAGTTTAGTTATGCAGTGATTTACCAAGTGAGTCCTTATCCTTCTGTAGCTGCTTCCTTAGTTGCCGTTAATTAAAAAGTAAAACACACACATAATTTTAAACTATATATATGTTTCTAACATTTCTTTTGAATAACAGTTTAAACACTTTTAGCGGTAGAAAATTCCAGTCAAGCTTTGGAAATCTCTGCAAATGACTTTAGCAGATGGTCAAAACTGTGAAATCCATCATATAGAGTGTAATCTCTGAGTTAAAGGACCCAAGTTTTACTACGAGCCCCACAACTAACTTCAGAGTTAAGCAGCCTGAAGCACTCTGCTGCTCTGAACCTCAATTTCACATCTCCAAAAGAGGAGAAATGATTGCAACTCTTCCAGAGAAAGGCAGTAAGGATTGTAGCCTTAAGGCAAGAGTGGACATTACTGGGTACTTGGTTCATATGCCCATCTGATGCCTGTATCCCCTTCATCACTGGCTTGATAAGTAGGTATCTATCTGTTCTGTTTAGAGTCTACATTTCCATTGACAGGGACCTCACTATTAAGCTACCCAGTGTATTTGATACATAAAGCAATACAAATTTGCTCAGCTAAAAGCAGCTCCTTCAGTCTGTCTCACTGCATTCTTGTGGAGAAGACATGAAAGGCAGAATGGCAAGGTGAGGGAAGGCCAGACTTGGAGAGCAGATGCATCTAGCCTTGAACTCTAGGTTCACCATTTATGTGATCTTGGGCAAGTCATTTTATGTCTTTAAGCCTCAGTTTTCTAAATCAATAAAACATATAGTTTAGGGATTACAAATGATGAACACAAAATGGTACATATTCCCTATACACAGCAGTATCTTAATACGTGCATGGTGGTTGCTGCTGCTATTGTTACTTTTATTATTATCATCGTTACGGTCATTCCAGGAGCAGTATACCTATGCTGCCCAGGTTCAAATCCCAGCTTTGCCACTCCCTAATGGTATGAACTTGGGTAAATTACTGAACTTTTCTGTGCCACCATTTCCTCATCTATAAATAAGGGATGATAATACATGTTTGCTGCGAGGATTAAGCATTTAAAGAGATGTAAAGCATTTGAACAGCACTTTGCTAACGGTAAGTATGATATAAATATTAGCTTCTGTTATTATGAAGCAGTAATAATATACAGAATAAGAGGGCTCTCTGGGAAGTGACCTGACCACTTTACATGTTCTAAAATAAAATTAGGCTTAACTGATTTGGAAAAATAATTACATAGAGTCAACTCTCAACTGTGTGGTAAAATGAAGAGGTTTATGAATATGGGTATGTTGGAACAGTGACTAAAAGAAAAGTCTTATACTTGTCTTTTATAGTAAATTTACTTCTTTAAATATGCATTTCATTGGGGTAATATGAGGTGTCCTCAACATGAACAGTAGTGCAGGTAATGAGAGACAATCTGGATTTTAAAGTGGATAGGTGAAAATATTATTAAGCTTGTGAGACATACTTTAAATAAAGTGATAGAACAATTTTATTTAAGAATCTTCTCAATTTATTTATGAATCTTTTCTTCAACGCTAACTAAGCTAACACTTCAGGAGAAGGTGTGGGTGAAAGGGCGTGGGGGTGGGAGCCTGGCATCCTCCTCTCTGGGCCATTTTCTTCCACCAGCCAGCGGGCTGACTGAAGAGTTTCACTTCACATTTTGAGCCTCAATTTCCTCAACTGCAAAACACAGTGACTTAATTAGAAGAGCTCAAAGATCCCTATAATTTTTCACACTCTAAAGTCCTATGTTAACCTGGCCAAATACACATTAGCAGGCAAGCAGCACTGCCTAGTTTTCAGGATAACTTTCCTAAATCTCCCATTTCATGTTCTACTATGTAGTCTCAATATGTTGATTAGATATTTTATTGTAGGTGTACAAAGGAAAGGAGGTTGTATCGGTCACAACAGGTTAGGTTATGCTGCAGTAACAAATACTTCCAAATATCCCCCTGGCTTTCAACAACTCAGTTTTATTTTTACCCATGTTGCACATGCATCCAGGGTCAGCTGCAGCCCTGTTCCATGTCCTCTTCATTCCAGAGCCCAGACTGATGGAGCAGTCTCCATCTGGACATGGCTGTTCTTCTGGCACAGGGAAAGAGGAATTTCAAACCATAAGCTGGCTCTCAAAGCTACTGCATGAAAGTCACACACATCACTTCTGCCCACATTATATTGGCCAAAGTGAATCACATGGTTTCTCCTGACTTCAACAAGCAGGGCATGAATAATCTAACCTCCCACAAAGAACACGACTAGGAAAGAAAATAGAATAATTGGCAAACACTAATGCAATCTACTACAGAAGTCAATGGAGAATTTACCTCCTAAACAGGAAAATGATTTGTGCCTAAAAGGAAGGAAGAAGAACCTCCTCTTTGTTGAGGGGAAAAGTCCATAACACAGGAGTGCTTGGACCCAAGTACACAAATATAAGAACCCTTCTAGGAAAACACGAGCTGGGGAAGCAGTTTCTCTTTGCTATTTTGTGAGAAAATAAATGCCAAACAAATAGGAAAAAAAATCCAAGGAAAGGGGTGCCACTAGAGATGGGGAGAGAGATTAGGAGCTGGGGAAACCCAGTCTTGGAGAGATGACACCATTTTCTGCAGCTCCAGGCGGTTCCAGCTAATGATGGCGTGTAAGCAGAATGTGAATGCAAAGGATGCCAGAAAGTACATAAAAGGCAGAGGAAGAAGGATCAACATGTTTTGCTGCCATTTCCAGGAAAGGGATGGTGTCCCCAGCAGCCTCCCACAGTAGATGACCAGAAAAAAAAGCAAACACAAATAACACTCATTGAAAATCCTAGTCCTGACTCCTGTGTTTCACTGCACATCCTCCCTCAAATCCTGGCTGCAAACCAGCCCAGCCACTTGAAGCAGTGTTGGCAGCTTGCTCTCTCTTGGCATGGAGTATGCATGGCAGCTGGATGGCTTGTAGTCAGTGTAGTTTTGCAGCTGGTGGTGGTAGCAATTGGCAAAAACTAACTGTCCAGATGGGCATTAAATTTTCTTTAATGTTTATAATATGTCAAAAGAGAATAATCCTATGTCAAAGTGGCTTAGAAGAACTTTTACTCAGGAGCTTACAGAAATTCCTTTTTGACAAAATGGAGGTTGCTTTATTTCAATTCCATATGTGAGTCTTATTCCTTAATTCATTTGGGGTGCTCCTCCACAGTGGAATATCCTTGGCTAAAGGGGGCTGGGGAAGTCTCCAACCTATTCCTTTTCTTGAGTTCCTCACAATTCGCTGATCACTAGCCAACATTCAGCAAAACAGGCACAGGGTGTGAGCTGGGGGTCCAAAAGGAAAATAATGTTTTATTCTGGAATTTTTATGATCCTCAGAGGGACCAGTACCATTCAGGTAACATTATAAAATTAGGAGGGAAGTAATAACTACGTTGTATAGAGGAAAGAGAACTGGAAAAAAAAAATTTTCAGACATATAAAACAGGCAAGGGTTTAATATATGAAATATTTATTTTAAAATTGCTATAAATAAATGAGAAAACAAACAAATAACTTATTTTTAAAACACACTCAGGGTATGGATATGCAATTCATAGAATTGGAGATTCAGGTGCCCTGTATAGTTAAGAAATTATGATAAAACTCATTAGTGGTCAGGGAAAAGCAAGAGGCCATTCCCACCAAAAAAAAAAAAAAAAGAACTGGGGAAACAAAGACCCTCATACTTCATACACTGCTGGGGTGATTGTAATCAGTATAGCCACTTTGGAGGATAATTTCTTAGTATCCATAAATTTAAAATGCACACACCGCATCTCCCAGCAAATCCTTCCCTCCCACTGGCTCCCATGCAAAACCATTCACAAGTATACAAGAAGTCTATGCATTGATACCCATAACAGCTGCACAACTCAAAGTAAGGTTCTTGGACCACTAGCATACGCATCCCCTGAAAGCTTGTAGGAAATGGGGTAGGGGTTTCATCTCAGAACAAATTAATCAGAGTATGTGGAGATGGGCCCCAAAAATCTATTTTAACAAGCCCCTCAGGGGATTCTGATGCTCACAAAATTTTGAGAAGCACTGTGTCAAAACATTGTTTGTACTGGAGGGAAAATGAAAACAAGCTAACTGTCCATCATCTACCATGGCTTACCATATTACAAAAAATTAACCTAGAGTTTAAAAGAATGGGGTAGATATGTGTGGATCCAGAAAAACACTGAAGAACAAAATGTACAGTGTAATATTTGTTTTTAAAAAAGAAACTACAAAACAAAGCCATACATTTCTAAATGTACATTTCTACATGTAAATCTGTGTATGTGTGTGTAATATATATGTATTATATGTGTATATATATTTGTGTGTGTATATATATATATACACATATGTATGTGTGTGTGCAGCACTCATCAAAAAGTCCAGAGTAGATACACCAATTGATAAATGTGCTTAATTCTGGTGAAAATACTGGGATTAGGATGGTGGTCAAGGAAAACTATGGCTTTTTCCTTATCATTTGTTGTTTTTTTTTTTGTAACAAAAATTCATATAGGTATTATTTGTGAAAACATTTGTCTTCCTTTTTTTTTAATTTTAAGAAAGAGCACTCCCTGCGAGTTAGGAGATTTGGATTCTAGACCACCTAGCTGTGTTACCTTGGGAGTCCCAGCCTCCATGACTTCAGATTCCTAGCCTGCCAAACAGAGGAATTAGGCCAGTTAACCCCGAAGTCCTTTTATTCAGCTGTATCATACTATGATTCTTCCAAGAGTCTTGGTGTGAAAATCAGGTCACTTAATAAACCTAACCAAAGCAATAAACAGAAACATGTATGTGTATATCTAAATCTATGTCTGTATTTGTCCTTTGAAGAAATAGTTAATAATGATAATACTTCCACATGTCATCATAGGACAAATGACTTGCATGAGATACCCTGCCTTTAAATATTGCTGTGGCTGTGAGAAGCTCATTTTTAAAATAAACATTAGAAACCTGATAAAACCAATTGTTTCTCAAAGTTTTCTAGGGATCTGAATTTAAATGGATCTTTAGGTCCCTAGTTTCAGTAGCATCAGTATGTGAACATAAACAACATGGCCACACCATCCTAGCAGAATGCACTGGTCCAGACAATAATCATGCATGTGGACAGCTCGTAATTGTATTGGGCATATAGATGGTGTCAGGCCAAAGAGCTATAATGATCGTATCATGTTTTGATTCTAACAGGAAAAGTAGGGATTTATGTCAATCACTCTGTATATCTTCAATATCGTATATCACCTTTGAACATTAAAAAAGATTAGGAACTTGTTTCATGTGTGAATCTGGATTTGTTTTGACCAAGATATAGAGAAATCTGAATAAACCAGAATTCTGGGGGTGGAGCGGGGGAGTCGTAAGGAAGAATCTTGATTAAATCAGAACTAAAAAAAAAAAAACAAAAAACTCTACTAAAAACCAAACAGTAAGGCAAAGCTAATTACAAAGTTCAGCCAACCCAACTTTCCCATAACAGAGAGAAAGTTCTGCTTTCTTGATCATATGCAGTATTCAAACATAGCAGTTAACTGGAAAGAGGTTCAGAGCTTATTGACAACCCTGTCATTTACAACCAGTTAATGACAAATTTGGGACTGGAATCTACTTTTCCTCTCCCTTAGGCCAGGGCTCCTTCCGGAGTGTAAACCAAACAAACACAAATGCCTTTAACACCTTGTATATAAGAGGGTGAGTCAGTCCAATTTTATAAACAAATTATTTTTGAAAAACAGAGTTAAACACTTTTTATTGTATATCTTTAAAATGAATTTTTAAAAGATACATGGGGAAACATTCTTTTACAAATGTAAATGCAATATACCCTCTATTTAGAATTTAGTAATTCTGGGTATGGTATAATTTTCCATCTTTTTAAAAAGAATTAAATGGTACTGTGTGTTGGTTTTCCTCCATGAGTCACCCCAGATCCATTCTGTGGATTGCTCTGCCCTCCTCTGGTTCCTGGATGTCGACCTCGCAACAGCACTTGCCTTTAGGCTTGGTTGCGCTTGTCCACTGGGAATAAGGGAAGGAGAGATTAGTATTTGGAAGAGAAAGAGTGGTTGAGGCCTTACCCCTCTCCACTCAACCCCCATTCCTTTCCTTGCTTCACTGTCTGGCTGACAGTAGCTACCTGGCAGCTGTCTTCCAAGGCTTCACGTTCTCTGGGTTCTGGTGACAGTGATCCCTAAGTCACTTGCTCTCACTTATTGGTGCCTTTGACCCAGCCCACGCCTCTGTAAGTAGTCCCTTCACTACTCTTTCAGTTAATCGTTTGAATGTTCCATCAGTTTCTTGCCAGGACCCTGACTGCTCCCTGCACAGAGTAAGAAGCCTGCAGGTATCCATGAATATTCTGGTGTAATGACAGCAACTGGTAAATGAAGGCTCATGCCACTCCTGAATAAATCCCAGCCAGGGCCACATCAGGTCCTGCACAACCCACATCTGCCTCTCTGCATGCTCTGTCCCTGTTGGCAGAGGCGATCTGCCATGGACCTGAGCATGCTGCCTGTTCTCACTGTGTACGTCGAAAATGCAAGACTCTGGCCACCCTTGACCCAGGCTGGTTGGATGAGATTACGTCTCTCTCCAAGACAAAAAGAACAATCTTGCTTCCCACTTGCCATAAATAGAGCAGTGGATTCCTGATCTCGATGTTTCTCAGCTGGACACATCTCAGTGAGTACATGCCTCCCACCTGGCCCATCTGTTGCCCTCCTGGGACTTTGGAGACAAATGAAACTGAGGAAAACCTGATGCTCAATATTGCTGGCTGTGCTATGAGCCTAACCCAGGAGCCTCATGTCATCTTCTGGTATCCATGAAATAGTAACAGGCTAATTTATGAGCTTGTAAGTAGGGTAAAATCCCAAGCCCCAACATCTTCATCCACTACACCCCAGCCATGCTGTCTTCCTGGGTCCTGTCTTCAGGATTTTGTACTTTCTGTGACTTTCATGTGGGGTGCTCAGTCCCAAGTCTTCACATGTCTGTTCTGACTTTTCTCAAGCCTCAGGTCACTTACCTCCTCAGAAGCCGCCCTCAGAACCTGATCAAAAGTTGTTCTATTTTATTTTCTTCTTAACATTGTTTACTATCTCACATTATCTTTCAGTTATTTGTTTAATGCAGGGGTGTCCAATCTTTTGGCTTCCCTAGGCCACATTGGAAGAAGAAGAATTGTCTTGGGCCACACATAAAATACACTAACACTAACGATAGCCGATGAGAAAAAAAAACAATCTTGTAATGTTTTAAGAAAGTTTACAAATTTATGGCCGGGTGTGGTGGCTCACGCCTATAATCCCAGCACTTTGGGAGGCCGAGGTGGGTGGATCATGAGGTCAGGAGTTCGAGACCAGCCTGCCCAATATAGTGAAACCCCATCTCTACTAAAAATACAAAAATTAGCCGAGCATGGTGGTGGGCACCTGTAGTCCCAGCTACTCAGGAGGCTGAGGCAGGAGAATCACTTGAACCTGGGAGGTAGAGGTTGCGGTGAGCCAAGATCTCACCATTGCACTCCAGCCTGGGCAACAAGAGTGAAACTCTGTCTCAAAAAAAACAGAAAGAAAGTTTACAAATTTCTATTGGGCCGCATTCAAAGCAATTTTGGAACACATGCATCCCACAGGCCATGGGTTGGACAAGCTTGGTTTAATGCTTATCTTTCCCCTACTGAAAAATAAGTTCCAGGAAAACTGGGGTCTCTTCTGTCTTGTTCTCTGCTGTCTCTCCAGAACTTAGATAGTGTTGGCCCAGTAAAATAGCACAAATGGATATTTAACAAGTAAATAAATAATTCATTTATGAATAAATGAATGAGTTTTTGCAATGTTACCCTTTATTGTGTGATAGTATACACTCTGACTTTCAGGTGCCTTATCTGTACAACGGCAATAAGAAACTAATCTGCCTATGTCATATATATTATATCACATATACAGTTATATCTATCATATAATTGTACATTTATATATAGTAGCATATTTCACCTTATAGGTTATATATAACAATCAAGTGAGATAAGGTAATAGCATCCTGAAAACTGCAAGGACAACATCATTCCTGTAAAATGCAAGGTTCAGTGTTAACATAAAAGCACACATTTGGGGTCAATCTTAACATTTTCTGCTTTGTAATATCACTTAGAGAAATCACATACTTGTCATGAGATGCATGTTCAATGCAGTCAATTAAACAGGGAGTTATAAAAAAGTGAAGGAGTGAAAGAGACATTTCTCAATACATCTAGTTCTAAGTAACAACACATTACTATCTTCTGACCAAAAAGCACTGCTCAGGGCCCATCCGGTTCTAAGTCACTACAATTATAGAGACGTCATGCAGAGATGACAATGCTCCAGTGGTTTCCAGGGCTTCACCCTTACTAATGAGGTAGATTCCACAGACCATGCAGGAAAACCAGGCTCCTTGCTGGATGCTCCAGGGGCTCTGAGCGTTCACACTGTCCTCTCCCCCAGCGTGACTTGTAGTGTGCACCAAGTTTTGCAGAGCCTTTTACAATGTGGGTGATTTGCATTCTCCCAAAACACATCTGATATAGTATTACAAGGGTGGGAGGGGACAGGGGATTCCCTGCCTTAAATATTTTTATGTAGCCCCCACCACCTGGAGGTTCACTGGGGATCTTCATAGAAGAAATAATGAAGCCTTCCTCAGCCTCCTCCCAGCTCCCTACTCACCTTTCCCCAAGCTCCCACTTACCCACCTGTGTTTCCTGCCTGGATCTGCCAGAGCTCTTACTTGTTTCTGGTAGTCCTGTCCAGGGATGAGACAACTTGGGGATTTGAATGCCGAGACTATTTCATAGGGAAGGACCTCTCCCCCTATTCAATGCCAAGAAGAAAAATCTCAAAATTTCTGGCATCAGAGACTTTATAAACTTTAAGGATTTACAGTCAGACTGGTGAAATCCCTGTGAAAATTTGAAGTAAATTATGTCTAAGAGAAGTTTCCTCATCTGTCAAATGACAATGTTGGAATATTTATTTTTTATTTTTATTTTATTTATTTGAGATGGAGTCTTGCTCCGTCACACAGGCTGGAGTGAAGTGGCACAATCTTGGCTCACTGCAACTTCCACCTCCCGGGTTCAATCAATTCTCCTGCCTCAGCCACCTGAGTTGCTGGGATTACAGATGCCTGCCACGACACCTGGCTAATTTTTATATTTTTAGTAGATACGGGGTTTCACCATGTTGGCCAGGCTGGTCTCGAACTCCTGACCTCAAGTGATCCATCCGCTTCAGCCTCCCAAAGTGTTGGGATAACAGGCATGAGCCACTGCACCTGGCCTGGAATATTTATTTAACAAATATTGTCATGGCACGTACTGTGCACTAGACAATCTCCAAAGGGATACACATTACTAAAACATGGCTAAGTTACTAAAACACTACCAAATTACTAAAACATTACTTTGTTTAATACTCACAAGGCAAGCACTATTATTACCCCCATTCTGCCGATGAAAAAAACTTGAGGCAGAGAAAAGTGAAGTAACCTGCCCAAAATCATGCAGATGACAAAGCAGCAGACCTGGACTCTGGACCCAGGAAGCCCGGCTCTGGGGCCTTCTGTTAGCGTTTGTACCATGCTGCCACTTAGACTATCACCAAAGTCATATGCTGTGCTAATATTCGTGATTCAGCTCCCCCAAAGCCTTCATTTTTGTCACATTGGAACATGAATATTCATAAAGTACAGTGGTTATTTGGCCAGATTCTCTCTACTTCCTACCTTATAAGTTGCTTTCTGAGTAAGTGCAGGAGTCAGGACTCTTCTGTGAAATGCCTGGAGAGGTAGTAAAAGCTGCCTCTTCCCTGAGTCCAGCGAAATCGGAGGACTCTGGCCTTTTACCGGAGCAGAATTACTAGAATGCTGTAAAGAAAATGTCCACAGTGCCCCTAGGCATGTGAAACCTGGAATCCAGATGAGCTTTCTGTTGTGACTACTCTGCACAAATAGGACCTTCCAAGACCCTGTGTCATGTGCCCCAGCTCTCCTCCTGCACCCGCTTCCCTACTCCCCCTGACCCAGGCATTCAGACCTTCGCACACAGCCATTGTGAAGCTTTCTCAAGTCATCTAAGTACAGACTTAGTGGTCTGAGTGCCTCATAGTAAACCTCAGTGCCACTCATGGGTAAACAGCCCACAACTAGGACCTGAGTATGTGGGCCTTCTTTCGCCCATCTCAAGATCAGCAAGGGGGAATTCAATCCCAAAATATTCAACATCAAAAAATAACATGAGGAGGAATGAATAGGCAGTGCACAGATGATTTTTAGGTAAGTAAAACTATTATGTAAGATACTATATTGGTGGCTGCATACCATTATGCATTTGTCAAAACCCATGGACTGTACAACACCAAGAGTGAACCCGAATGTTAACGATGAACTTGACATGATAATGTGTCAATGTAGGTTCATCAATTGTAACAAACGTACCACTCTGTGGGGGGAATGTTGATAATGGGGTAGGCTGGGAGCAGGGGAGCAAGAAGTATATGGGAACTCTGTACTTAGTGCTCAATTTTCCTGCAAAGCTACAACTGCTCTAAAAATAAAGTCTATTACAAAATAATAGTAATAATATGGACCTTTACTTCAGCCTTGTAAAAGGAGGCAAAAAGGAAATCCTAGCCTGAAACTACTACCACGTGGCATCTCTTTTTTGTCTTCATTATATATATATATATATATATATATTTTTTTTTTTTTTTTTGGAGATGGCGTCTCACTAGGTTGGAGTGCAGGGGCGTGATCTCAGCTCACAGCAACCTATCAGGTTCAAGCGATCCTCCCACCTCAACCTCCCGAGTAGCTGGGACCACAGGCGTACACTATCATGCCTGGCTTATTTTTTGTATTTTTGGTAGAGACCGGGTTTCACCGTGTTGCCCAGCCCGGTCTCAAACTCCTGAGCTCAGGCAATCCACCTGCTTCACTTTCCCAAAGTACTGGGATTACAGGTGTGAGCCACTGTGTCTGGCCTTCATTCTTTTTTGACTCCAGCCCACCTGCTGTGGTTGTGATTCTCCTGCCTTGACACCCTGCTTTCTCTCTGGGTCTCTTTCTCCTTCTCTGTCCCTCTGTCACTGTTTGTTCTAACTACAGGTCCACACACATAGGCACACCTCACTCTTAGTGGCAATAAGTCTTTTCTTAAATAAGTCAATCAAGCTTCACTATCTTTGCTACTTTCCTCATTCCCCTCACCCCCATCAGTTCAACAGTGTACAGACAACCTGGGCAGGCCAGTGTGAAAACCTCCTTAAAATGTCAAGCTGGAAGTGCTCTCAATGCAATAAAGTGGCATTATAAGTGCAAATATAAATTTGAATTGCACACAGTATTAAATTGTGTGGTTTGAGAACAGTGCAATTTTAATAATATTAACACAGCTTCCCATTAGGCACAAATTTTGAAATAATGTGTAGCCACCACAAATAAACACTTGTAAAGATTATCTAACTTAAAGCTGACAGGATATATAAATTGTAAACTGAACTGAGACATCATCATAGCCTTCCCATATTGGCCTTTGAACAGACACCCACTGTCCTTCAGCATGGTTTCCCTTAAGCTATGGCAGATTTGAATTCCATAAGGAACACATTTTTAGGCCTACATCTTCTGATTAAATGAGCAGAGTAGTTATACTTTGATAATTTTGTTTCTGCCATATAATTTAGGAATCAGAAATATGTAGATAATCACAACATACTATATTAATTGTGGCTTTAATATAGAATGTAATATTTCATTTTCTAAGTAAAGTGTTAAGTATTTTCCAAAGACAGATCAGGTAGCTATGTACAAAACAGTGCTTTTTTGGTTTATGTGGCCTTGAACTTAAACGTCAGCTTGATGGTTAATGATGTGACTGCTATGTATGCAGATAGTAAAGAAAGTACTCTCTATTGATCAATAATATGTCCGATTTAATTGCCCTAGTATTGAATGAAAATCCCTAAAGAATTTTCACTTCCAGCAATGTTTTCTGACTTCCTCTTGGTGTCTAGACAATAATGATTTACTGAAATGTGTGGGGAGGAACATACAAAAAGGCCTTAAAAATATACAATATTTCTGGTTATTGAGGTAGGGGAAGTAAGAAAAAACAAAGCAATATTTTGGATTAGTACTAAATATCGAGATCAAGCCATTCTGATACAAATAGGATTTAATAATAAAAAGACCCCAATATAAAAAAGTTATATTTGATCAAGATGACAATGCCAGGGTGAGAAGTAAGAAGTTTATAAAATCAAAATGATTTTCTATAAAAATTTCTAAGTAAAGTGCCAAATAATCTTTTAGAAAACAAAAAGATTCTTGAAAAAACAGATTCTTTTCCATACCAGGTACCATGTTTCTCTGAGTATTTGTGAGTGAGCTTATCAGTTTCAGTTTTCAGGTAGTCTGAGAACTCAGGGCTTAGAAGCCCTTGAAGCCAGATCTTTTCATAAATAGCTGAATCCTCTCATTTCACAACAGCCAAGAACAGTCAGCTTCTACTTGAATCCCTCCAGTTATCATCTTACTTTATTTGAGACAGCTTCGTTTGAATTAACTTTCATCTATTGGTATTAACTCAATCTTTTAGGACAATAAAAGAACTGCATTAATTAATGCCATGGTTTAAATATATGCGTCCCCTCCAAGGTTCATATGTTGGAATGTAAACCCCAAGGTGATGGTATTAAGAGGTAGGGACTTCAGGAGGTGATTAGGCCATGGGGGATCTGCATTCGTGAATGGGATAAATATCCTTATAAAACAGGCTTCAGAGAGCTGCTTGGTCCTTGCACCTCTTCTCTCTTCTACCACGTGAGAACATAGCATCTGTCACCTCCAGAAGAAGCAGCAACAGACATGGTCTTGGAAGCAGAGAGCAAGTCCTCACCAGACACCAAATCTGTCAGAACCTTAATCTTGGACTTCCCAGCCTCAAAAACTGTGAGAAGTAGGTTTCTGTTATTATATATCACCCAGTCTCAAGTATTTTGCAATAGCAACAGGAATAGACTAAGACAATGAGTTTTGCACAATCTAACTTTTAAAACCTCCAGATAAGCAAAGCATGAGTTTTATTTCAATGAATTAAAAGGACAAAGTAAGAAATTTCTCAATTAACTGACATTATTGAGTTCTGTATAACCTGAAACATACATATTTAACATTTAGCCCATTTCTAGGCTTGATAAGTAGAGTACAATACAGACAGTGAAGAGTATTGTGCCTCATTATACATATTCTCGAGAAAGTATAGACTTTTAGAAATATGAAAAGAGATGTAAGACATGGGAATTAATTATACTGATTCCAAAATATATTCTGGAAGTTGCAAATTCTTAACAAAAACCAAAATCAATCCTGTGTAAAAGATTGCATTGGGTTCTTATATTTGCATGCCAAAAAATTCTTAATATGAGGTTCTTATGCTTAAGATGAGCTTCTTATAAGAACACCACATATTCCCCCGTGAGTTATTACTAGATTAAAGGGGCAACAAGGAGTAAAGAAGTCTTCTACATCATTTTATGTTTTTATATACTACTACATTTACTACTTTCCAGACAAATGAGCCATTTTACAGTCATCTCAATGCCTTTCTGAAGAAAGGATCTACAACCCCACTTAGTTTTAATGGCCCAGAGCAAAATCATGAAGAAGGTAAACTTTGTATTTGACATTTCCCCTTTTCCCATAGTTGAGATTAGTTTTTTTTTTTAATTAGGAAATCAGAAGGAAGAATAAGGAAGGAAAAGCAGACCAATTAAAGAGTAATGGCAGGTACCTGGTGTGCCAGGACAAGCCAAGAGAAGGCAAGTTCTAGATGGATGACAGCAAGGTGTGAAATGGAGCATTGGAGGCCTACCAGGGTGAGTTCTCATGTGAAAAGCAAGAGTTCTACTTGTATCATTATTTGCTGAGGCTCCAGTATTCCCTCCCTCTTTAACACGTACTTGGCTGCTGAGATTGGAGGTAAGAATGAGAAGAGAGGAGCTATTTAAGTTTGTCTCTCCACAAAGGAAACGTTTGGATGGGTGGGCATCGTGGGCACCCTCACCATGGCCAGGAATGTTAGGGGGTGTTCTGCAAGCTCTTTCACACACACCCACACTCCTGCAGCAATCTAATACGGTGCTGCAATCAAGGGGACACTGCTCAGGGGCGGAACATGTGTGATTTCTCTTCCCAACTTGCAAGACTCTACCAAGAGACTTCCACCATTCATGCTGGTCTCTAGCTGTATCTCTGTGAGCATTCACATCTCCTGCTCTGCTGAGTTCTTCCATTTGCTTCTTCAGACCCATTTTTCATCCTTTCCCACAGGTGCTGACCTTCACTATCTACCAGAAAAAAATTGAAGGAGTGATGTGGTTTGGCTGTGTTCCCACCCAAATCTCACCTTGAATTGTAATTATCCCCACATGTCAGGGGTGGGCCAGGCGGAGATAATTGAATCACGGAGGCAGTTTCCCCCTTACTGTTCTACTAGTCAATAAGTCTCATGAGCTCTGATAGTTTGATAAAATGGGAGTTCCCCTGCACAAGTCCTCTTGCCTGCCACCATGTAAGACATGACTTTGCTCCTCATCTGCCTTCCACCATGATTTTGAGGCCCCCCCAGCCATGTGGAATTGTGAGTCAATTAAATCTCTTTCCTTGATAAATTACTCAGTCTCAAGTATGTCTTTAGTAGCAGTGTGAGAACAGACTAATACAAGGAGAGGGAAGAAAGATATTTGGGCATTTTTTTCCCCGATTCCTGCTTGCCAGTGTGCAATCTGTTGGTCTCCAACAATCCTTCTACTGAAGGCTTCTCCTCCCTTCAGACAGTCAGGTCTGGTTGTGGTCCCCACGCCTACCCCTTGCTATTTCAGGGTGGTCATGGCTCACCACTGTCACTAGCCCAGGGTACAGCACCACCTGTGTTGGTTTTCCTCAGCCCTGGCAACACCTGTGTAAATGATCTCTTTACTAAACTCTTCTCAGTACCCAGTTTGATTGAATCATCTGTTTCCTACAAGGAACCTGACTGATTCAGCCTCCAACCAGGAATGATCTATTCTTTTTTTTTTTAACCTACCCAAATCCTATCTATCCTCTAAAGCTCAGCTCACATTTTCGTTCAAATCTCATCCTCATGCTTGTGCAACTACACTGACGTCTCCCATCTGATGTTCTCTAAGCTCATACTCTACAGCTCCCAATTTGTCCTCTGTTTCAGGCCTCTTCTTCATCTCAGCACCACCAGTACAGTTGATAACTTTTTTTGCTTATACCCTTACTGCTTGATCCTGTGTTGGCTCAACATTAGGCACTCAACAAAAGTCTTTCTTGAGCTGTAGCAGTCACTCCTTAGCGATCACACCTTGAAAAGAGGTGTGAGTGCACATTTATCTTAAGAGAGCATGTCACAGGATCACAGGTAAGTCGACTAAGAAGAAACTAGGGAGATAATCTGGCCTAATCTCCCTATTATGGTGATGAGAAAACTAAGGCTTGGAGAGATGACCTAAAGTCCAACATCGCATAGTCAGTGAGTGGCACATCTGGGGCTCAAAGCCAGAATATTTTTATTACATTCCTTGCTGCCTCTGATACCAGTTTTATGTATCTCAATATCTTCTTATCAAAAATCTACTTCTTCATATCTGAATCCTTAGTATAGCCCTTCCATTTCAAAAACAGCATATATTTGTTCCTCCTGGTGAAATACAATTTTCCTGAGCCCCCCAGGGCTGTTAGTTATTCATGCATTATCCTTCACATATCATTTTAAAAATTAACCACCCAGACAAAGACTGGATTCTGTTCTTCCCTGTGTATCTGGGAAGGGGAGAATAGAGCCCTTTGGCTCTTTACTTCAGTATTCTCAGATAAATTCAGGCAAACACAAAGAGTATTCTGGCCATTGTCTGCCGCTTCACTCACAGCTACATGCTGAATAGAAAAGGGATCAACTACCCACATTTAAAATATTCATAATTACATACTCTGTCCTACAAGGAGCACCTGGCTGCCAGCAGATGCACAGAGAGAGCTGCACAGAGCCGTAAGCTCTTACTCTGCTAAGGAATCCAGCCCTGTTAGAGGCTGAGCCCTGGAGTCCTGAATACTCAGACCAAATGCAAGCTCACAGTACATGTATACAGCACTGAAGGCAAGTTCCTTGTAATGCTTTTACTGGCTTATGTTAGGGATTCTGAGCATGCAATAATGAATTTTATTTGCTATTCTGATAGAGAATGACAGGCATGCGCATTCATGGATTAGCCACCTTAGTTTTGCAACATATGAATGTAAAAATTAGCAACTGATGACACCATTCCATTGTCACTACGAGTCAACTATAAGACAATAGAGAACATGAAGCCAACGGAGTGCTACCTATGGCTCACGACATGACCCAGAACATCGCCATGTGGGTTTCAGACAATGAGTATTCTACCCCTTCCCATATCAGACACCATTTAGTGCCATACTTTTTATTACATTAAAGGAGGCTCCATATAAAAATGTCAGCAGTATCCAGTTGACTCATGGAATTGAGAACTGTGCATTAGCTGCTGATTTAAATTAATTTTGCTTCTTGAACCATAAAAAATAGTTCTTTGAACAAGAATTCATGATAAATACACATGTGTAAAAGACCCTTAATCATAATTATTTTAAATACATAAAACACAGTTTAAGACTCTCAGCCTCATTAATTTCTTATGGTATAAAAGAACAAAAGCAAATGGTAAATAGGAAAAGTATGTCATAATTTAAATGTATTATTCATGGTCATTTAGCTCATTAAGTAAAAGATTCTTTATAAACTCTAGGCAAAAGATCATTTCCATACCACCCAATGACAGCAAGCAATGTTATGATTTTCTTGTAGAGAACTGGCGTTGTATATCATTTAGATTTTAAGAGAATACTACCTACAATTAAAGCAGTAGAATTAGAATATACTACTTCCCCCCTTATCCATGGGAGATATGTTCCAAGACTCCAGTGGATGCCTGAATCTTCTAATAGTACCAAGCTCTGTATACACTATGTTTTATCCTATATATACATACCCATGATAAAGTTTAATTTATAAATTAGATACAGTGAGAGATCAACAGCAGTAGCTAATAATAAAACTGGACAATTATAACAATATGCCAGCATCACTGCTCTTACACTTTGGGGCCATTATTAAGCAGAATAAGGGTTTCTTAAACACAAACACTGCGATACTGTGAGAGTCAATCTGATAACCAAGGTGTCTTCTAAGTGACTAATGAGCATGTGGCATAGACAGTGTGGATATGCTAGACAAAGGGATGATTCACATCTGGAGCAGGACAAAGCAGGATGGCAGGAGATTTTATCACACTACTTAGAGTAGCATACAACTTAAAGCTTATAAATTGTTTATCTCTGGAACTTTCCACCTAATGTTTTTGCACCACCGTTGACTAACAGTAACCAAAACTTCGGAAAGCGAAACTGCAGATAAGGGAGACAACTGCTGTAATTGAAATCATCTTGTGACACGTTGGGCTTCCTCTTTCTGGGCACTTAACTCTAGTTTTCTCTGTCAGGGTCCCAAAGAGCAGGGGACACATTTCCAAGGTATGACATATAGTAGGGGTTAAGTAAATGTCAGTATGCTCTATATCTACACAGGAGCCCTAATCCTCCCCATGACCCCACACTCTGAATCATCGTGGGGTTTATCTCCCACCCTCTGAAGCACGTGTCTTACCAAGGCCTCCAATACATCTGCCCCTTCTTGGTCATCCAGTCTAATGAACACAATGCCATCAATATAGTGGATCAATGTGATGATGTTCAGGACATTCAGATGATTTGGGTCCCTTCAGATTATATTATCACAGAAAAGGAAGAGTTAACATAGCCTCAAGATAAGACCTTAAATGTATTCTGTCGTCTGTTCCATGTGAACGTAAACCACTTCCGCTTCTCCTTTCTGAGAAAGATGGGAAAGAGCACATTTGCCAGATCTGTAGCCACACGCCCTGTATTAATAATTAGCTGTGTTCATTGGCTGGGTAAGATACTACTCTGGCGCAGTAATTGCAAGTGGAGCTACTACCTGGTTGAGTTGGCAGAAGTCAACTGTTAACCTGTTTTGTTTGTTTGTGGTTTTCTTGTCTTTTTTGTTTGGCCAGAAACTGATTAATTTAATGGGGATATGATGAGGCTCACTACCCCTGTAAGGCTGGTATTAATTGCTGCCATTTCCCCTAAACAAAACATTGCCTTTTATTTATTATCTTGTTGTAATAGGGGTGGGGACAGTTTCAAATTCTTCCCCACTATGGTAACTCTTCACTCTCAAGCCAAAGGATCAATGTGGAGGGTTTCACTAGCTATCAGCATATATATCCCAACTATACGTATATGCATATACACAAACATACACTAAGAGTTGGGCCTAGGCTTGGACTCCATTTTATTACCAGTCCCCATCTACCCCCATTCTTAGGAGGGCCACAATAACCCTTTACCTCCCTAGGTATCAGTGCTACCTTGACCCTGTATCCAGAAGTACTCACAAGTGTCTGAGTACTACTCTTTCCCCATTGTAAGGTTACCTGAATAAATGGCCATAGGTCCCTTTGGGGAAAATCTGTAGGAGTCATTGTCATATATATTTGCCATGATTTTGCAGGTCCTTCCTCCTGGAGATCTGGCCTCTCCCTCAGTCAGTGGCATCCAGTCTGAGAAGTGGCTCATGTCCAGACACTGATAAGGGACTGTGACTCTTTAGAGGGACACCTGCACTTAGCCTCCTTGATTTCTTTTAATTGTATAGATTGAGTGATTCCCTTGATGACTGTCCATCTATCTTGCTATGTCCAATAAACCATCTCCATGGCTCTGTGTGGGTCACATCCCCCCAACTACTATTATGACATTGCTTTTCATTATGATAATTGCATTGCATCTCGCTTCTGATATTAAGCACCACCACCTGGCCTTTATGATTTCAGGATCCCATCATCCCTGTTGTAGTGAGGGAGCCCAGTTCTCTAGCAGCAGGTCCCTGGCTTACAGAGAAAGCCTCCACTGAACTTCTCAGTGATGCTGGTCCCTGTCTGAGTGATGCATTACATATCACTTTAGTCAATAGAGTGTCCTCTGTCCTGTCCCTGGAATGTAGTCAGCTGGGAGTATTTGCAATGTTTTGTAATACATCCATTCTTGAATGTACTCATCCTTGGGGCCTTTTGGTCCTTTTCTACCATCTTCTACACAAAAGTTCTGGCTTTTCTATTTAGTGTGGGTCATAACCTTCTCCAGTCTTCCAAGAGCCATCCTAGCCGTGTGTTAGAAGGTGCAAATGCAACCAGCATTTTTGTCAGGGCATTAAATACTGTAGACTAGGACAGTGGTCCACTATCAATATGCTCTCCCTTACCCAACCTCATGCTCTGCCCTACAAATTCAGCATCTTCAGGATCCAGTCCCATATGGATTATGTGGCCAGGTGTCACAGCTGATTTATTATATTGTCCCTTTCCTCCCTTAGCAGGCTCCATCTTTCCTGGACAGATTATGTTGGAATTGACTCTATTTGTCTCATACTAGGCCAGGACGGGTGGTGGAGGTAATTCCTGAGGGGTACATGTTGTCTTACAAAGCACAGGCCTCTGCAGTTTTTAATGGTGGGGGCTTTAGGGGGTGGGCATGCTAGCCTTGAACATTTACCAGCTCAGAGAGTTCCAGGCAAAACGGGTTTTAAGGGTTTTTTTTAGTGCACCCACCCAGGTATCCCCTTTCTAAGACTCTCAACCAGGGCATGGCCTTGACATGATAGACTTTCTGCATCTGAGACTTCAACCTTCTATGGAGCTTTGCCATCCTGAAAATTATGGCCTAGAACTGACCCTCAGGTTTTTCTGTCCTTGATCACAGAGATAAGAATCTCTTTATATGTTCCTAAAGAGCTCCTCTGACATTCACAGTATCTCTCAAATTACTGATTACTGACTCAAAGTCATTCACTGTCTTTCTCCAGGGCATGAGATTGCAGTCCACAACAGCCATTCAATTCCATCATCCTCATAAGTACCAGTCCTCTCAGAATCTAACAAACCCTGAGATATTTAAGTGCATTCCTTCTACTGCTATCCCATCCCTGTTCACCACTGATCAAGTAATAATAGTTTCAGTGCTATAGAATGCCAGGGATCTTCCATGTTTCACCTGACACCAGCAATAGTTTCCATATTGCCAGCTGGCCAGCAAGTAATGCAGCTCCAAAATCACATTCATTGTCTGCGTTCTCCAACCACTCCTGACACCAAATGCTTTGGTGATTAGATTCTAAGCCTGCAACCCCTGTTTTGGAGAACGTTTATTAGAGAATGCTCAGGAGTGATACGTGTGAGGGAGTGAAGCCAGTAATATTAAGCAGAAGGAAAAGTTGAAAACAATGTTGTTGTAGCAGACTCAGCCAATCCCCCACAGACTTCTTGAGATGTCTTCAGATATAACGGCCCATCAGAGTTGGCCCAAATTGAGGCAAGGAGGCTGGCCTTTGTTTCCTTACACTGACCAGTCATTTCCCTGGGAACTGATGAAAACTTGAGGGAAGCAACTCCGTTAAGGCCAGGAGCAATTTCCTGTGGGGACTCAGCTGCACAGTTTCAGTCTCCAACATTCCTGCAGCTTGGGAAATCAGTGGCTTAGATCTGAGTCAGTGACTCCAGTCTTCCTTTTTCTGCTCCAGATATCCACGCTCATGTGCCTAGCTGCTGCTAATAATGGCAGCACTGGGTAATATCCACTCATTCTCCACTGTTCCCCCTCTTTCCACAACCTAGTTTAGAACATAAAGAAAGGAACTTAAGAAGGAAAAAAGAAAGAGAAAGCCAATGAAATGAGTACCTCTTGAGGACCTTATAGGTTCCAGGCTCGGTACTAATCTCTTGCATATGTTTCTTCATTTGTCCCTCACAACCACTCAATGAAATAAGGATCATGTCTAGTTTATAAAGAAACCGGGGCTCAGAGCAGGCTGGTACAGTAGCAGGATCTCCTTTTTTTTTTTTTTTTTTTGAGACGGAGTCTCGCTCTGTTGCCCAGGCTGGAGTGCAGTGGCGCGATATCAGCTCACTGCAAGCTCCACCTCCCAGGTTCACGCCATTCTCCTGCCTCAGCCTCCTGAGTAGCTGGGACTACAGGCGCCCGCCACCACGCCTGGCTAATTTTTGTATTTTTAGTAGAGATGGGGTTTCACCTTGTTAGCCAGGATGGTCTCAATCTCCTGACCTCGTAATCCACCCACCTTGGCCAGGATCTCCTTTTAAGTGGCCATGGCCTCTTGGAATCCTGAGATAAGATAGGAAAGCCAGAAACTGATATTGCCCAAAGAACCTTAGGTTTCAGGGCCATATCTGTCATATAATGAGAACAAGGAAACAGATGTCTGACATCTAGCTCCAACAAGAACAATTCAGCTAAGGCTTACATACATCCCCAAAACAACACCTCACAACATCCATCTCAGTTTTAATCACACTACTTTAATGCACTCGTGTTGCCAATTAATCATTCTAACAGCTTATGTCCCATGAAAAATGGCAGAGATGCTGCCTTTTATCCAATGGCATATCTAGTCCAGCACTGAAAGTGGCCTGCACAAGTATGGGATTTAACTAAACATCTTGGCATCAAAGGTACCACTCGGGTCCTCCTCTGCATCTCACATTACCAAAACTGCACACAACCCCTAAGTCAACTGTGCAAGGGAAGGTTGGCAGATGAAAGCAAAATATGCTAAAACTAAGGTGTGGTAGACACTCCGTAGATAGAGGGTGGACCCCACCCAAACTGGAGTTCAGATATTAAGACTGATGATTCCACATACAACACTAAAAAGGTACAGAAAAGTTTGTTAATCACTGTATTAGTATACTCCAGAGAAACAGAATGAATAGGATGTGTGTGTATGATTATATATTCCCTATATATACACACACACATATATGTGTCTATGTATACGTATGTATAGACACATATACATGTGTAATATATGTGTATGTATATATATATACACACACACACACACAGAGATGTGTGTATATGTGTGTGTGTGTGTGTGTGTGTGTGTGTGTGTGTGTGTGTGTGTGTATTGAGGCCAGGTACAGTGGCTCACCCCTGTAATCCCAGCACTTCGGGAGGCCGAGGCAGGTGGATCACCAGAGGTCAGGAGTTCGAGACTAGCCTGGCCAACATGGCGAAACCCCGTCTCCACTAAAAATACAAAAATTAGCCAGGTGCAGTGGCATGCACCTGTAATCCCAGCTACGTGGGAGGCTGAGGCAGGAGAATCTCTTGAACCCAGGAGGCGGAGATTGTAGCAAGCCAAGATCGCGTTGCTGTACTCCAGCCTGGGTGACAGAGCAAGACTCTGTCTCCAAAAAAAGAAAAAAAGAAAGAAAGAGAGAAAAGAAATTAGCTTGCAGAATTGTGGAAGCTAGAAAATCCAAACTCTGCAGGGTCAACCAGTAGGCTGGAGACCCAGTGAAGAGTTGATGCTGCAGCTCAAATCTGAAAGTGGTTTGTTAGCAGAATTTTCTTTTCTCTAAGGGAAGTCAGTCTTTTTCTATTAAAGTCTTCAACTGATTGGATGAGGCCCACCCAAACTATGGAGGGTCCTCTGCTTTACTTAAAGTTGGCCGATGTAAATATTAATCTCATCATAAGAATACCTTCACAGAAACAATTAGAAGAATGTTTGACCAAATATCTGGATATTATGGCCAAGCTGACACATAACATTAACCAGCACATTCACATAATGAGGCTTTCTGTGGGGAAAAGGGTGACTCTAAAGCACACCCAAAAATGGTTTGAGAGAGCTTGGGAAAGAGGCTGCTTAGGGATTTTTGGCTGACAAGGGGGTGGAACGTTCCCACTCAGGGCAGAGGTTCATGTGGCCTGAACCTCCCTCCAGCGCCAAAGGAGGGAGCGTGCAGGCTTTCTTATCCTGCATGTCTAAATGTGGGGCACAAGGGCAAGAGGAAGGGGTGCAGCTTAAAAGATATCAAAAAATAGAATCAGGCTCTGTTTCAAAAGAAAATGTAGATTTCACTCCATTTAATGAATTAAAAAATATAACGATAGAAGTAGAGAACCAAGAGGAAGAAACATTAACCAAAGTAGGTTTGACCACAGACACCTGCCACTTAAAACAGGTGGTCCAAAACATTCAATCTGTAATCCAAAACAGGAAGTCTGGTCCCAGTTGAAGCTATCACCATACACAAAGAAGAATAATTTAGGAGATCACAACCAGCAAGCAAAATGTGGCCAGCTGATACATATTTAGGTCTGGAGAGGAACTAGGCATTATCTCACTAACACCTCAATGATTCTTGTTCTCTCCCTCCTGAAAGCACGTTTGAAGGAGCAAACACCTAAAATCCAGTACATTTCTAGGTACTGAGGAATAAAAAACTGGGAACATGGTAGAAACACAGAAAAATGGTGACAATCTCTACTCAGTGGGATTACGCAGAAATCCCTGAAGTCATCTATTTTGCAGAGAACACATTCCTTAAGGTAAAATACAAATGCTGAAATTCAGTGCCCACCATTCCAAGGGTCTAAGGGCACCTGCGAGCACTTTCGGCCCCTTTAAGCCATTAGGAGACTTTAATTCCTCCTTCTAGGGAGCCAGCAGGGTGGTGAGCTCAGCAAGCCTATAAATTAAGCCATGAGTCCTATTTTCCCAGCAAAGCAAGTTTAGAATGTACTATATAATTCTGCAGACTTGACATACCTCCATTAAAGGGTATGCCCACTGAGTGTGGGATTACAAAAAGAAATTACAGATTTTCTAATAAATGCCTCAAACTGCCAAGAGAATGTGGTTCTCAGGATATTTTTTCCCTTTGTGGCTGAAAATAAACATGTTCATTGCTTTATAGTTTCCTGAAATGATGACATTCTAGTATAATTGCAAATTCTTGTGACAGGCAAAGGATATTTACTGACTGTAATGCTCTATAAAGCGCATGAGTAATAAATAGCTCAGGGAAGCCTTTCTCAGTAGACATGAGTACCAAATAAGTAATCACAAGAACTTTTTTGGTAAGGAGGAACACTCAGTCGTATCTTTTTCCATCAGATTATAATTGATAGATTTGCTCGGTCTTAAAATGTACCTCTCCAAGTTCTGAAATGCAAAAATTGGAGGTAAAATAAAGACTTAAAAGTCCTGTTTTCCTTATTATGTAAGTAAAGAGAAATCCAAATGAAATACCCACTACTATATTCAAACTATACACAGACAATATTTCTTATAAATTGGCTCTATCGGCTGGGCAAAAGACTATTGATATTTGCTCAAGTAAAATTTTAACTAGAACTATAAAGTTGAAGTGAAACATATTCTAGAAGAGTTATTCACTCTACCAAGGAAGCTAAACTTCCCAAATTTACTGGACCAATTGTGTAAGTGTCCTTGCCAGTTACCTAGACCTGACAATTATTTCATACAGAAGATCAGCACACAAACTAATCAGGACACAAACAAGTTATCTCAAAAGCAAATGGGGAAACAGAAAGCAAAATGGAAGACTGAAAATAGGAGAGGATTCTGGGAACACAGTGACCTGAATGCAGCTCCCCCTCCACCTTCCACATGTGCACTCATGATTTCAATCCATCTGCCTCTCTTGAACCAAAGGGCTCCCCTACACTCTTAGAGGAGAGAACCCCTGCAAAAAAGCGATGTGCCTCCAGGGATTGCACCAATCTTGGAGAGCAATGTCAGGGGATCTGGAGCAAGGACATAAGGACAATCAAACCTGGAAAACCATGGCCCAGTGTGGTTTGTGTACCCCAGGTAGGGGCAGGGAACTGTGGTGATAAGGGTGACATCAGCCTCCAGCAAATGTGCTTGAGATGGAGATGGTGACGTCAGTCCTAAGTGTATGGGGTTGTCCTCGCTCCTAAGAAGAGCTCAACAGCCAGACTGTATCCTCCTTGACTCTGAAAGAACAAACATGCAAGACAACTGAGGGCTTCTTCCAGGGGGCTCAGCAGAGGACCACAGCCTGCAAAATGAGACACTTTGCTTTCACTACCTGCAAAAGTACCACCTCTTATCACGTGCCGACAGCTAGCCCTGATGAAATAAAAAGCAAGAAACATAGCAATCCATGGAGTTCCCTGGAGAACAGACTGTGGTTAAGATTGGTGTGCAGGAGGTGCTCTCAGAAGTGCCTGTCGAGTGAAGGAAGCAGGACTGGACAGAGAAACTGAACTAGGATGCAGCCACAGCAAAGACCTTATCCAGCTCTACAGGGACCTCTGGAGCCCGGATGGCCCACCTCGCTAGGATAGGGCAGGGGGCTGCTGGGCCCTTATATCCCTGAGTCCACCATTAGATGCTGCCTTCCTCACAGAAGAAATTGACCAAGGGCAAATCCTGAGGAGGGACTCTGTTAAGAGCTGTGTTCTGCCAGCACTCCCAGCAGACTGTGGAATGACTCCTGCTGATGGGAATCTGGCAGCACCCCACACCTCAGTCCACTCTTAGGCCATTCACCCCCATGTGCTTCATGTAACAAGTTCTGGGATCAGTTTCTTCAGGATTCTCACTGGTCTCTTCCTGAAAAAAAATTAAAGATGAAAACTAGAGGGATGAATTGCCATGCTTCTCTTCCTGCTTCTGCAGCTGGTCTCAAAACCAGCCCATCTCTTCCTCTATTACCTAATCCAGGTTCCCTTTGTCCCTAGGTAGCACTTCCGCTGATCTAGACAGCTTGGCAAAGTAGCACACACCCTCATTTTTGGGGTTCTGAGCCCTAGCTTAGGGCATGGCTGCTGCACTTGTCTATTTGATATCACAAGTGGGCAGGGGAATACCAAGAGATGCCACAGCAAATTGTCTTGTTGCCAAATACATTCTCCACTGTCACCATTAAGTACCAGCTCCTCTGCCCTTTCCTGGTGTGACCAGGATCAAATGTCCCTGCCAGAAGAGTCACTTCTTTCTGTGCCTGCTGTTCTCTTGTGTCCCCTCATGGAAGTGCTCTTCCTCTAGGGAACCAAGGTGTCTAACCCATACTGCCTAGAATTATAGAGACAGGAAGCACACAATCTCTGCCACAATGTACTCTATTCACATGCCCATTGTGCCAGCACCGAGTGACTGGTGTCAGAGGCTGGCTGATGACTTTCTCCTTCCACATAGATGTTCATATGATATTCAAGGCTCTCTTACTTCATGTCCGCTCCCACAGGTCCATCATGTCTCTTACTCAGACCTCCTTGTCTTTGGTTATCCAGTATTTCTCCCTCCAGGCATTTGACCAAACAGCCAGGATATAAACCATTACCTATATGTACATATTTATTCTTCTCTAAGGCAAAATTCTCAAGCGTGGAATATGCTACCACCAAAATATGAAGCAGCTCCTCAGGCTCTGTGCTTCCTTCCTACTGACAGGAGGTATATGATGTAATAACATTTCCTTTACCTTGGAGGTCATCTTCCAGACCACAGAAGCCCTATAAAATTTACTAATTTAATGGGCTCCTGAATCATCTATAGGCATTATTTCCACTTTCTGGAGCCTTGAACCTACTTGGTGCTTCTCTTTCATCCAATCCAATTAGCACAATGTCATAATAGATTGACACAATAGACCAGTAAGATATTCTGTAGAATATCTAGGCAGTTCATATCTCTTTAGAACTACAGAATGGCAGGGGGTGGGAAAGTTAATATAGCCCTAGGGAAAAACCATACATTCTCTTGTTCACTCCAGAGCATGTGAGCTATGTCTGATTCTCTTTCCTGTGGAAGGAGATAGAATAGAATACATATTTGGCAGACAAAATGTCACATACCATGTTTGTGAGGTATTGTTTTTTTTTCTTGTTTTTTGTTTGTTTGTTTGTTTGTTTTGAGAAGGAGTCTCGCTCTGTCGCCCAGGCTAGCATGCAGTGGCGCCATCTCGGCTCACTGCAAGCTCCGCCTCCCGGGTTCACACCATTCTCCTGCCTCAGCCTCCCGAGTAGCTGGGACTACAGGCGCCCGCCACCACACCTGGCTAATTCCTTTTTTGTATTTTTAGTAGAGACAGGGTTCCACCATGTTAGCCAGGATGGTCTCGATCTCCTGACCTCGTGATCTTGCCGCCTCAGCCTCCCAAAGTGCTGGAATTACAGGCATGAGCCACTGCGCCAGGCCTTTGTGAGGTGTCGTTAATTTGCTCTACCAAAGACAGCACAACTGGCACAAGAGCTACAACTGGGGCCACTATTTGTGAATTTGTGATAGTTCACTCTCATGCTCCAGGATCCATTTGGATTTTTCAGGAGGCTGACTATTGAATTAGAGATATGATTTCTTTACTTCTTCAATGTCTGTCACACTTGGGCAAAATGGTATTTTTAATCAACTTTACTGAGGAATAATTTACATACAATAAAATGCACTCATTTTGAGTGCATAGTTTGATGACTTTTTGACAAACGTATGAATGAATGTAATCAGTACCACTGCAATCAAAATATAGAACATTTCCATCACCCCACTATGTTCTTTTGTGACCCTTTTCAATTTACTATTTTGATTGAGGGGGAAAGTTTCAAAGGATTCCACATAGCTTCTCTACTGGGAAGGTTCTTAACCTACAGTTCTGAGATTCAATGTGGGAGTTCTACTAACTGGCAGTTATGTCCGCTGCAATAATATACTGAGGGACTAGAGAGATGCTCACCCAGTGGGTTTGTGGGACTGGTGGACCTGAACCAGAACTCTTCCATTTCTCACCTGGTCTCCACGTATCCTCCTAAGAGGGGGCCATGTTAAAACAGCAAGTTTCAATCTCAGTTTCTAGCTCATTACTTCTATTCAATAGTCTTCAAAATGTCTGGGACTTGCTCTTCCATCATTGTTTCATAACTGTATACTATAGTCATTCACGATTTTGCAGGGTCCTTCATCCTTCAGATCCAGCCACTCCTTCAGTTAGTGGCTTCCATGTCTAAAAACTTGGTTCTATATATTAAACAAAGGACTATGATTTTTTTGGGGTGGTCATCCTTAACATATTGTCAACCATTCTTGACTTCTTTTGATTGTATAAAATAAGCAACCCTCTTGCTGACTGCCCATCTCTACAGATTTCTGTAGGTTTGGCACTCTTGGATATCACTTTGACTTGCTATTCATGATGATAATGGTGCCTGCTCTGCATTCTATCATACAGGGCCATCAGGGAGCCTGGTTCTGAAGCAGCATTGCCTACTGTCAGCCCTAGACAATAGAAGACGCCACTAAGCTTTACTGCAAGGCCATGGCCTGTTACCAGTACTTTTCTCATTATACAATAAACAAGTATTCTCCAAGCCCACATAACATAGTTGGCTGGTGAGTTTTCTGGCCCTATGTAGAATATCTACTTTAGTATGCCTACATCTCTGAGTCTTTTTTGTTGTTGTTAAAGCCAGTCAAATTTAGCAGTGGGGGGTTGTATACCTACTTTAATGACACCAATGTTAATAAGTTCTCGTATACATCTTTGGGTCTTTTGATCCACCCTTCAATTATTGGCCATCATAATTCTAATATTTCAACGTTACATGGTATGGGCCATCATTATCTCCAAGCTTCCTAGAGCTTAGGTATTAGCACCATCTTCTGGGACCCTGTCAGGGTTTTAAATTCTTTATATCAGAACAGTGCTCATATCAATAAATTCTCCCTTATCCAGATTTATGTTCCACCTTCATCACACCAGCACTTTCAGGCTCCTGTCCCATACAGCCTCTCCTGGCTCCTGCCTACCCATGTTAGGTGGGTCCAGCAGCACCTTCAGGACACAATTCTCCTCCTCCCTCAGCAAGCCCAGCACTTCTCTAGACACATTACATTGTTCATCATGTGAGTTACTGGTCTAAAGCCATGCAGCCAGGTGTGGTACCTTCTGAGTGGGGTCTTTCTGTGCTGAAAAAAAAAACAAAAAGGATTTTGTATCATGTTCAACCATGCTACAATGCTAGCTTTTGATGGGGAGGAGTGATCCCAGAGACTTCAGAGGAATTTGGGGATTCAAGATTCAAGATGATAAGTGCATCATTCCACATGTCCCTATTTCAAGTCTCAGGTTCCCATTCCCAAATGAGGCCCTAACCTCAGGGTAGCCAACCTCTTAGGGTTGAAAATTTAATCTTCCTTCATGGCTCACTACCCTTATAATTAAGTTTGGGACCTGAACCTCAGCTTTTTCTACCCTCCATTTACAGGAGATGAAAGAGTCTTTATATGCTACCAAGTAGGACTTCTTGGTGATTATCCCCAAACTTGTCTCGCTCCAATGTATTAAAGACTCCCAGCAACAGCAATCTGATTCCAAAGTCCTTGTAATTACTACACTCAAATGCCTGAGATACTCCTCCAGCAGGGCATTCTGGTCTACCTATGTGTAATTCCTCCTCAGCACCAGGTAAAGATTAGGAATTGCACCAAGACTGTATGCCAGGGGCTCTCAGTGCTCTATCTCACACCAATGATGGGGGTCCTTGCTGCCAACCTGTGCCATGGGATTCAGCTCTAAAATCCCTGTTGTAGATCGTGTTCCTTGGAAAACAGACTCTGAGGCTCTGAGATTTGCATGCCAGAGGTTTATTGGGGAGGACTCTCAAAAACAATACCTGTCGGGGTGAGGGAAGCAGGATTGGGCAGAGGGAGAACTTTCAGTGCCATGTATTTGCTATGAAGGCCTCAGTCATCTCACTGGGAGCTGTTGGAGCTGGGACTCTCCCTCAGACTTGCCCCAATTGAGGCGGGACTTTGTACCATACATCAGCCAGTCATTGATGTGGGCTCTCCCCAGGGAGGAAGTGTGGCCTGGGTAAGGCGACTCTCCGGCTGGGGACAGTTCCTGGGGAGAAACTCATCTGTGAGTTATCAGCAACTAACTCTTCCAGGAGTTGGGGAAACAGGGGCTTCTAGAAAAGTGGCCTAAGGATAGCCTACAGCATTCAAGACTCCATCAAAGTGGGATTTGTAGACTGAGAACACTTAAAACACACAGAACACATGCCCAGTTAACTCAAATTGCTGGGGAAGTTTGAGATTCATTTGAACAAAAATAGTAACAGTATTTAATTCTATTCCCCTGAAACTAAAAATTAGGATTTCCCAACTATATAATGAAGTTAACAAGGTTTGTTGCTCACCCCGTTTGCTCTTTCATCTTCCCTAACTTGAGTTATCTGTTCTGCTTTATTGACTGTTTGGTTAGACATATTCTTGAGTGTTTTCATGATCTCATACATGGGGGATATGAAATGTCATATATCATCACATACCTTTCTTTCTGTCAGGGTCTCTAAACTCTTCCAAATTCCTTTTTTTTTTTTTTTTGAGACAGAATCTCACTCTGTCGACCAGGCCAGAGTGCAGTGGTGCGATCTCAGCTCACTGTGAGCTCCACCTCCCGGGTTCACGCCATTCTCCTGCCTCAGCCTCTCCGAGTAGCTGGGACTACAGGTGCCCGCCACCACTCCCAGCTAATTTTTTGTATTTTTTGCAGAGACGGGGTTTCACCATGGTCTCGATCTCCTGACCTCATGATCCGCCTGCCTTGGCCTCCCAAAGTTCTGGGATTACAAGCGTGAGCCACCGCGCCCAGCCAACTCTTCCAAATTCTTAAGTTGTAGTCCTTTTTACTTGTAACCTGTAGATATTATTTCAAAATACATTTTTATTAAGTTTTAGTTATTATTGGCAGCAATTCACATGATTGAATTTTTTTGTCTTTTAGAGACAGGGTCTCTGTTGCCCAGGTTAGTCTCAAACTCCAGAGCTCAAGTGATCCTCTCACATCAGCCTCCCAAGTACAGGTCCTCCCTGAGGCTACAGGTGTGCACCACCATGCCTGGCTCACTTGACTGAGTTTAATGTTGTTTAGTCACCAACAGAACAATGATGTCCTAAATCAGTGGTCCCCAAACTTTTTGGCACCAGAGACCAGTTTCGTGGAAGACAATTTTTCCATGGATGGCAGATGGCAGGGGGGATGGTTTCAGGATGAAACTGTTAGTTAGATTCTCATAGGAGCACACAGCCTATATCCCCTACATGTGCAGTTCACAATAGAGTTCGTGCTCCTATTAGAATCTAATGCTGCCACTGATCTAACAGAAAGTGGAGCTCAGGCAGTAATGCTCGGCTTGCCCTCCTGCTGCTCACCTCCTGCTGTGCGGCCCAGTTCCTAACAGGCCACAGACCAGTACCTGTCTGTGGCCTGGCAATTGAGGACCCCTGTCCTAAACAACTTTGTGTTCACCCTGATTGTGGAGTTGTGTAGTGACCACAGGCATGAACAGTCTGGGCTACCTCCAGCCCTGTATATATATATATATATATGCATACACATAATGGGGACTTCAGAACTTTAAAAAGGGGTGTCACTTAGCCCTGTTTATATATATATATTGGGGACTTCAGAACCTTAAAAGGGGGTGTCACTTAGCCCAGGTTGCCACATCATTTGACTGAGGTTTACATTTCTTTGGCTTTTAAGGTATTTGCATGTTTTTCCTGCCTAGCCCTTACTAAAAACCTTTGAACTTGATCGAATTCCACTCTTCTCATATTTTTTCTTATTTAGGAGTGACACAATTACTTCAGATATTAAAATGATGTCTAACTGGATTCTGAGTATCACACAAGACTGAGTCCACTGTTACAATTTCTAAATGGTCCTTCCTATGACACCTATTTAACATACATTTACCATATTTCATCAAATTTACAGTACATATTTTTTCATATTTTAATGTCTTGAGATCAGGGTGAACCTTCAAATTGCTGTTAGCCGGCGATCAGTGTTGAAACACTAGCACTGCCTGCACATTGTATTAAATTTTCTATGGCAACTTGCTGTGACAAGTTGCTACCATCATAATGCCTGGAACCACACAAATTTGTTATCTTACAGTTCTGGGATTCAAAAGTCTGAAGTGGGTCTCATTGGGTGAAAATCAAGGTGTCACCTGGGCTCCATTCCTCTATGGTTCTAGGGGAGTTCTAGGGAAGAATCTGTTTCCTTGCCTTTTTCAGCTTTTAGAGGCTGCCCTCTTTCCCTGGCTTTTGGCCTCTGCTAGCTTCAAAGTCGGCAGCAGCATCTGGATTCTTCTCACATTGCATCACTCTGACCTCCTTTACTGTCTCCCTCTTCTGCATTTAAGGACCTTGTGATTCCTTTGGCCCGCTCAGATATCAAGGATAATCTTAATATTTTAAGGTTGGCTGATTGGCAACCTTAATTTTCTTTTCTTTTCTTTTTTTTTTTTGAGATAGAATCTCGCTCTGTCACCCAGGCTGGAGTGCAAGTGGCACGATCTTGGCTCACTGCAACCTTCACCTTCCAGGTTCAAGCGATTCTCCTGACTCAGCTTCCTGAGTAGCTGGGATAACAGGCGCACACTACCACGCCCAGCTAATTTCTTGTATTTTTAGTAGAGACGGGGTTTCACCATGATGGCCAGGCTGGTCTCGAACTCCTGGGCTCAAGTAATCCACTTGCCTTGACCTCCCAAAATGCTGGGATTACAGGCATGAGCCACCACTCCAAGCCTTGGCAACCTTAATTTTCTATCCCACGTAGCCTAACATATTCACAGGTTCTCGGGATTAAGACATTGAGACTTTCTGGGGAGGGACAATATTCTACCTACCACATACATGCAATATAAAACTTGCAGAACTCGTGTCAGAGGTTTGAAAGAAAATCTCAGAGACAAGAGAGAAGCATTCTTTGAAAATATTCTACATTGCCACAGCTCTTTGTGTCACAGACGATGACATTATATGGGGGAAAAAAATACAAATGTCAACTATATGACTTGCAATATTTTGACTGTAATTCTAGAGTCAATGGCATCTTAGATTGAAGGAAACAGAGTATAAATTCACAGATAGTCAATTTTAATATTTTATATTTAAGTAAAAATATAAAATACATAAATGTATATGAACACGTACTTTTCCGAGGACATAATTTTGTTCTGCATCCCTGTGGTGATGGTGTCATTAGCACTAAATGCAAAATTGGAATTGTAAGCACTGCAGATTTGTATTCCATGCAGAAACTGGATTTCTGCATTTAAAATAATAACCAAAACATGAAAAGGCAATGTGAATATGAGCTTGCAGATAAGGCTTATAAGAGTAGAATTAAGGGCTAAGATGCTATAAGAAAAAGAACATAAACAATATTAGAAGATGAAAGCTTATTTTTCTTTTACAAAGTAGTGCTTAAGTGAGCAGTCCTGATAAAGATGCCATTTTTTCCATATGGCTATTCAGGGACCAGGTCCTTTCTATCTTGTTGCTCTGCCCTCCCCAAAGGCATCTGTGCCCTTGGCATGAAGCAGGGGCTGGCATATCTGCATTCTAGCTGAGAGAGGGAAGAAGAGAAATTCTAGGGGAATATTTTTTTAGTAGATATTTTAGCACAGCATATTCTATGATCACAGTAGAATAAAATTAAAAGTAAATAATAAAAGGGTCGCCAAAATGATCTCGACAACTTGGAAATTTAAAAGCACTCTCTTGAATAAGCCTGAAGTAAATCCCGAGAATAAAATAGAAAGAGAAATTAGGAACTGTTTGGATAATAAATCCTATATGATACAGCAAGATCTTTGCAGAGAAAAATTTATTGTTTGCTATTACAAAAAAAGGGCTAAAAATTAAAGAATTAAATATTCCCTCTTTAAAATTAGGATAATAAACACAAAATAAACTTAAAGAAACTAGGAAGAATTAATAATAATAAAAGGTGAAATTAATAAAATAGACCCCCAAGTCTGAAAGAATAAACAAATTACAAACAGTTCCTCCTTTGAAAAGATTATAAAATGATGTTTAAAAAAAAGACTCACAAGCCTGATTAAAGATAAAGGAGAGATCCTAAAAATAAGAGCAATAGGATGTATAACAGATACAGACAGAGAAGAGATTAAAAATTATGAGAATTCTATGTGTAACTCTATGGAAAACAAATTTGAAAATCTAGAATAAATGGATAATTTCATAGCTGAATATAAGTCACCAAAATTACCCAAATGAAAACTTGAATATGGAAATTACCATAGAAGAAAGCTATCATTACGAAAAAAAAAAAAGAAGTCACTAGGGCAATTTTATCCAATCTTCAAATTGTTATAGTTGTAAACTTACTTAAATTATTCCAGACTCTAGAAAAAAAGTGAAAGTTCTTGAATTTATTTTATATTACAGCAATTACACCAAAACCTATGAAAGATGGTAACACAAAAATGAAAAAACAAGCCACAGATTAATCTTACAGTGAATATACTACAAATACTAAGCAAAACATCAGCAAAATCCCAAAGGAGTAATATGATATAACGAAGAGTAGTTTATTTCGGGAATGCAAGACGGTTTAATGGTAACAAATACATCAACATAATCCCTTACATCAATACATTAAGGGAGAAGAATTATTGAAAATGTTAATAAATGCCAAGATGTTATTTGATATAATTCAGTAGTCATCTCTATTTTAAAAACTTTAAAAATAATAGTAATAGAAGAACACAACTTATAACACAGAATATTTATGAAAAAGCAAGCACATATATTTTCCTAAATGGTAAACCATCACAACCATCTTAATTAAAATTAGGAACTTAGCAAGTAGGCCCAGTATCTTCATTACTATTTAATATTATCTCTGATTTTTAGAGAAAATTAAATAGCTTGCATAAGAATTGAAAATGAAGATACAAAATTACTTCTTTTCATTGGTAACATGAATCCATGCCCAGGAAGCCCACAAGAAATTCAAGTTTAAAAAATAAAAACCTTTAGAATAAATAAAATTGACAAGGTAGCTGGATATAAGATAAATATCTAAATATCAATATATTTTCTCCATAGAAGTACTTAGAGATAGAAAACAGGAAAATATTATATTTACAGTAGCAACAAATAAAATACTTGGAATAAAGTTTCCAAGAAAGATACAGGACCTGCATAAAGAGGATGGTAACTCTACTGAAGACATAAAATAAGGTCTGGCAAGTGGAAGGATACACCATGTTCTTGGCTGGAATACTTAATTTTATTTAAAAATATCAGTTATATAAATGTAATGTCATTTTGATTAGAATTTTGACAAGGTTTTTGCTTTTATGAAAGCAAAGAGGGTGGGAAGAGAAAGAATTAGATAATTTTATACTAAAACACTTTTGAAAGACTATGTAAAAAATTAAAATTTCTGTATAGCATAAGACACTTGAAAGGCAAAAGAGACACAGTGGCTATAAGAAAAAAAAATGCGGCTGGGCGCGGTGACTCATGCCTGTAATCCCAGCACTTTGGAAGGTCAAGGTGGGCAGATCACCTGAGGTTGGGAGTTCGAGACCAGCCTGGCCAACATGGTGAAACCCTGTGTCTACTGAAAATACAAAAATTAGCTGGGCATAGTGATGTGTGCCTATAGTCCCAGCTACTCGGGAGGCTGAGGCAGGAGAATCACTTGAACCTGGGAGGCGGAGGTTGCAGTGAGCCAAGATCGTGCCACTGCACTCCAGCTGGGGTGACAGAGCGAGACTCTGTCTCAAAAAAAAAAAAAAAAGTGTCAGAGTTGATATACAAAGGGGTATCTTTGTAATATACAAACAGATCTCACAATTTGATAAGAAAAGGATAAAAATCAAATAAAAATCAAATAAATGCCTATTCAAATATATGAATAGGCAATTCTTAAATAAATACTTTTTTTTGACAAACATATTCCTTAAACATATCCACACTGTCAACCAGCAAATTCACTAATAGTTAGGAAACTGCAAACTAAAGTAACAATGAAATTTTACTTTACACTTGAGTGGCAAAAATTAAAGAGAATCATATTTAATTCCTACTGCTTGGCAGACACATGGGATAAAGATACAAATACTGCTAGGTATAAATTTGATGTGTTACAGCTCTTTCAAAAGGTAATTTCAATTTCTGTGAAAATTTAAAATATATAATATACTCTTTAACGCTGCAATCTCAACTTCTTAAAACCTATCCCAGAGACATAAAAACACCACTGGCAAGTGTGGACATAGGTATTGTGATATTTATTAAAGCATTATTCATAGAACAAAAAATGGAAGCAAAGTGATTAAATTATGACCCATTTACAACATGAAACATTAAGAAGCCATTAAAAGGAATAAATAGGAACTATTACGTATCAATTAATTCAGAACTATTTCCATGAAATCCTGCTTATAAAAATCCTGCTTTATTTTTGTACATGCATATATAGGTCTGTATATAATTGTATGAAAATAGAGGAAAAAATTTAAAAGATATCATTTGTCAACATGGATCACTGAGAGGGGGAAGAAAAAGGAGAAAAAAGAGTTCTGGGAACCCAGCAAAAAGAGAAAGGAAAAAGTAACATTTTACTTGAAGAATGTGTAATATAATCAAATTATACATTTAAGTAAAGTTATAAACCTGTATGTGTGTATACAGTTTTTTAAAAATAGAAAAATTTAAACGTCAACTATTAGATTATGATTTAAAAAGCACGCAACTGAATTAAGACCCAGGGGAAAGACAATATCATAAAGCACTACACTTTAGTCACTATGGTAACTTGCAAAGTATTTTTGCAGAGCTGTTCTCACAGCTCCCACACGTACAATCAAAACAAATATGCTAAACACTAAAATTTAAAGAGAATTGGTCATTTTATGTGTTGTATTAACACATTTAATAGTGTCATTGTACATAATATAAAATTTATGTTAAATCCATATAATGTTATGCAGTCAAGGCCATCTATTTTTGTTTACTTTGATAACTGTGTTTCCAAAGGACTAATAGTATAAAGAAAAATTTTTGATGGTGCAGTACAAAGTGATGAGAGAGACTACAAGCAAATATAATGTGCCCCATTCAAATATATGTATATGCATATGTGTATATACCTATTTGTATATACTACCGCTATAGTATATGCTACATTTGTATATAGTATCACCTTTTATAAATTATTTACATGAGCTAATTTCCATAACAGTACTAAAAGAATTAGCTACGTTATCCCCTTTAGAAGAAAATAATATGTAAATAAATAATATAGCATATTTACCACTATGAATTTTGTCTTTTCCTCCGTTTTGCCTTATCCATTCAATTTTATGTGTAAAAAAAAAATCACAGTAAATTTTGTTGAAAAGAAAAAGCAAATGGTGGGAGATGAAATTTTGAAAAAATTATTTTTCTATCACTCTTAATGATTCAAATTTCACCAATATTTGAAATATGAAGCCCCAAAGCAACTGTGCAATCAAGTCTCCTAAAGTAGTAGGTGTTTTGGTAAATATAGAAATAATTGATACTAGATTTTAAAGTACATTGAACGTTATTTCTCACCAGAGATCTCACTTCTATCCAACCAAATCTGCTATACCCTTCCAAAGTCCCTGCCTCATCCTGCAAATATTACATCCTCCTTTGAGGATCCTTCCCTGACTCTGTCCAGCAGAGGACTTTTTGGCTCTTCCCTTCTGTCCTTACCACTGGTACTATACTTAGGGGGTTGTATATTCTTCTCCCTGCTTGGTTGTGAGCAAACAGGGCAAAACCAAATTTCTGTACCTTTCGTGCCTGACTACATACATGCCTACCAACTACCCACTCACACATCACTTATTTCCCATTCTGTGCTCTTGCCCATGTTACCTCAATCTTTAATATTCTCACCCGTCTCGCTAATCTGTGTTTCCTGCAAACCTGACAGCATTTCCCTCTGATGACTTCTTATCTCTACAGTCCACTTATCCCCAGCATAGAGATTTATCTCCTCGTGTCTCTGCACTGCTTCCAATTGCTTTCTAATGACTCCACATGTGCAACCTTTGTATCCAAAGCAAGATCCTAAACAGAAACCGTGGGTGCTATTTTTTTAATTTCCAAATATGCTAGTACCAAACATAAGTAATTTAACCATCAATACTGGTTAAATTAAGGAACATATTTTTTCCCCTCTAGATTCTCATTGTATTGTCAAATATGTTATTAATGTATAATTTTCTGATTTCTATTTAATGGATAGATTAGGGAGCATACACACAAAAACAATGACCTCAAAATACTTCTGGGAAAGTGGTGAAATGAGTCTCTCTTCATTTGCCTACAAGGACCCAAGTTCCTTCCTCCTACTAGAAACAGCTCTTGATGCTAATTGCTGCTCTTATACATATGGAATTAACATCTCTAACTGCCTGCAAGTATCTTTATACCCAAAGTTCCCTTAGAAACATAATGAGATGAGTGGAAATGGAAATAATACATGAGATCAGAAAAATAATAAAGTAGGTGAGCTGTGAATAAAGGATAAATAATCCAAGGCATAATTCTTATCTAGTCCTCAACAGAAACCCTCTGAGAGTTAGTTTCATATTTCCTGAGAATAGACGGAGGAGGGGGGGCATTACTTGAGAAGCAAGTGAAAGAAACATAAAATATATATGACTACCCATCATCAATAAAGAGTCATAATAAGGCTACCAAAACCAAACTGGAGAACAACAAAGGAATAAAAGTATTTTGAAGTTTGGTGCAGTCCGTTTATATAGACATTTTTCCCTTATGAATTTTCACAAAATCATCCATTCTTCAAAGCTAACCATGATTTGATCAAGACAATGAAAAATCTAAGATTATTTTTTGACATAGACATTTACATTTTTAAAAAAAGCTGAGTCCCAGTGTAACAATAAATGCATAGCACACATGAGTAAAGAAAATGGCTATCGGATTGATATTCCCCCTTAAACATACGGCATTGACATCAAGAACTCACAACCACCCAGGCCACGACCTAAGACCAGCTGTAATGTGAATCCACTAAAAAGTAGGGAAAATTCCTGTGTTGCATTAAACTTTAGTTTCTTTCCAGAGCTATTATTTTAACAGATACTCATTATACGTGTACTTCACTTCATTATCATTTTTTTCTCCGCAAGGTTAGTTCAAAGTGTAGGACCAAAACGTTATAGAAAGAGGTGGCATAAAGAGTAAAAGCTGCATTTCTAATTATCCCAGCTGAAGATCACTTTTCCATATGTTGATGTTCAAATGAGTCAGCACCCTAGTGGACTCTGATGTGTCTTAGATGGACAGAAATACTCTAAATTTCATCATTGAAAATACAGATACGTTGAAATTTTATAATTCTGGATGAATAGTAATGGATATTAATCTTATTAATCCTATCTATTTGAGTACACACTGGTGGAAAATTTAAGAGCCAGAAAATTTTTAATATATTTCCAATGCTCCTGAAAGGAACTGGGTGGTTTTTATTCAAAATAGTGGGCTGGCAATATTTGCATAGAAGAACCAGCATTCCTACACAAAAGTTTAAAAATATAAAAGCACTGTGGCCAAAGCAAATATTTCTCACTTGAAGGAATAATGGAGTGATGGATTATGCGGATCAGTGGCCCAAAGATTCCAAATGTACTAGCTAATAACCACGTTTCTACTTCTCTATGGTACAAAACCTTGCATCTTTCAGTGAATCCAATCAGAGGCTGGTAGCCATTTGTTATTCTGACTTTTCCTGGAGAACAACTCAGCCATTCTCATTAAATTAAGAACATTAACATTTGTCACATTCTGAGGATATTTTAATAATAATGCATTCATGGCCAGGTGCAGTGGCTCATGCCTGTAATCCCAACACTTAGGGAGGCTAAGGCAAGTGGATCACTTGAGTCCAGGAGTTTGAGACCAGCCTGAGCAACATAGTGAAACCTCATGTCTACAAAAAATACAAAAAATTAGCTGGGCATGGTGGCACGCAACTATAGTCCCAGCTACTTGGGAGGCTGAGATGGGAGAATTGCTTGAGCCAGTGAGGCAGAGGTTGCAGTGACCCAAGATCAAGCCACTGCACTCCAGTCCAGCCTGGGTGACAGAGTGAGATCCTGTCTCAAATACTACTATTACTACTAATAATAATAACAATGCATTCATGTTGTTGTCCTCCCAGGCACCTTACCCTCTTGAAGAGGCAACAACATGTAGGGACTTTGGAGTCAGACTGACCCAAGGTCAGATTCTGGCTCCATCATTCAAAGCCATGTGGGCCTGAGAAAGTCACTTAACTTCAGTTAAGCATTAGTTTCCCTATTAGAGAAAAGGAAATAATAAAAATTTGACTTGGACTGCTGCAAAATGCCCAACCCAATGCCTGACATACAAGGCACTCAATAAGTGGTAGCTGATAAAATTACTTTTCCAGTATGGCACTGACTGGAGAATAAGAGACCCTTTGACCTGAGTAATCTTGTAATTTGTCTTTTACCCACTTGTTAGGCTAGATCAGACGTGATGGCTGAATACAGGATGGCTAGAGAGAGGAGTTATTGCAGGTTTCTTCCAGCTGAGCCTCGATACCTCACTTTCCTCCCAATACAAACACGTGGTTCTTTCTTTTTCTCTGCTCAGAGGGCATCTTATTAACGAGGGCTTTCCTGAACACCTTACAAAAACGTCCTCCTTATTCTTTATATTTCTACATGGTACTTACATCATATGAACATTTTTCCATTTCTTTTTATTTGTAAACTGCCTGTCTCCTGCCACTAGAAAGCAAGCTCCCTAAGGGCAGGGACTTCGTCTTATTCACAGCTCTGTTTCTTATAACCTGAGTGGCACACAGTAGATCAACAAATATTTATTAAATAAGTAATTTTCTCAAAATAATAAACTGTTTCCTGCCAGGCAGTGATCTGGAAACACCAGAAGGCTGGCACTTCTTCCAAAACTCCTAATGGATCTCATTCAAGGAGCAGGGGGGCCCTCTGTGCTGACCTCCAAGCTGAAAATGACAATGGAGATTTTGAGAAATGTTTGTCTTTCTGATCTGTCAATGTACTGTTTATATCTCATTGTCATCCATATTTCCTTTTCTTGTCTCGGTAAATGCTATTATCTCTCTTAATGTCAAGCTCTTAGGTAAAAGCACTATGTCTATAACATTTTCTGCCACCACCAAGTTTTAGATACTTAGTACATGCTGAGGGGTGATGATCTTTGCTATGTGGAAAGGATAGCATGCTCTTAATTTTGGCCTCAGAGACAATCTTTACATTCTAGAAATGATATAAAACAGATTGGGAGATACCAACTATGTCTTCTAGAGATATATGTTATTGAAAAAAATACAATAGAACATGCAGAAGTGATTCTGATTTTAAAATTTTAAACAGAATTAAAAACAAGGTTTTACTTTTTTGTTACTGTTGCTTAAAAATTTTGTGCAAGTTTATCACGGTGACAATAAAACAATGAATAATGCCAGAATAGTTCAAGAAAAAGCAGAATTTTACCTGAGTTATTTAGAATAGTTGCTCCAAATTGCTATCTTCCTATGTATCATATTAAGTAATGAACTTTAAAATATTGATAGCCATCAAAATACACACATCCAATGGACTTATCCTCAACTGAAGCATATTTCTCTAGCAAACGGTACCGTCACTGAAGTCAAAAATATGTGAACTGTAATTATAACACTCACAAATTGTATACCACTTTAAATTAACTTTATTGAATTACAATTAAGAGACTATTGACCTTTCAGATGTTGAGTGCACTTGGTTTTAACTTTAAACAATCAACTGTAGGTCAGTCATTTCTTCAAGTCGATGTCCAGATTTTAAAGGATAATTGAAGATTCTGAATCACATACTCATAAGCTGATTAATTGTGACTGACACAGTCTCTGCTGCTAAAGTCTGGATCAATGGCAAATTTACTCATATTACAAAATTTGCTCATGCAGTGGTTTCCTTTTGTTAAGTAGTATCCTTAAAAAAAAAAATCCCATACAATCTACACCAAAATGTCCTTTCTGGCTCAGAAAACAAGTAGTAAATATTTAATAGTCTTTTAAATATGTGTAACCCTTTACAAAGTAAACTGTATTAAGTTGTAGGACTATACGCCTTAAGCCCTCATTGACCAACTCTAAACTGTGAGATCCAAATGTTGGCAGTCAAAAATCTCTCCTTTGCAGCTTCTCAAGGAACTGACCACTAGATAACCCAGAAAAAAAGTAAAACATAAAAGAATCCCCTTTTATATGATCAAATAGTAGAAACACCACCATAATTACAGCAATAGAGCATTATTGACATGTAGTATGGATGCTTATAAGCGATAGCAATCATTTCTAATGAGAAATACAGTATAATATTGAATAGTTATAAAGATACACTTTCAATTTCATTTTCAATCTATGTTCATTAGCAACAGTGGAGGCTAAATCTTATTTAAGTAGAAATGAATTTCAATATGCAGAATGAATGAATCCATTTATGCAGCAGGTGAAATTCCACGAGATAAACATATATTTATTCTAAGTAAGCAGAAAGCTACATATTACACTGTCTGGGTAGAAATACCTGAAATTTCATGCGTTTGAGTGTCTTAATTCTTTTTTTATTTACAACAAAGTCACACACCCAAAATGCTATTTTAAAATCAAAGAAATCTGTTCTGAATCTCATTTTACTATTTAATAGAGCAGCTGAAAAATGACTTAAAGATGTGGCCATATGGTGTGAAAATCCAGAATCAAGGAAAGAATGAGATACTGTAAACATGTAAAAAGCAATAAAAGGAGGCAACTCTAAGCTCAGTTAATGAAAAGCTGATGATGGAGACTGTCTTTTATTGATTACATTTGAGGACACTGACTCACTGGTGTTTTCCAAAACATAAATTCTGCATTTCAAGTGTTTGAGAGATTCAGCTAAGTCTCTTTCCCTCAGCCTGGAATTGTTTGCACAGAAAGACTCCATAGAATAAATTACTGAACCTTCCAGCACAGCTCAATTAACTGAATGAAGCCGGGAGAGAAAAGCTCCAATCTGGTAGCCACAGAACAGAACCTGGCATCGTTTTTGCTTAAAGAGTTTACAAGTAGATCATGGGGCATTTAAAAGACAGCCTGAATTTAAGAGTAAAGACAACAGGAAGAGGCATGAGGAGCTCCAACTCACACTTTTTCCCACTGGCGTTTCTGCAGGAAGTAAGTCAGGTGTTTGCATTCTCGAGTCATTTGATGTCTGTCTTTATGAGGAATTGTGATGTCTCTACCCTCTTTCCCCAGCCTCACACATAAGTTGAGCCAGACTTTCTGTTCCCTAGAAGTTCAGAACAGCTTTTTCCTTTAACTGTCCCTTATAAATGTAACTCAACTTGATGCAACAGAACCTGAAGTCACTTGATAAATGATTAAACCAACTATACCTAGAGAGTTATCTAGTTCTGACTCAACACCAGGGCTTGGAATTCAGCTATTGGTACATTAATTTATTTAGCAAAGGTTTTCTGAGACCAGGTATTGGAATTACCAAGTGGAATAAAACAGCCCTGTTCTCAAAGATCTCAGTCTAGTGAGAAAAACACCCTGGCAAACAAAAGTTATAATAAATGAGTTAAATACCCCAGCCAAAGTGCATAAAGTTTTCAGAAGGAGCTTCCAAATTGGGAAAGTGCTACAGGTTCTGTGGAGGTACAGTTCACCTACGTCCTCAGAGCAATTTTAGATTTCACTTCATGGGACACATGAGGATGAGCTCAAGGCATCTGAGACATTTCCCTCACTTCCTTGAAAGAGTAGCATGACCCTTCTTCTCATCCATCCCTTCCTCTTCATTCCACCACGTGAGCGGCACAGAGAGATCAGAAGGGCCCTGAGGTTGACTTTCAGAACAAGAAAGTTAGACTCTCTCTCCCCTTGGTTCTCCCAAACCACTTGGTGACAAGACAACAATGAGCAGGAATCATGCTAACAATCTTATGGATTGCTTACACGTCAACTACTGACTGTTGCCCTCAACCATACATGATCCCACAGCCAAATAAGTCAATAGCTGTGGAAGTCGGGAAAACCACAATGTAAATGCTGAAAGCCCCACATTGTACCAATGGCGTTTTCTTACAAATAGATGACATCCTCATCAGTAGCAAGTGTTGAAAACACAAGGAATGCCTGAAGAATGGGAGGGGGGTGAGTCTGTGAGGAAATCTTGTGGAAAGAAGAGAGATATTTGTAACAGCTGAAAGGAAATCCTGACACACCAGCCTCCAAAATCACTAGGCCGCCTTTCAGCCCAGGGTTCCCTCCTGCCTGGGGAATTTGGCCCCTTTCCAATGGCAGTGCCCTCATGTGCTACGCTGAAAATAAAACAAAGGATGCCATTCATCATATTTTTCAACAACTGGTTTCTTTTCTTAGTTTGAAAGAAAAACTTGGCAATCGTAAAGCTGAGTTTTTTATTTTTATATATTTTCTTCTTCGTGTCAAAATAAACTGGAAAAGAAAAAAAATAGCCCAATGGTAAGAAAAGGAAAATACACAAAATCCTTCAGAGCTTAGTTGGCCACACACTGCCACTCGACTGACACCAAACCGTGGAATGCATCTCTCTCAAGTTCTCCCAGCCCAAAGAGCCGGCTGCCTTCTGCTTCTGTAGATGTGGCTACTTAGAGAAATTCAAATAGGCTCCCAGTGTTAACTATGCTGCATATTTACTTTAATCAAAGTGACATTTCCCAGATGGTGTCATCCAGAAAACCTCATCCGAAGTGAAGAGTACAAGAGAATTTAGCAGCTCATTCCAGGGAAAATTGAACACAGGTGCTCTCCCATTTTAAGATGACTCAGTTTACAAAAATATAAAACTATGTAACAGATACCCTTTTGGCATGAATATCCCAGCCCCATAGATATCTGGTACCTGAAATTGGTACCAGGCAATCCATATGAAGGTGTGAATGTATAAATGATAACATCTCTACATTATCAGCTGCACAACCCTAATACTCTTGGGTGTTAATTCTGAGCCTGAATGTTTTGCCATTCCCAGACCCTTCCTTTGCTGAGCAGAAGGAAAGGTGAGAAAGAAAGTGCTTGAGGCAAGAAGCTGCTCTAAGGTGCCTCTGAAAATTAGTAGATCTAAATGCATTATTCACTGAATACCCAGAGTTTCCATGCTGTAGGTAAAACAGACAGCTTCCTCCATGGAGGTTACAGGATAATCACTTTTAATCACAGTATAATAAAACACTGTGATTATATAATAATCACAGTATAATCACTTTAGTAATTAGTTAATTGTGATGTGAGCTAGGAAAGAAAGGACAGGCATAACGGAGCATGTAACCTACCCTGGTGATCTTAGGAGACTTTTCTGAGGAAATGACATTGTCACTCTAGGAACTGGAGAGCAAAGGGTAAAAGAATAGACTTCAGAAAGGACAAACCTATACAGAAACCTGGTCCTGAAACTTACAAGATATATGACCTCAAGGAAGTTACTTAACTTCTCTGAGCCTCCGTTTCTGTACCTGTAGAGTGGGAATAATATTGCTCTCAGAGGGCTGTTGTGAGAATTAAATAAAGTAATAGATGTGCCAAATGCTTGGCATGTACTCAGCACACGGCCAGGTCCAGGTCCTGTGAAGCTGGAAGCTTACACCATTTTGAGTACCATCATTAAAAAATAACCCAAAAATAGGTTTGTAAGTGAATTTAGAATGAGAAAATAAATTACAACAAACTATACATTTTTTAACTACAATTATTGTGAATTCCAGAAAAATAACATATACTTATTATCTGTATAGTGCTATACATGTTTTCCACATTTTTATGGCTACTCTTTTGTCACCTATGCAAATGATAGTAATCTGTCATTTTATATGAACAGAATATAAAATAACTCATTCCTTTATTTAGAATGGTTGACAGAAATGTGTTTTTAATCATTAATGTTTGGGATACAACTTTCCCAACAGGCAAATTCCCATGGGACATACTTGTTCTTGATAGCTATATCACAGATTTGTTCCTCTAGAAACAGAAATTCTGATCAATTCTGTTTCCTATGATTATCACAAAAAATGAAATAATCTGGTGTCCTTATAATTGTATATACTACATCAACATATACATAAGTGCAGCTACAGCTTCTGTATTGGATGGACATTATTAAAAACCACATCCTTTGCTTACAACCTTGTGCTGCCAATAACTAGAAAGATTTTGCACAGATTAGCTTCTGGCTCCATAGCTTTTGATCCTCGTTTTTCCTCCACTTCTTACATACTTCTGATGCTGGGCACCAGAGGACACACTCACCTGTGATGGTCCTCTGGCCCTGCTTTGTGAGTCACAGCACTGAGTGAGCCATCACAGAGGGCAAGAGGAGTACTCCTGGGAGCCGTTCCTGCACTGGAAGAGCTGGTAATGACTTCACTAGACACGGATGTGACTATGAACCACACAAATATTCACAACTCAACTTCTCCTTTATTTGAGTCCAAAAATGTCCAGAGCCACTCCCAGAACCAGCCATATAACTCACGGGGCCCAGTGCAAAATGAAAATATGGGTCCCTGCTGGGGGTAGTGGCTCACGCCTCTAATCTCAGCACTTTGGGAGGCCCAAGCAGGTAGATTTCTTGAGCTCAGGAGTTGGAGACCAGCCTGGGCAACATGGTGAGACTCCGTCTCTATCAAAAATAAAAAGTAAAAAAAATAGCCAGGTGTGTGGTGGTACTTGCCTGTGGTCCCACCTACTCTGGAGGCTGAGGTGGGAGGATCACTTGAGCCTGGGGATGGAGGTTGCAGTGAGCCAAGATCACGCCACTGCACTCCAGCCTGGGTAACAGAGTGACAATGTGTCTCAAAAAAAAGGAATAGGCCGGGCACGGTGGCTCACGCCTGTAATCCCAGCACTTTGTGGGGCTGAGGCAGGCGGATCACAAGGTCAGGAGACTGAGACCACCGTGAAACCCCGTCTGTATTAAAAATACAAAAAATTAGCCAGGCGTAGCGCCGGGTGCCTGTAGTCCCAGCTATTCAGGAGGCTGAGGCAGGAGAATGGCATGAACCCAGAAGGCGGAGCTTGCAGTGAGCCGAGATCGCGCCACTGCACTCCAGCCTGGGCGACAGAGCGAGACTCCATCTCAAAAAAAAAAAAAAAGGAATAAGAAAAAAATTATTCAGAATTTCCTGACAGTAACAGCAGAACATTGAACCAAGCATAGGACCCTGTGCTATTGCACAGGTTGCAAGCTCATGAAGCCAATACTAGCTGCTCCGCTGCCACTCATCATGAAAGGACATATAACAAAGAAATAGAGGTGGGAAGAGACAGCAGTTTCAACAGATTGTGCCTAAAATATCTAACTTGTGTACATTTTTCGAAATCATACAACCATGTAAGCATATTACTAGGGCCTGTGAACATATTACCCAGGACTTACTAGGTCTCCATACAAGTGAGGGCACCTACATCTTATGTATCACTAGGATAATGATAAATCTGCTCCTGCTGAAATGCAGTAGGAGCTCAATAAATATTTATGAATGAAGCTTCATCCTCAGGGACTTTACAGTCTAGCCAGCAAAACAAACAACATCAATAAAACCCTGTAACAAGTCAATGTGTCAAGTCCATAAACTAAAATTGCATAAAATGTAGGGATGTGAATTAAAAGTAAAAGAAATGACCAGGTGACTCTGCATGGTTAGCCAGCCAGGAGTTCTGGAGCACTGGCTGCACAATCCACATCCATCCTGGTTCTAGCAGCAGTGTTGGCCTCACCTGGTGGCAATTTTCCTCCCTGATTTAAATACTGATGGGGACTACTCTGGGTCCTATGGCTGACTTGGCTATTTCAAGATAGTGGGAGTGATTTCAGGCATCTCCCAATGAGTTGGAGCAAGTCTGTGGCCCAACTCAGAGAAATTCATCTGGGAGAAATCTGGCGATGTGCAGTTCATCCTCCACTTCCCCACCTGATGAGAGAGGGTTGTGCCTAGCAGCACAAAATGCACAGTCCTACAGAGGAGGCGCTGACAGTCCAGGGGAGGAAGTCACAAAACTAGAAGCTAATAGTTCTTTCAGGTACAAAAAGGAATAAATGGGCAAGAACTCAGAATATGATAATAGAGTAAAAGACAGAGTTTGGGAGGCTGAGGTAGGAAGATCATTTGAGCTCAGGAATTCAAGACCAGCCTGGGCAACAGAGTGAGAATTCATCCCTATTAAAAATAAAAAGAAATAAAAAAATTAGCCAGCTGTGGTGGTGTGCACCTGTAACCCCAGCTACTCGGGAGGCTGAGGTGCAAGGATTATCTGAGCCTGGGAGATTGAGGCTGCAGTGAGCCATGATCATGCCACTGCACTCCAGCCTGGGTGATGGAGGAATACCGTCTCAAAAAAAAAAAAAAAAAAAAAGACCTGGAAGAAATTTTAAATGAGGAAAGAGTACAGAAGTATTGGAGAGAGGCCTAAGATCTGGAAGAAGTCTCAGGATCCTGAGTGGACCATCCTATAAAACTGCCATAGAGGGGTGAGTCAACTAACTGGATGTACAATTTCGAACTGGAACACAACAAACTAGAGGTGAAGGCCCATCAGGCCTAGGAAGAGAGGCCTGGAGATCTGAGAATGTGGGTCCAAGGTTATTGTTTTGTTTTGTTTTGGTTTGGTTTGGTTTGGTTTGGTTTGTTGAGACAGGGTCTCACTCTGTCACCGAGGATAGAATGGCAAAATTATGTCTCACTGCAGCCTTGATCTCTCAGGCTCAAACGATCCTCACTTCTCAGCCTCCTGAGTAGCTGGGACTACAAGCGTGTATCACCACGCCTGGCTAATTTTTTATTTTTAGTAGAGACAAAGGCTCACTATGTTGCCCAGGCTGGTCTTGAACTCCTGAGCTCAAGTGATCTTCCTGCCTGGGCCTCCTGAATTGCTGGGATTACAGGCATGAGCCACCATGCCCAGCCCAAGGGGTACTGTTTAGGGTTAGGGCAGTGGTATAAACCTACAGGTATGGGATATGGTAGGAGGAGGTTCCTGGTTGACCCAATAGGCTAAGAGCACTTAGGGAATTTTATTACTTTAGTCACCTGCTCCAGAGGGTTGTTGTGAAAATCATGTAATAACTAATACTTAGTTGGTACTCAGTAAAAGATAGCTACAAATAATGATGCCAAAAGGGTTCACTCAAGACTTCTTTTCCCATATCTTGCTATTTTATCTTCCTTTTATCTTTGTGAAATAACAAAGTGGATATCATGAAGATGAACTACTAAAAAGAATTTTGGGATAGACACAGATTAATATTAATCAGTTACCGAAAATCCTTTATACGTACTAGAAACAATATAGTTTTGTAACAATGGATCCTAGCTAAACTACATCCATATAATTACTTTTTTCAAAGCAGTTAGTCTTCATGGAGATACAGGTACCTAAGAAGTTAGGAAACTGACTGGCTTCAGACGGGGCTTCCTGAGAAAAAGTTGATAGCGTGGTACCCAGAGGTTTGGGAAAGGCGTTTGGCTGGGGGCCTACCGCCAGATAAAAAGCATTATCTACATGGCAGGTAAAGATGGCTACACAAGGAAAGACAAGTAACTATTATAAGATTCAAAAGACTTTACTTATTTAAATTATATAATTACATTAGTTTACATTTTAAATGATGGAATATGCTACTACGCAAAAGACATCCTTTGGAAAACCTGGCCCAATGCTTTCCATGGCATTTCCCACCCTCACCTCAAGTCAACACTCAGACTCCCTACTGGTGGAAAAAATAGCACGAATTCCAAAAGGAAACTGCGAATTTGACAAGAAGAAGACAGTGAGATAAGAGAATAATGTGCGAATGAGAAGAAAAGGAGAGTAACCATGCGTGGGCTGTTTGTGTTAGGAGCTATGTTCACAAAGAGTATTTTCTGCCTTCTCCTTTCCCTCTCCATTTCCCCCAGTCCCATTGGGTCTGCTGATGTTTGTTTCTGACAGAAGCCAGTCTGAACCCAATCAGGAAAACAGAAACCACACTAAGCATTTCAAAAGAGATCACAAAAAAAATTGTCAACAGTTGTTGAACTTAAAAAGCAAAACAGAGAACAAGGGATCACAGAGCTGTAACTGCAGGCAGCACCACTCACTACAGCAGGGGTCCTCAGAGCCTAGAAGCTGAAAGGAGAGGCCCTGCAGAGCTGGGGCTCAGGCGTCTGAGGAAGGTGGCACTGCCCAGCTGATGCTGGGGCTTCTGAGGAGTGCAACAAGGCAAGCTCTGACAAGTGTTGGGGGGTGGGGAGAAAGAACAGCTGGAGCCTGGAACTAAGAGCCACTGTCAAGGTGAAGAGTCACTGCTGAAGTGGGGCTTCTAGAAACAGGAGGTCAAAAGGAAGGAGCAATCCCTCACCATCCTCCACCCCTGCAGCCTCCTCAGTCCAGGACCCCATATTGGCAGAGCCTAATAGGGAACTGGCTGGCAAAGAAGAAATGTGGTTTGCAGAGTCCCAGGATCAGAAAGTAGAGTATGGGGCCAGGTGCAGTGACTCATGACTGTAATCCCAGAACTTTGGGAGGCCAAGGCGGGAGGACTGCTTGAGCTCAGTTTAAGACCAGCCTGGGCAACATAGCAAGGTCCTGTGTCTACTAAACATAAAAATGAAACAAACTGGCTGGGCGCAGTAGCTCATACCTGTAATCCCAGTACTTTGGGAGGCCGGGGCAGGCGGATCACTTGAGGTCAGGAGTTCGAGACCAGCCTGACCAACATGGTGAAACCCGTCTCTACCAAAAATACAAAAAATTAGCTGGGTGTGGCAGCGTGCGCCTGTAATCCCAGCTACTCCAGAGGCTGAGGCAGCAGAATCGCTTGAACCCAAGAGACGAAGGTTGCAGTGAGCTGAGATCATGCCACTGCACTCCATCCTGGGCAACAGAGTAAGACTCTGTCTCAAAAAATAAAATAAAATAAAATAAAAAATTATTAGCCAGGTGTAGTGGTGTGCACCTGTAGTCCCAGCTACTTGGGTGGCTGAGGTGGGAGGATCACTTCAGCCTGGGACGTCAAGGCTGCAGAGAGCCATGATCATGCCACTGCACTGCAGCCTGGGTAACAAAGCAAGACCTTGTCTTGAAAAAAAAAAAAAGTATATGGAAGGATGAATGCGGAGCTGAGAGATAATAGGTTAACACCCACACTAAAAATGTAGAAAGAAATTAGTCCCATGTTTAGGTCTGTATCTCACATCTTAACTCACAATACACTAACTTGCCTCACAATACTGCAAATAGGAACAAAAGAAGTGGCACAGTAATCCAAAGGCAGTCTGAGTTCAACCAGAGCCCTGCTCACCAGGACATTTTATTACACATTGGAGAAGCATTCTAAGAGATTGCTGAGGGTGTTCTAATTGTTTTATCTATGAAAAATGGGCTCCTTGGAGGCCATGTGCAGGCTCGCTTAAAACAATAAGCTTTCCTAACCCCCCAAGCACAACATACTTCGGGAGCACGGTCTGGATGCTTATCAAACAAGTTCCTGGGCTGTTCTCTGAAGTTTCTGGGCAAGTACAAACAACAGAGTCAAATAAATGCCTTTAAAAGCAAGGCAGTGGAGCACGTACCCTGTCAGTGAGATCCTCACATTCCCACAGAATAAACAGTAACATGAGAATATTTATACGAAACAAAACTGTATATCAAGCCTGCTTTGGCTCAGCCAGGGGGAATGATAAATTCCTTGCAGATCTCTCACAGAGTGGTCCTTTGTTGACCACGGACGCCACTTCCAAGACAGTACAAACCAATTACAGAGCAAGGCTTTTCATTATGTCAAGAAATGAAAATATTACCTCCCTTTTGTTTTATTTCAGTTATATTTTCCTTACTCCCCTCTCCCAATGTTTAAATACTTTTAATTTATCGTGAGTCAAGCCCCAATTTAGGCTGGAAACCAATGACAACTCCCCCTCTCCCCTGCACCCCACACACAAAACCTTATCACCTCATAGCCTAGCTTGTTGCTTTCCTTATCCCTCTTTTAAGAAACTAAAAGTTAAAGTTTAAAGTTGGGTAGAATAAAAACACAAAGGGGCTGATAGAAAGTAAAGTCTATTTGTTCACATCAATTTTGGCCTCTTCACAGTTGGTGAAAGGAGGGAGGGTAAATATGAACTATGAAGCACATATTCCATACATTGTCCACCTTGTAGTAAGATTTAAAAAACAAATACTGATGAAACATTGGCACAAACTGTAGGGCTGCTTCTAAGAGGCCAATCTGAGAAAAGCTGCGTATGGGTCGGGGTATTTGTTAGCTCATTCTGTCAGGTCTTCTCAAGCCAATGGGATCGTCCTTCTTAGTTATTATAGATGCATCCCAGTGACTTATGCCAGTTCCTGCAGAGGAAGAGCTGGTGATAGTGTACCCATCCACCAGAACACCTTCTGCAATTTACAGCTGGTTCAGATTTTCTAAAAGGCAGAAGGGGAACAGAGAAAGAAAAGACAAATTCAAATATGAATGAGAAGTAAGAGGTGTGTCTGTGCTTGTTTTAAAAATTATTTATTGGCCAGGCATGGTGGCTTACACCTGTAATCCCAGTACTTTGGGAGCCCGAGGTGGGCAGATCACCTGAGCTCAGGAGTTCAAGACCAGCCTGGGCAAGATGGTGAAACCCTGTTTCTACTGGAAAAAAAAAAATAGCTGAGTGTGATGATGTGCACCTGTAATCCCAGCTACTCAGGAGGCTGAGGTAGGAGAGTCCCTTGAACCTGGAAGGTGGAGGTTGAAGTGAGCCAAGATTGTGCCACTGCACTCCAACCTGGGTAACAGAATGAGACTCTATCTCAGAAAAAGAAAATTATTTATTTATAATAAAAATGTAAATTTTTGCTTTTTAATGGATAGCTGGATCAAAGGCCACATTTAATCAACTTTATTTTAAACCATTAACTAAACCTCATCTGGAGCACTACAGTCCATCATAATAGATTTTAAAAGGGAAAAATAGGTCATACATATTTGTATCTATTAGTAGATAACAGAAATTTGCCAACATTTTATTTAGAACATATGGATGATCTGGTTTGGATCAATGTCTCCACCCAAATCTCATGTTCAATCATAATACCCAGTGTTGGAGGTGGGGCCTGGTGAAAGGTGACTGAATTATCGGGGGTGCATTTCTCATGAATGGTTTAGTACCATCCTCTTGGTACTCTCCTCATGACAGTGAGTGAGTTCTTGTGAGATCTGGTCATTTAGAAGTAGGTAGCACCTCCCCACCAGCTCTCTTGCTCCTTCTCTGGCCATGTGACATAACTGCTCCCCCTTCCCCTTCCACCATGACTGTAAGTTTCCTGAGGCCTCCCCAGAAGCCAAGCAGATGTCAGCATCATGCTTCTTGTACAGCCTGCAGAACCATGAGCCAATTACATCTCTTTTCTTTATAAATTGCCTAGTCTCAGGTATTTCTTTATAGCAATACAAGAATGGACTAAGACAATGGACTTAGTAAAGTTATCTTATTCAGATATGAGGGGATTTTTGTATTTTTTTCTTAACTTTTGTGGGATAAATACATACTTTTTGTTCTTTTTTAATTATAAAACACAATGTGCATAACATACAATTTGCCACTTTAGCCATTTTTAAGTGTATAATTCAGTGGAATTAAGTACATTCACACTGTTGTGCAACCAAGCACCATCATCCATCTCCAGAACATTTTTCATCTTTCCAAATGACACACTGTACCCATTAAAAAGATGTTTGGTTTTAAATAGGCCTTGCTCAAAGCCAGCAGCCTGTAATGCTGTGACAGGAACCTGGAGAGGTTAATTCAGGTAACCGGCAAATGAATCAACCCCTACAACCCAATATGAATCAGTGGCACCATGTGCTTTTATCCCCTCTCATCTGTTTAATACTGATGCTCAAAACTAAAGCAAAGCTCTAGAATAGACCTAGAAAAACTATTAATAATACATTTCATTTGTACATTACAGCTTATAGACATTTATTCCCCTAGTTGGGGAGGGAACGATTTGTCCTATTTCATAGCTAATGAAATTATGGCTACATGAAAAATAAGAGCAAGGACTGAACTCAAGCCCTCCAAACCACTGTCTGCTGTTCCTTCTATCGGGCCACACAGCCTCCGCCAAAGCAAGGCAAGACCTGGGCACTGCTGCTTCTCACCTCTCAGAGACTGAGAGACAGACCTATCAGGTCTAACTGGACAGCATTTTCTCTCTTCACCAGAGCAACTAAAATTCCTCACGTCTAAAAACCATACCTAGTCCATCATCTTTTCCATCTTCGTTGTAATCATATTGACAGAGAAAACACACACAGAATTGGAATTCCAGAATAATATAAATGCAGTCAGATTCAAGAATCAAATGTAAGTAAAAAAAATTAGATCACTGGATCCTATAAAAAGATTGAGTTCGGCCTTTTTTTTTTTTAACTTTTTTTTTTCTAATAGAGATAGTCTCACTACATTGACCAAGCTGGTCTCAAACTCCTGGGTTCAAGTGATCCTCCTACCTTGGCCTCCCAAAGTGCTGGGATTACAGGAATGAGCCACCACACCCAGCCAAACTCTTTATTTTTAATTCCTTAAAATAAATTCACATTTTGCGCTCTTATTAAAGAAGATCACAGTCTTTCTTGCTAAACTCAATTTGTGGAAAAATTCATTTCTCTGTGCTTTATGGGGAGCATCTGATACTAGAACAATATAAATACTAAGGATTTAATTAAAATTGCCATCATTGACACATAGCTTCTTTTAGTATACAAAAAGGCTACAAATTTTCTTTTCTTTCAAATAAAATTTCTTCTGCCAATACCCTTCTCTTTGCTCAAAAACAGTATGTTCTCTAAACCTTTAGACTTTCCATCTGAATTCCAAAAGAATAAGTACTTCCTTGAAGTCATGCCCAACACCATCATGCCATCTCCCCAATATAAACATTTCAAAATTCTATATCTGGTTTATGAGCAGCAGATCATCTTAAAAGTAGTAAGGCAAGAATGAACAATCATGCTTTGAAAGAGAGATTATATTTTGTAACCCTCTCATTTTTTAGTCACTTAGTACCTGATTTTTTTTTTTTTTGGTAACCCTCCCATTTTTTAGTCACTTAGTATCTGATTTTATTTTGCTGATAATATTTTTTTCCATAACAAAAGTATTTAGGCTATAATCAGGTAACTTTATCTACTCTAAACTATCCGAAGGATTTTTTTTTTCCTAAAAGAGCTCGAACTTTCCAAAATACCAACAGAGAAAGAAAAGCACGGTTAAGAGCTAAGCGTCATCAGCAGCAACAGGCCTTAGACCTTCATTCATTTCCAAGGCCATCTCCATGGGGGCTTGAATTCAATGACAGGCCTAAGAGTCTCAGAGACAGGAGTAAATCACACCTCTGTACCCACCACTCCCTCTCTCCGAAACAAACTCCTGTCATTATTGAATTAGGTTAATATCAGATTAAAATGAATCTCAAAACCAGTCTTAATTAGGGAAAGAGGTCACTAAAAACTAACAAACAGCCTTGGAACTGGGAAAAGCAAAGGGACTCACGTGTTTTGTGATGATGTGAGTTTGGCAGGGTTTGGAGCCAAACAAGACAAAAGAGTTCCCTCACACAGACTTATAAACCTCGTGCCTTTCTCTTTGTGAAACCTGTTGGAGGCACCTCTTTCTTCCATCCCCAGCTATACAAGAGGCTGAGATGGCCATTGACACTCTAGAGCCCTGTTACTCTAGAGCTCAGGGGCAAATGTCCCGCCTTTCCCTGTCTCAGGGATGGTGCGGCTCACATTACATAAATAGCGTGGCTCTAATTATAGTTTACACTATAAGATGGACAACTTGGTTAAATTAGCATTGGTATAAAAAGCTTACATTTGCAGTTTCCTCATTTTTGGGGAACCTTACATTTCTAAAAGCAAAGTTAAGCAGGGATTGATGAGGAATAAAGGACTGACCTCATCTTCAGCATGTGATCATTCCTTAGCTACTATTTCAACATTATTTTACTGTCATTACTTTTTCTTGCTACTTTCAAACTTATTGCTCCTGATGTCAGCATCCATCAGAGAAATGCCTTCTGGGTTCACTTTTCCCTAGACTACGATGGTTTGGGGGCTTTGTTGCCTAGCCTGGCTACTCTCATACTAATAGATGTTTTACAGAAAATCAGCACACGGAAACCACATTTCATCTTTTTCCCACACATGTACATAATGAAACATTTCAACTCCCGAGGCTGGGCCTCTTCCTCCTGGGAATTCTGCAGGAATGAATCAGATTACAGTATTTCCCCATAATGCTGATTTCATAAAAATTAAATTTCCTAACAGTCAATACATCTCTCTCTCATCATCTCATGTCCCAATCACTTACCCTAAATATCTTTAAGAATTATATCAGTTTTAACATTGCACAGAGTATAATTGGAATTTTTGTCAATCTTAATGTTGCCACTCTTTAACAGAAAACTTCCAAACATTTTTCTCTCATTTACCCCCCAATAAGTCATGTTACAAATAGCCTTATGTCCTAAAATCTAATGTACTTATCCTATTTTGACTCAAGGAATGGTAATATCTTTACCATCGTTCCAACAAATAGTTGGATCACACTCAGGTTTTGCTGAAGAGTATATAACACTGGGGGTTACATCAGCATGACTATTCAAAATCCTTACCAGGCCTGTAGTGCTTCACCATTACGCTTTGCTGTCCCATAGCTTTGATATGCCCAGTCACATTCAGTTATTCACATGCAATTCATCAGCCTGAGGGAGCAAGTCACTTTCAAAGGAAGTTCCTGCATGTGGACTTGGGGCTTTCCCCATGACATGGGTCATTCCATCCCTGTAGCCCTGGGACTTTTCCTGAATCCCTCACCCAGCAAATTCCAAGACATCCTCTTCCATTGCATGTCTAATAACTTCCCCCTGTTAGTAGAATTTCCAAAGTTGATCATTCTTGCTATAAATGAACTCATTGCCTAAGACAAATTATTAAAGATAAAGTAAGCTTAGACATAAGCCCTAAGGACAAGAGTTCAATAAAGAACATGACACGTACACTGTTCAGTGTCCCAACAGCGACTTACTTGATTGAAATGAAACTCTTATTTTTAAAATTCCTTCAAAAGCATAAAGTTCATTTTTTAAGCAAAATAAAACATCAGAAATAACTTTCATATGCTTTTAAATAAAATAAGAGGTAATCACTTAACACAGAATAATCATTTTTCAAACAGACCCTTGTTATATGTATTTTAAATTCTTCTAGTAAGCTTTAGTTACACAATATTTTTGTTTTATTACTATTTCTTATTCAAGTAGTGATAAAACGGAGACAATTAATGAATCTGAGATGTTTCTGACCTAATCAGGGTAGTAGTTTCCTCTCCAAGGTGGGGAAACTTCTCTCCCTTGGAAGGTGAAAGAAGAAAGAAAGAAAAAGAAGAGAAAATTTCTCTTTCTGCCCAAATTCACGCTTTTCCAATTTCCTCCATTTAATCCTTCCAAGTCAAAACCAATACGGTGATCCAATTATACTGAATCAAATTCTGTGTTTAAATCCAGCAGTCCCATTGACCTTATTTAAATGCTGAATTTGATTTTTTATGTTAATTTAAACCTACTAAGAAGGTATTTTAAATGAGAGAGATAATTAATCCCAGCAAATCGTATTTCTAGTTAAATGTCATATAATTAAAGTAATTCCACTTTTTGCTCTAAAATTAGAAACCTGATGTGAAAGTTTGTTTCTCAGTTTGCAGTTTCGCTCCACTCCCGCCTCCCGCAGATTGGCACTCAGCTGCTCTGGTGGCAGCACGGATCCCCTCACTGCAAGGCTGAAATTCCAATTTTCTTCCAACACAACTGTCACAACGCCCTGAAGCAAGCTAAAAACAAGGAAAAAAATCTTTGGTATGATTTCGTTTTCCATGTGTGCTTTAATGAAAAATTTATCATTCTAAATATTGGTGTTTACTCCTAGTTAAATATTTTTTTATCAAAAAGAAAAAGAAACTGAGATTCAGTCGCTATTATTTCACAGAGAAATATAACAGGCCTGATGTCTTCCTGACAATTCTGTTATTTTCTTGTGTGGAAACACTGTATTTATCATATACTGTATGGCTGGTGATTTAGATATTGTTGAGACCTTATGGTGAACTGATATGGATGTAAACTCTTTATGCCAGATTGTTTAAGCAGAAAAAAACCAAATGCACTTAATTAACATCTGATGTGTAGCTTTTGCAAACACAAATGCAATATTTGTGTTTGAGCACTGGCAGTAATGACTGTGAACTATGCTATTAATGTCTGGTTTAAAGATGCTTGTGGTAGGACCATGTCTGGAATAACACAAATAAAAAACTGCATTCAGACAAAACAATAGCGAAGAGCCCATTAGGAAAATGGAAAAGCAGCACTCAGAAGAAACACATGTATTTTTTTTCCCTTTAGATCAAAATTATTCTCAAAAATAGTTCCAGGCACCATCATTTTCAATCAATTAAAGGTGAAAGGATTCTATATATTTTAACTCTACAGAAAAGTGTTTCACTTTAGGAGTGCCAAAGTTGTTTAGGGGTGTCTTCAGAAGTTCCATTCATTATATTATACTCCTCTTTGGTGGCCAGTATTAAAGCATACATGAGGAGAGAGCTGGGATGGTGTTTTAGGATATTTAGCACTTTTATATCTAAAGAGAAAACTTCAAATTTGTGGACTGCATTACAGTTTGAATAAACAGATTCTTTTCAACCAATTCAACTCCCTCATTAAATACTTTGTTACCAGGCTGGGTGCGGTGGATCATACCTATAATCCCAGCACTTTGGGAGGTCGAGGCAGGCGGATCACAAGGTAAGGAGTTCGAGACCAGCCTGGCCAATATTGTGAAACCCCGTCTCTACTGAAAATACAAAAATTAGTTGGGCATGGTGGCGCGTGCCTGTAGTCCCAGCTACTCAGGAGGCTGAGGCAGGAGAATCACTTGAACCCAGGAGGCAGAGGTTGCAGTGAGCAGAGATCGCCTTGCCACTGCACTCCAGCCTGGTGACAGAGCGAGACTCTGTCTCAAAAAAAAAAAAAAAAAAAAAAAAAAAAAAATACTTTTTTACTGAAAACCTGGTGAGTGCCAGGAACCATGCAGGTTGCTGAGTATAAAAACAGGAAGAAAGTTAAAATAAGGTAAAACCCTAGCCTAAATGTGGACTTTGCTTCAGAGTAACAAACAGAGCAAGGCAACCAGACTCAGAACTCAGGTTCAAAAACATAAACAGTTATTATACCAAAAACAATTAGTTATCATTATATATTGGTATTTTAAATTTTTTAGACCATGCACTAAAGGGAAACCACAGCTGAAACAGGACATTTGATGACTAAAGCCATAAAACTCAAACATAATTGCTAAGTCCAATGCTCCCATGGCGGGAAGAATGCAGGACTTGTCTCCGTGTGGCTGAATCCACAGAAAAGAAAGCTAAGTGAGAACCACGTGCCACAGGGCTAGGAAGTACTCCCGTGGGTCCAAATTCAAGTTCCACCTCAACAGGACACTGCCTCTGCTCAGCTCTCTTTCTGTAAAATGGTTATGACGTTTCCTTGCTCTGTGAGGCATTGTGAACCTCATTCTATTGCCTTTAAATCTTTCAGAGTAGAAATAATTCAGAAGAGATTACAAACATAGGTACAAATTTACCTCCCATAATTAAGCCAGTCCAGATAAGAGGGAAACTCAAGTAACTTGCCTGCTGTCAGGTTTTTCAATAATAGAACAGTGCCCTCCCTGAGTTCAGGCAAAGTCTTAAGTCCTTCATGCTCCAATTATAGGTTACATGCTTAGTGACACATTGAGACTTTCATTTTTCATCATCCCAACTAGGCTTCCTAGCCAGCATCAGCAAATGATTTTTAAAAATAGGCTCCCTAAAACGAGACTCATTCTAAAACTAGAAATTATTTTTCAAATACCAGATAAAGTTTTGGTGTGGAGTAAATTGGAGTATTCAATGTCAAGAAAAGTGCCTGATGATGCATTTCTTATTTATAGTAGAAAGAAGTAAGCAGGAAAGTGCTCAGTAACCCATTTAAATAACTAAACAGAAGCCCCTGATTCCAAGATGTACCAATTACCTCCATCTCTGACTCCTAGGGCATCATATGAAACTACAGTTCAAAGAATTTTCCCTGCATTTTTAAACAATGATGCATACATGCAGGCCATTCATACAACATATCAGACAGCAGTGTTTAAATTACCCCATAAATGTTTAGGATTTTAAATATATATGTATAAAGTATTTATTTATAGATCTAAAAGTATCAACTATTACTGCTTTGCCCTTATTTATGTTCCCCACAAGCTGGCCAACTACAAACTTTTAAAAGGAATTTGGCTTAAAAGATTTTGTGTGTTTGGCACTGACTATGGGTGTTAATCATTTCTGAGCTCACTTCTTTTTCTCTTCTGTTTATAATATTCTTTGGGAACTTCAAAACAGAAACCTGTTTCCTTATAGATTCTGCTTCCTCTCTGGTACTGTGCAAATTAATTTGTCCTGGATTGTTGACTGTACTGTACAGTTGATAGCGCCAATCATTTCTATTTCATTTTTGTAGGGAAAAACATAAACATAGCAACAATGTGTTGAGGTTTTTCTGTTTTGGTGGGAGGGAAAAATATGTTAGGAAACACTGACATAACCAAAAAAAAAGTTAGAAAAATATATAAAGCCAATTAAATTTAAACAAGAGGGAAATCGCTATTGTTGGGAACCAAATTCATTGAAAAATTAGATGAATAACATTTCTACCCTAAAGAAAGAGGTGTTATAAATTCTACTTCAGTAGATATTGCTTCAAAAAATGAAAGCGATTTATGGCCAGGCACAGTGGCTCATGCCTGTAATCCCAGCACTTTGGGAGGCCGAGGTGGGCAGATCACGAGGTCAGGAGTTCGAGACCATCCTGGCCAACATGGTGAAACCCCGTCTCTACTAAAATACAAAAAATTATCCATGCATGGTGGCACGTGCCTGTAGTCCCAGCCACTCGGGAGGCTGAGGCAGGGGAATCGCTTGAACCCAGGAGGCGGAAGTTGCAGTGAGTTGAGATCACACCACTGCACTCCAGCCTGGGTGACAGAGCGAGACTCCATCTCAAAAAAAAAAGAAAGAAAGAAAGAAAGAAAGCAATTTACTTCTTTCTGGATTATTTTTTAAGGAAGAATATGTGCAATTAAGGTAACCTAATATTTTAGTAGAAAGTCTTAAACTCTACTATCTGGTGTGAGGAATATTAGAAACTAATTGTTTATTCACATCCCTTATTCACTGATCCTCCTTGAAATACTTTATTTTTCTGCTATTAGCACCTGCTTTGAGCCTACTAAATGATGGACAAACAGACTGCCCAAACTTGGCAAACTGTAATTTTCCTGTTTCTTCCACAAGCTAAGGTTTCTACCCTTGGTCATGGCTACCAGTGAAAAAAGGCATATAGGGGAAAAGCTGTGCTCCTTTTCCCTTCTTATCATGAATATGCCATCAAATATAATCTGAATACAGGCACTGAAACTTAGCTTTTATAAAATTGACCACTAATAAATCTTACTAATTACCCTTCAGGGAAGATGATGGAAATAATCACAGGGTTGATTTAGAGATATTATGAAAATATGTTGGAAGCTTTAAGAATATAAAAATGTTTTTCTTACATATAATATAAACAAAATATGTACATATATATTTTACAATATTGAGATCATGCTGCCTATACTACCTGGTATCCCTTGCACTGGCTATTCCCTCTGCCTAAAACTCTCCTCCACATCTCCACGTGGCTAGTGGCCTCACTCCTTCAAGTCTTTGCTCTAATATTGCCTTTACAATGAAGCCTAATTTGGATTATTCCACTTATAATCACAATACGGCCCCATTCTAGAACTCTTAATGCCCTTGTCCTGTTCAATATTTATTTTGGCTGTAGCACTTGTTATTTTCTAATGTACTATATAATTCATTTGTTTATTAAGGCTTTTATTTATCGTCTGTCTCTTTGCCCCTCCCCAACTACAATGTAAGTTCTTTGAGGACAGATAAGTTCTATTTTGCCCGCTGGTGATACTGCTTAGCACATAGTAGGTACTTAATATCTGTTTCATTAACTAATTTAACTGTAAATTCTCTCTACATTAGATTGCATTTTCTATGTCTCTGAAAGTTCTTCTAAAACATCATGCTTGAGTATGCCATAGTTTACATAAACATACCCAAATAGCAAACATTTCCATTATTTTCAGTATTTGCTATTATAAATAATGCTTTGATAAACATACTTGTACATATACCTTTTACTATTTCCTTAGGATTTATCTCTAGATCTAGAATTCCTGAAAGGCAGTTATATACATTTTTAGAGCTCTTCGCACATATCACAAGCTCACTTCTAAAAAGTTTATACCAATTTATACTATCATTAACAGTGTAAATGTCTCTAACTACATCTTCCCCAGTATTAAATATTACCTTTAAAATATCATCTTTAAACATTCATTGTGCCAATTTTGGCATCTTAATGTTTTAACGTGGGATTTGCAGATTTTTATGAATTTTTTTATGTAAATTACAGATCTCCATGTGAGTAAAAACAGAGAATAAAATCATGGGCCAGGCACGGGGGGTCACGCCTATAATCCCAGGACTTTGGGAGGCCAAGGTGGGTAGATGGCCTGAGTCCAAGAGTTTTGAGACCAGCCTGGGCAACATGGTGAAACCCTGTCTCTACAAAATATACTTGGAAGGATGAGGTGGGGGAATCACCTGAGCCCATGAAGTTGTGGCTGCAGTGAGCCGAGATCGCACCACTGTACTCCAGCCTAGGCAAATGCCATGAGACCCTGTCTCAAAAAAAAAAAAAAAGTAAGAAAAAGAAAAAATCAGAAATCCCAGTGTGTTGACCATTTCAAATCAAACAATATAAAATAGATAATGATGAGGCAGAGACACAGATTATCCAACCACAGGCAGGTGATAGATCAGATTGGGAAGCAATCCTCCCTTTAGTTTAAACAACTACATATCAAGTTTGTTCTTAGGAAACTAAACATAATTAGTGATAATATTAGCATTTGGTCTTTAACTCACATATGATTTTTATATCAGGTTAAAGTTTTTCCCAAATATAGACCCATTTATTCTAACAGCACTGCAAAAATGAGAATTAAGTTATTCAAGTGTTTGCTTAACCTAATGATCTCACAGCAGTATACCTATGTCTAATTCCCGTCCACCTGACTGCAATACCAGTCCACCTGGCACTGAAGTGACTACATCTGCGGTATAATCTCTTCAGTCTTTAGGGAGGCTCAAATTAGAAACCAGGAAATGGATTTCTGAAAATTTAGTCATAAAACTTTACACTTCTCCATTTGTGAGACAAATCATGGGAAAATATGTGAGGTTCAAATTGGCAGAGAGCAATCAGTCTCTTCCTTTTTTCTATGACAAAATGTTGAATGAAATACATTTGTAATATCACTTTTATTAAATCTCATCTTCATAGGGAAGAAAAAAATAGCCCTTTAGTACTGTGTTGGGCACTTTACAGACATCATTTCGACTTCACAATAATGAGAGGGAGACATTATTACGTCCGTTTTATAGATACGGGAACCAAAGCATAATGAGACCAAGGAACCACGGTCACACAGCCAGCAAATAGCAAGGCTGGGATTTCAGCATGGCCCCAAAACCTGTGCTTTTTTTTTTTAATTGCATTGCTCTACTTGATTATAGACAATATTTGTTTAAGATCAGAATTCTGTGCCAGGGGCTACTAACCAAAGACCTATGTGTAAATGATTCTGCAGGGCTTTGGCAGAGCTGTGCCATGAGAAATGTGTTTCTTATGCTCGCCCACCTCTCGCTCCTTGGATACCTAGTATTTTGGTAACTGCTTAAGTTATTGACTGACCATCAAAATGTGACCTTACATGGTTTAATTTGTGGCCCCAACAGAGTCTGAAAATGGAACAATTAAGACTCAAATAAGTGACACTAGGATGGTGGAAGTACAGACAACAGAGAGGAGTTCCACCTTTTCCTGACACATCCCTTAGGGTGGGGCAGGGAGTGAGGGCAGGAGCAGCACAGAGAGGCAAAAGTTGATAAAAGCCAGGGGAAGGAATAGTTTCTTTTTCCAGTCTTTGGTCTCTGCATTCTAGAAGTCCGTTATCTAGAACAGCTTTTTTCCAGGGTTCCTCTAGAACTGATTTCCAGCTGTAAGCACCAACTTGGCTACACTGATGTTTAAGTATTGAAAGACCTTCCTACCAGCTAGAAGTGATCTCTCCCTAAGTCCTCCCTCTCCAGGTGTCTCCATCACACCCTAGGACACACCCCACACCATTCACAGACAGGGGCCTCCAGGACCCTGCCCCAGTGCCAGGAGCTACGAGCATTCTTTTCATCAGTGATCACGTTGCAGGGCTAATGATATATCTTGAATATCACTTCTGGGGGCCCTCATCAAATACTTGACGGGAGCTTCTAGGCTCACAGGTTAGCTTAAAAGGGCCTGGGTGAGAGTAACAGCAGAAAGGAGAGCCTCACCCATTTCAAGAAGCAGCCACCCCTATAACTCTTCCTGCATTAACAGGGTGTGGCTCATAAAGGGGACCTCAAGTTTAAAAAAAAAAAAAAAACAGAGCAAAGCAAAAACCATGCTCAGAACCTGTTAAACCACATCTTTGGGAAGGGGCAGCTCCCAGGTCAGGCTGAAGAGCACTGAAATCCCTCCTCGTGAACCAGCCCAGCTGCTTCCTTCTCTGCACAAGACTGCGCTTCTCAGGCAGGTCAGCTTCGCCAAAGAGAAACACGCTGCAGCCAGGAACATGCAGCACCAGATCCTCAGCAAGGCCTGTGGCAGAGGGAATTTTAACCAAAGAAAATCACAATCAAGCCAAATTTTAAAAACCAAAGCATATAATTTTTTTGCTGTGGTAAAACATATTTAACATAGAACTCATCATTTTAGTCATTTCTAAGTGTCCAGATCAGTGGCATGAAGTTGCACACTGTTGTGCAACCATCACCACTAAAGCACATGATTTATACAAATTTTAAACATCAAAGCTTAAACAGAATGAATGCTCCATTGAAGTTAGTCTCACAATAAAAGCTTGCCTTGATACAAGCAGGCTTGAATTTCTAACCCATTACAAATCTAATTTCACAGTGGAAATGTATATGTAGGATTAATGAAATTGGTGCCTTCAATTTTTGAACAATGTTATAATAGCCCCAACTTGTAAATATTGTTAGAAGGTATAAAAAGTTAGGAGGGCAAGGGCCAGTAACCACACTGTCTAATACAGTAGCCCCTAGCTATGTATGCTATTAAAATTTAATTCTAATCAATTAAAATTTTAATTAGGATTTATCTCTAGAACTAAAGTTTTAATTGACTAAAATTAAATAAAATGGGCCAGGGCAGTGGCTCACACCTATAATTCCAGTACTTTGGGAGGCTGACACAGGAGGATAGAGTGAAGCCAGGAGTTTGAGAACAGCCTGGGCAACATAGTTAGACTCCTATCTCTACAAAAACTAAAAAAAGAAAAGAAAAAAATGAAAAATGAAGTTTTTTAGTTGCACTTGTCACATTTCAAGTACTTAACAACCACACATGGCTAGTGGTCTCCATACTGGACAGCACAGATAAAGAACATTTCCATCGCCACAGAAAGTTCTATTGGACAGCTCTGGGCCAGATGCTACATAAGGAAGCCTAATATTTAAACACAATTGGAGATTACTCTAAATGATAGAACATTTTTCATCTTCCTCTGCCATTCTTCATATCTGGATTCTCTGGATATGATTTTATCTTCTCAAGGCAAAATATAGAATTGCTGGGCTTTTCTAGATTACTCCTTCACCGGACCTCTGCTTGTTTTCTAGGAGCTAATTATAGTCCCCTGTAAGCAAACACAGAGATGGCATACATTTTTGTCTGATATACGAAATGTAGGTGCTCAGGGAATTCTGGGGCTGGCCTGGGATAGCAGGAGTGCAGGCCTTCTTTATTTGTTCCGTATCACGGATCATCAAAATCAGAGCTGAGATGAGACCTCTGGCCACAATAAGCATAGGAGACCTTCCCAACTGCAATTTCAGGGTGTATTATTTGTTTAATTCTAATTCAGGCTGCCATGTTAATGGAGGAAATGAAATGCAGAAGACACTAAAAAAAGACTGGGTACCACTGGGGTGTAAAAAGTCTTGGGAAATGTTTTGGTTTTGGTGGTTTTTTGTTTGTTTGTTTTTTGAGATGGAGTCTCGCTCTGTCGCCCAGGCTGGAGTGTAGTGGTGCGATCTTGGCTCACCGCAAACTCCACTTCCTGGGTTCAAGCAATTCTCCTGCCTCAGCCCACCATGTAGCTTGGATTACAGGCACGTGCCACCAAGCCTGGCTAATTTTTTTTTTTTTTTTTTTTTTTTTAGTAGACACAGGGTTTCACCATGCTGGCCAGGCTGGTCTTGAACTCCTGACCTCGTGATCTGCCCTCCTCAGCCTCCCAAAGTGCTGGGATTACAGGCATAAGCCACGTGCCCAGCCTGGTTTTTTGTTTGTTTGTTTTTTGAGATGGAGTTTCACGCTGTCGCCCAGGCTGCAGTGCAGTGGCATGATCTTGGCTCAGTGCAACCTCAGCCTCCTGAGTTCAAAGGATTCTCCTGCCTCAGCCTCCAGAGTAGCTGGGATTACAGGAACCCGCTACCACACCTGGTTAATTTTTGTATTTTTAGTAAACGGAGTTTCACCATGTTGGCCAGGCTGGTCTCAAACTTCTCACCTCAAGTGATCTGCCTGCCTCAGCCTCCCAAAGTGCTGGGATTTGAGGCATAAGCCACCACGCCCAGCCTGGGAAATGTTCTTTCTCTGAGTCAGGTAGGGACTCCAGCATTAGAAGTTCCTGGTATTGTAGATACCATAAAGCCAAGAAAATCTCCTAAGTTTATTTTAGCCCTAAGTGATTTCTGTTTCATTAACACTGCTTTAAGGTACAGGCATACCTCAGAGATATTGTGGATTTGATTCCAGACCACAGCAATAAAGCAAATATCGCTGGCAAATATCACAATAAAGCAAGTCACATAAATTTTTTGGTTTCCCAGTGCATATAAAAGTTATGTTTATATTATACTGTAATCTCTTAAGTGTTTAATAGTATTATGTCTGCAGAAACCAATATATATACCTTAATTTAAAAATACTTTATTGGCCAGGTGCAGTGCCTCACGCCTGTAATCCTAACACTTAGGGAGGCTGAGGAGGGAGGATTGCTTGAGATCAGGAGTTTGAGACCAGCCTGGGCAACATAGTGAGACACCAACTCTACAAAAAATAAACAAAATTACTTGGGTGTGGTGGCATATGCCTGTAGTCCCAGCTACTGAAAAGGGTGAGGTGGGAGGATCACTTGAGCCTGGAAGGTCAAGGCTGCAATGAGCTGAGATCATGCCACTGTACTCCAGCCTTGGTGACAGATCTAGACCCTGTCTCAAAAAAAACCAAAAACTTTTTTGCTAAAAAATGCTAAGGCTTCAGCAAGTCATCATCTTTTTGCTGGTGGACATTCTGGCCTTCATCTTGATTGCTGCTGACTGATCAGGCTGATGGCTGCCGAAGGCTGGAGTGGCTGTGGTAATTTGTTAAAATAAGACCACAGTGAAGTTTACTGCATCAATTGGCTTTTCCTTTCACGAAAATTTCTCTGTAGCATGTGATGCTGTTTGATAGTATTTTACCCGCAGTAAAACTTCAATATTGGAAACAATACTCTCAAACTCTGATGCTGCTTTATCAATTCAGTTTATGTAATATTCTAAATCTTGTGTTGTCATTTCAACAGTGTCCACAGCATCATCACCAGGAGTAGATTCCACATTAAGAAACTTCTTTTATTGCTTCATCCATAAGAAGTAACTCCTCATCCGTTCTAGTTGTTGGGTTTTTTTGTTTGTTTTGGAGACAGCATCTTCTTCTGTCACCCAGGCTGGAGTGCACTGGCATGATGTATGCTCACTGCAACATCTGCCTCCCAGGTTCAAGTGATTCTCATGCCTCAGCCTCCCAAGTAGCTGGGATTACAGGTGTGTTCCACCACTCCTAGCTAATTTTTGTATTTTTAGCAGAGATGGGTTTCACTATGTTGGCCAGGTTGGTCTTGAACTCCTGGCCTCAAGTGATCCGCCAGCTGCAGCCTCCCAAAGTGCTGGGATTACAGGCATGAACCACCTTGCTGGGCTCCATTCAAGTTTTATCACGAGATTTCAGCAATTCAGTCACATCTTCAGTTTCCACTTCTACTTTTAGTTTTCTTGCTATTTTCACCACATCTGCAGTGACTTCCTCCACTAAAGTCTTAAAGTCACCCATGAGGGTTGGAACCAACTTCTTCCAAACTCCTCTTAATGTTGATACTTTGACTTCCCCCCAAGAATCATGAATGTTCTTAATGGCATCTAGAATGGCAAATCCTTTCCACAAGGTTTTCAATTTACTTTTTCCAGATCCATCAGAGGAATCACTATCTACGGCAGCTATAGCCTTACAAAATGTATTTCTTAAATAATAAGATGTGAAAGCCAAAATTACTCCTTGATCCATGGGCTGCAGAATGGATGTTGTGTTAGCAGGCATGAAAACAACATTAATCTCCTTGTACATCTCCATCAGAGCTCTTGGGTGGCAAGGTGCATTGTCAATGGGCAGGAATATTTTGAAAGGAATATTTTTTTCTGAGCAGTAGGTATCAACAGTGGGCTTAAGATATTCAGTAAACCATGCTGTAAACAGATGTGCTGTCATCCAGGCTTTGTTGTTGCATTTATAGAGCACAGACAGAGTAGATTTAGTACAATTCCTAAAGGCCCTTGGATTTTCAGAATGGTAAATAAGCATTTGACTTCAACTTAAGGTCATCAGTTGCATTTGCCCCTAACAAGAGAATCAGCCTGTTCTTTGAAGCCAGGCATTGACTTCTCTCTAGCTATGAAACTCCTAGATGGCCTCTTCTTCCAATAGAATGTTGTTTCATCAACACTGAAAATCTGTTTAGTGTAGCCACCTTCATCCTTTTCTTTAAATTTTTTGTAGAGACAGGGTCTCACTATATTGCCCAGGCTGGTCTCAAACTCCTGGGCTCAAGCAATCCTCCCACCTCGGTCTCCCAAAGTGCTGGAATTACAGGAATGGCCACCATGGCCAGCCTACCTTCATCCTTGCTCTTAGCTAGAGATGCCAGGCTCCTGGGTAACTTGTTGCAGCTTCTACATCAGCACTTGCTGCTTTACCTTGCACTTTTATGTTATGGAGGGAGCTTCTTTCCTTCAATCTCATGAACCAACCTCTGCTAGATTCCAACTTTTCTTCCGTAGCATTGTCAGCTCTCTCACCCTTCACAGAATAGAGGAAGAATTACAGCCTTTCTTTGGATTAGGCTTTGGCTTAAGGAAATGTTATGGCTTGTTTGATCTTCTATCCAGACCACTAAAACTTTCTTCATATCAGCAATAAAGCTGTGTTGCTTTCATATCATTCATGTGTTCACTGTAGTAACACTTTTATTTTCCTTCAAGAACTTATCCTTTGCATTCACAACTTGGCCAGCTGGCACAAGAGGCCTAGCTATTGACCTATCTCAGCTTTCAACATGCCTTCTTCACTAAGTTTAATCATTTCTAGCTTTTTATTTAAAATAAAAGATGTGAGACTATTCCTTTCACTTGAACACTTAAAGGCCATTGTTGGGTTATTAATTGGCCTAATTTCAATACTGTTGTGTCTCAGTAAATAGGGAAACCCAAGGAAAGGAAGAGAGATGGGGGAACAGCCAGTCGATGAAGCAGTTGGAATAACAACATTTATCAGTTATCTCTTATGTGGTTGTGATTCGTGGCACCCCAAACATCAAAGATCACTGATCGCAGATCACCATAAGAGACATAATAGTGGCTGGGCATGATGGCTCATGCCTGTAATCCCAGCACTTTGGGAGGCTGAGGCAGGCAGACTGCCTGAGCTCAGGAGTTAGAGACCAACCTGGGCATCATGGTGAAACCCCGTCTTTACAAGAAATACAAAAATTAGCCTGGCATGGTGGCATACACTTGTGGTGCCAGCTACTTGGGAGGCTGAGATCAGAGGATTGCTTCAGCCTGGGAGACCAAGGCTGCAGTGAGCCATGATTATGCCACTGCACTCCAGCCTGGGTGACAGAGCAAGACCCTGTCTCAAAAAAAAAAAAAGAAAAAGAAAAAGAAAAAAAAGATAAAATAGTAATGAAAAGGTTTGAAATATTGTGAAAATTACCAAAATGTGATAGAGACACAAAGTGAACACACGCTGTTGGAAACATGGCACCAATGGACTCACTTGATGCAGGGTTGCCACAAACCTTTAATTTGTAAAAAATGCAATAAAGTCACAATGAGCAAGGTAAGCCGTACTAAAAGGCCACAGCTCCTGGAATGGGGCGGGGCTAGAGGTCAGGGATACAGTCAACTGAAGTTTAGGAATTGCAAGATAATGTTTAGGTAGTGATATAGTTGGGATGTTTGTCCCCTCCGAATCTCATGTTGAAATGTGATCCCCAGTGTTGGAGGTGGGGCCTAATGGGAGGAGTTTAAGTCATAGTAGCAGATCCTTCATGAGTGGCTTGGTGCCCTCCCATGGTAATGAGTGAGTTCTTACTTTATAAGTTCACACAAGAGCTGGTTGTTTAAGGAGCCAGCATCTCTCTTGCTCCCTCACTCACCATGCGACACACCTGTTCCCCCTTTGCCTTACAGCTATGAGTAAGAGCTTCCTAAGCCTTTACCAGAAGTCCAGTAGATGCTGGTGTCATGCTTGTACAGCCTGCAGAACCATGAGCCAAATAAACCTCTTTTCTTTATAGATTACCAGGTCTGGAGTATTCATTCATAGCAATGCAAATGGACTAACACAGGCAGTGAGCTAAATTCTCCCCTCAAATCTACAATGGTTGAGGAGGTGGCATGAGAAATGGGAGAATATTTAGGAAAGGTTAGAACTAAATTCTGACAACTCTCCAAATGTTCTGGTCACATGTATGTGCTCCAGCCATAACTTAGTGTAACTCACATTTGGGCTGCTGCAGTAGCCTAAAAGCACAAACTGTGATGCCCAAAAACCTGTCCTACTAAATACATGTTTCCTGGCCCTGCCCAGCTCTTTGCCTACCCAGGCCAGCACCTCCATTTGGAGCTACAGTTCTGTAGCACTGCCTAAGTTTATATAGGCAGAATGCTTACAAAGGAGATTCTTTAATCTGGTTCCTAAAGGGCAAAGCACTGGGAGATATTTGTGGTAGCAACCCCCAGCTGTCTGCAATTGGAGATTCAAGGGCAGGGGTGCATTTTAATTTAGTGGAAACAACATATGCTTTTAAGTCCAGAAAGTATAGGATTGAATACCATTTCTGCTCCTTAATAGCTATTTGGGAGATCTTGAACAATTTACTTTACATTTCTGAGTCTTAACCTCTCTATATGTAAAATGGAAAAGAAAGAAAAAAAAAAACCTTTCTCTAAATCACCAATTCCTTATCTAGAAATTTCTCAGTCAAAAAAAAAAAAAAAAAAAGAATAGGTTGGGTGCGGTGGCTTACGCCCATAATCCCAGCACTTTGGGAGGCTGAAGCAGGTGGATCACTTGAGGTCGACAGGTCAAGCCCAGCCTGGCCAACATGGTGAAGCCCCATTTCTACTAAAAATACAAAAATTAGCTAGGTGTGGTGGCATGCACCTGTAATCCCAGCTACTTGGAGGCTGAGGCAGGAGAATCACTTGAACACAGGAGGCGGAGGCTGCAGTGAGCCGAGATTGCGCCATTGCAATTCAGCCTGGGTGACAGAGCAAGACTCCGTCTCAAAAAACAATAAATAATAATAAGCGTTTATCCTGTCCTTCCTGCATGAACAGTATTTTAGGGTAGCTAGATAGTCCAAACTGATGAGAAAAAAATTTTAATAGAAAAAAATCCAACTAATAAATGCGGAAGTGATGATAGAATTAGAAAATCACAATTTTTCAGCACCTAAAAATATGATTGTATTAGGCAAAGATTATGAATGGATGAAACCGTCCTGAAAAGTCAATTAGGAACTTCACAACATCAAAGGCAGCTGATGTTTGTATCACCAGAAGTGAGACACCTAGGCACTGCAGCCTCCTGGTGTGATGCAGTGTGAAGCACACAGCCCACATTTGAAGAATTCCTGCCAAAAAAATTAAACTTCAACTAATCAGACCTCTGGAGCTAACAGAGTTTACAGGAAATGTGAGGGATAAAGACACAAATTAAATGACACCATAAGGAAGCAAACAGATCCAGAATGTGGAAATTCTATAGGATAACTGACCCAGATTCTGCTACAAGTAAATGGCAGGGAAAAAACTGGGGGATTTCGGGGGACAGGGAGACTGGTGTAGATCAAAACAGACTCAGAGATACAACAATCAGTGTGATGTATGAGCCATGTTAGATCCAGATTCAAACAGGCCCCTATAAAGAGATATTTGCCTGGATTATACACTGGGTATTAGATGGTATCATCAAATTATCATTTTGTTGGGTGTGATGGTGGCATTACAGTTATGTAAGAAAATATTCGAATTGCTTAGAGATGTATATTAATTATGAAGGAGTGAAATACCATGATCTTTGGAATTTGCTTTAAAATTATTTACTAAAAACAAAAGGAAAATGAAGGAGATGCAAGGAGAGAAAAATAACAGAAAGAAAAGGAAAAAAAAAGAAAAAGAAACTATCCCATAGGACGGATAGAGATTGCATAAATTAAGAAAACCATGTAGCCCAATGTCTGGTACAGAGTATAACTCAATAAATAGCTCCCTTTCCCTTTTGCAAGCCTAAGCCACTGTTCTGAATCCTGAGTTCTGAATACCCTCCTAGGCTGGCATGTTCCTACTTACTAGGAATGCTCCCATATTTTAACAATTCCTCTTCCATTCTGTCATCTACATAAATACATCATGGAAGAAATCAAGCTTGATTTTTGTTCTCTAATGAAGCAAGAAAATGAAATATTACATTATTCTCGTTACAATGAAGAGACAACCAAGGCCAAAATAATATTTAGCAATAAAGACAGTACAATACCCTCTTCATACTCAAGGAAATAACATTTGTGTTTCTAATGACTGCAATCCAAGGGCCTATAGTAAGTAGGTATTTGTAATTTTGTTGGAAAACAAATTTAGATGGCCTGTGTTTCAAAAAAAATCTCATATTTAGTCAGAGAATTACTTACTACCAAGCTATTTTATTTGTGATATGAATTGTATATTCAAAAAGGCTAATTTTGATTTTATATTTTGATTTTCTCAATTAATCTGCATAAAAATCATCCCCTGTAACTTCAAATGTCCACATCAAGCAAATCATATTGGCCTCTTAAAGAAGATAATAATTCTGAATACTTCAAGCTCAAGCCTGTGGAAAACTGTCTCATCAGTTTTCAAGTAAGTGGCATTATCATTTAAAGCAATAGTTTTGTTCAGATTTGCTGTAAAGCCACTGCTCACTGTAGCTCTCTTAGCTGTTTGTTCCACTTCCCTCTACAGTGGAACCAAACTTGAGCTTGTGAAAGAGTCCCAGGAAACCCAAACTCCTGAATTAACTCCTGCTTCATATTTGTGTCCTCCCTCTCCGGGAATTCATTTCTCCCATTCTTGTGTTAGAATATTCTACAGCTTTTGTTTGTTTTTATTGATAGTATCAAATCTAATAGACTTGTATTAAATAATCTTGAGCTTTTGTTTTCCATTCTGAGTTTCAAAATCCCAGAAGGCAGTGCCTTCTAGTTACTCAATAAAGGTTTATCAAATTGAATGAACTGACTTTGCTTCCTAAGCACTTTGTTGATGTTGGTGCTGCAAACCTGGAATATCAGTGTCCATTCTAAACCAACAAATGGGAGTAAGGAGTCACTCTGCTAACAAAACGAGAAGAGAGTTCAACACCAGTGAGAACATATTGTATTCCTAGTGAGAAACCATGGGATCAATTTTCCACAGTCGTGTTAACGTTTTATGCTCTGTCCTTAGAGTAGTGGTCATATTCACAGCAGTCAAAACCACATGTACCTGTGGGATATCCATGCTGATCAGCTTTGTTAGACAAGGCATATATATGAATCACCTGTTCAGAAAGAACATAAGGCCATCATGCAGTTTTGAAACAGGCAAAACAAAACTGCAGCTTCCTAAATCACTCTTTATTAAAAGACCAGTTTTTTTTAGGTTATTTTTTTCCCCCAATTTAAGAAGCTTTTCCCACCGCTATGGTCAGTGGTTCTGCCCTTCCCAATTTCTCTGGTCGTATTCTAAAAGGGTTGATTTAAGGAAATACTGAAATGCTTTTTAAAAATTTATATTTTTTAACCTTCGTGTTTGGCTGACCTTATTTGCTATAAAATAATTTTTAGTCATTTCTAAATATGAATATCTAGCACTTTCTTTTCAGGCTTAACTTTAGAGACTTCTGTGAGTTTGGTTATATTCCTCTTTGCAGGAGAATCGATGCAATTAGATGTTTCTCAGTGCAATGAGAAGTTTAGGCTTCATATTCATAACACAAATGTCTTTTCTAAGCCTATAACAGACATAATTGTGGCTAAAATGTAGTATTTTATTAAGAATATACAACAGTAAAAGTAGTACATGAATTCAGGACTTAAGAATCTGCTTAATTAAATGTATCTGTCTACAGTGGTATTTAATATCATTCTTTTCCCTTCTGCTTTTCTTTCTTTCAGGAGCAATTTAGGACTACCGATATAAATGGACTTGAAATTGAATTGTTAAACAGAACTGCATTTCAGCAGCTCAAGGAATATAACTCATTCGTTTTGTTATATTTCTGATGCCAGCCAAAATGCAGAACTTAGAAAAAAGACCTCAAGTCTGTCATTCCCTTTCCTCTAGGAAAAGTTAAATTCTCTTTTCTGTGACCTACTGCATAAATGCATGGTTCATTATTATTCTTAAACCTGGATTCAAATGATACTCAAAAAAGTATCAAACCTTTCCCTAAGCACAAACCAATCAAAAAGAGCATTTTCCAACCCATATCACCTGAGACTCAAATCAAGTAGGAAAAAAAAAAAGCTCAAAATCTAAAAATTAAACTGGGTGCTAGACTTAAAATCTTACAAGCATCCTCTAGTTTTAGTATAGCTGTTAATATAGCCAAGTTTTTTTTATTTAGTTGATTTCTTACTTTCATATTTTTTAATGAGAAGAAGGTAAAATTCTCTACCGGAAGTAATAAAAATTTCAGATGATAAGACAGATAGCCCTAAAAGTTTTTGCCTAAACTCATGCACATAAACTAAAACTGGCCGATTAATCTCGCTACAGTATGTTTAAAAAGAGTGGCATTTGAAAATACAGTATAGCAGTGTGATGCTGCACTGCCTCTAATTAAGTGCAGACTAGGAAAAATTATTCTTAGTTTAGTCTATGAAAGGGGGGTGGTGGAAATTTCTCTCTTTGCAATTCAAAATTATTTTAAAGATAGAACATTTCTTTTCCAATGTCTTCATTAAACAGAGCTGTTAAGAATTGTCTCCCAACCATCCCCAAAGAGTACAAAGCTAACCAGTATTCGTCCCATATGCTCTGCTTTGAAGTGTGAAGCTGTGACCATCCCACTAGACTCTTACACCACCATCAAAGCCGTCTCATTACGCCCAGTGCTGAGAGTTAAAGCGCGGGGCCCTAACCGCTCCAACACAAACACTGCATTAACAAAGCGACCGCAATATTCCTCCCCCACATGGCTAGAACTTGAAGAAATTTTTACCATATGTACACATGCACGAGATACAGAAATTTATTGTGCTAGAACATCATTGAGAAGCACATTAAACATGCTGACTAGAACTGGATGTTATTCTAAGGGACTGAAAAAAATAAAATGCAGCTGATCTTTATGATGAAAGAGCAGAAACATCAGGCTGAAAAATGAGATCAAGTGCAATTCCTAAATTGCATTTCGACTGACACGTTCTGTTGCCTGTTTTTTCTTGAGGTAGCAGAAAACAATTTAAGGGAAGAAACAAAACTCTACTGCACATCACTGGATGCTACTGTTTACTCCATCATGTTTCATTTCAAAAGGACGAACTTAAAAACCACGATAGGCTGATAACAACACCTATGCCTCCAAATGAACAGGCCTTGCTAAGAAAAATTTCACTTGCATCTCTGAGTTGTCAGTTTATTATTGGCATGACAGTAAAAAATAAAATGCAAAGAAAAAACTTATTTATTATGGAAATGAGGTCAGGATAAGCACTTAATTGATTTTCATATAAAATTAATCTGGAAAAAACATTTTTAAATGTTTTAACCTAACATTTCCATTCCTTTGTATTTGCTCTAGGAAAAGCCTTGCATTTGTGCACAAGAGGGACTATTCAAGAATGTTCATCATTTCATTATTTGATCTAGGAAAAACAAGAAACAATCTGAATGTCCACAAACAGGAGAACAGACAAAATGTGTTATATTCATATTATGATAATTATAAAGCAGGTAGAATGAAATAGAACTATATGTAATACCATGGATATATTTCTAAGCTATCTTGCTGAATGAAAAAATTATAGTATAAGAGCATTTCTAATACAAACATACACAAGCAATACTATATTGGATTTATTGGTTTATACATGTATGTAAGTAAAGCATGTAGAAAATTCTGGATTTGGGGCATGCTATACTCTTACCATAACTTGGCAGGGGGACATTCAGAGAACCAGGAATGAGAGTAGTGATCAGAGGTGAATTTTAACCTTAACTGTAGTACTCGAAATTTTGAAACAGAGAATTAATTAATTTTAAAAAATCAGGCAAGGTCTAATAAATAAATGGTTGTGAGGATTCTTTGTTCTATTACTGTCTTGATAGAAAAAACTACAAGTGAGTTTCTTAATGTGTCGAGGTCTGCTTTCCAGCTATGGAATGAAAAAACTGGACCTATCTACTCTCCTCCCTATAAACAGAAAAATAATGTGCCCTCAAACTCTTAAAATAACATACAATTTCATGGAGATACAGATACAAGTATTCATGAAAGTATATAGTATATCAGGAGTTTGGGGTATATTTTACATATATATTTCATAACCAATAATCCAAGAAGGTTGTTATTTCCTTGCATATAACATATAGTTTCATAGAGATATGTATACAGAAGCTTATTATTCCTTTGTAGGGCATATGCTGATATATTTACCACTTTGTGCAGATGTGATATAATTCATTTAAAGAATTATACTTTCCTGAGTGGCCTAACATATTTAACTTATACTGTACTCCATAACTCATTTTATTGTGTCCTGTGGTGCTTTCTAATAGCTTCACACACAGTTATTTCATGGACTCAGTTTTGTTGGGGGAAGGTACTTTGTTATATTTCTCTAAAAGTCACAATAGCATTTACTATAGGAAATGGAAACATAACAGGCACTCCAAGACTGTCTGGATGTTCACAAACACGTCTCCATTTATTTTCATAATATTTCTCTGAAATAGGTACTGAATATCATTTTGCAAATGAAGAACTGATGAAGGAGAAGCTGTCTGCTATAGAACTTAAATTTCAGAGCTGAAAGCACTTCAGACATCTCTTGCTCAAGTGATTTTCTAACATCTTGCTGTGCAATCCCTTTTCTCAGAAGGTACCTTATTTGGAATCTTGATATATAAAACAGAAAAGGGGGATCCACTCTCTTTATGGTGAAAGAGACTCTCCTGGGCTCCAACTGCTCTGTACCCCCTCCACAAGGCAATGGAGAATCACTAAAAATAATGACAGCCGGTAGGAGGCAGAGGACCTGGGGCTTTACACAGTCATCGATTATCATAACCATCCTGATAGGATGACACTATTCTCCCATTTTACAGATACAAAAACTCTTAGAGACTGAAAAAGAAGAGACTAAAAAATTTTCTCAAGCCAGTTGGCAAACAAGTAGCAGACGTGGGATTTGAACTCAGATTGTTCAGCTCCCTAATTTTTTTTTTTTTTTTTAAGACAGGGTCTTCCTCTGTTTCCCAGGCTGGAGTCCAGTGGCACCATCACAGCTCACTGCAGCCTTGCCTTCCAGACTCAAGCAATCCTCCCACCTCAGCCTCCCAAGTAGCTGAGATTAGAGGTACACAGCACCACACCTGGCTAATTTTTTTAAAATTCCTTGTAAAGATGAAGTCTCACAGTGTTGCCCAAGCTGGTCTGGAACTCCTGAGCTCAAGCAATCCACCTGCCTCGACCTCCCAAAGTGCTGGGATTACAGGCATGAGCCAGTGTGTCCAGTTTCAAATTCTTATCCTGCCCACTTCCCATCTTGCTTCCCTGTCTAACCACAGTGGAATGTGATGTTATTGGTTAGTTCATGCTGATCAGAGACTGACAGGCAGATCTACACATATACACCCTGAGTGGGTGGAATTGGTATTGACCTTTCACTTGCATATATTGCTCCCCGTTTGTTAAGGACCTCTCACTCTCTTTCAGAGAAGCTATAGAGATGCTAAAGGTTCCCCAAAGAGTAGTTCAGATGGGTCATGGCAAAGCCTTGGGGATGGCCAGGAATCCTTCTGCTGGATAACATATCAGCAATGTATAAATAGCCTTCAGCATTAAGCCTACTCCCCACAGCAACAAAGAGTTAACTTGGCTCTTCCACCTATTTGGTGCTCCTCAGAAGGACAAACAAATGCTTTGCATGAGTTACTTTGCTTTCCTTGTGTGTGTTCAGCTCTCAAGCCTCTTCTTGGCTGCTGGCCACAGACAACACACAATAATCTCTCAGTGGTCTCAAAGCTGGCACTACCTCTCACCATTTGCCTGCCAAAGGAGTCAAGTCCTGCCCTCCCCCTTTTCATATCCCCACCTTTCAGATAACGACCATTTCCACACACCCTTCTCCAACCTCTTTCAACTATGTTTTGGAGAAAAATGCTTTCTGCCCATTACTGATGTTTTCTTCCACATGGAGAGAGCTCTGCTCATCTTGCTGTCTGTTACAGGCTGAATTGCGTTCTCCAAAAATGCATATGTTGAAGTCCTGGCTCCCAGTACCTCAGAATATGACCTTATTCTGGAATAGGGTCATTGCAGATGTAATGAGTTAAGATGAGGTCATACTACAGTAGGTTGGGTCCCTAATCCAATATGACTGGGGTCCTCATAAAAAGGGGAAATTGGGACACAGACAATATACAGAAAGAATGCCACGTGACCATGAGGAAGGTCAAGTGCAAGCCAAGATGGGACAGGTTCTCCCTCACACCTCTCAGAAGGAACCAACCCTGCTGCCACCCTGATCGCGGACTTCTAGCCTCCAGGATTGTGAGACAATAAATCTCTGTGGTTTAAGCCACCCAGACTGTGGTACTTTGTTACTACAGCCCTAGTAAACTAAAACACCAGCCTCGCTCCCTCCTAACTTTCATTCTCTGATGGGAAGTTTGGGAAAGAAACTGGATGTGCACAGGCCCACCCTGCCTCCCTCTTCCTTCTTAGGAGCTGGTTTTCAGCAGGAAACACACATTACAGGCCACTCCTCCTCACCATAAAGCTGTCCAGCCTCAGGCCTTGGCTGCCCGGTACTGCCTGTGACTGGCTGGGTTAGTCTAATTCTCTGGTGGGGTAGTCCCAGCCGCCAATACTAGTTTGATCAGTAATAAAGTTATTGTAGTCTCCATTTCTCATCTGCCTTTCTCTTCTGTGGGACTGGTTCCAAATGTGGGAAAGGAAGACGTGTATTATTTGTCACGCTCTCCTCTTAAACCTACCCCAATACTCTTATTTCCCTGAGGGGAGGGAGTGAAGTGACCTTCTTCTTTCTCTACTCTCTTTCTAATTTCGTTGCTACGTTATATAAACTTTGTGCAATGCTTTCCCAAAGCCTCTGCTTTCGATTGTCAGAAATTCTAGCTGTGTGGTGGCTCATGCCTATAATCCCAGAGCTTTAGGAAGCCAAGGCAGGAGGATCACTTGAGGCCAGGAGTTCCAGACCAGCCTGGGCAACATAGCAAGACCCTGTCTCTACAAAAAAAAAATTTAAAGATTAGCTGGACATGGTGATACATGCCTGTAGTCCTAGCTATTCAGGAGTCTGAAGCAGAAGAATCACTTGAGCCCAGGAGGTCAAGGCTGCAGTGAGCTAGGATTGCACTACTGCACTCCAGCCTGGGCAACAGGCAAGTTCCTGTCTCTAAAATAAATAAATAAATCAAACATGAACACTGTTACTTCTGCATTGTCACTATAACAATCCTATAATCCCCTCAAGGTAGGTAACTCAGACAGTCCCACACAGGCTACGGGGAAAAGAAAAGCACAACAATTAGTATCTCAAAATATTATCTTACTACATATGTTTAGGTAATTAAAATTGGAGAATGAATTATTCAACCTATGTAACTTTAATAGTCACATAATAAACGATAATTAATGATGCTATAATTATTGTAATATCATAATACATTGTTGTCATTATTATTGCAGGCTGTGAGTCTCCCGAGAAGCACACTCTTACTCTACCAATAGAGAATAGGTGGATGGGTTGGTGGGTGCATGACAGTGTGGAGAGACTTGCACTTAATCTACAAGCCCATCAACGTCATTAACATCATTATATCATTTCTTCAGAGTTTTCTAATCCTAGTGGCCTTGACACTGGAAGCCACTATAAAAGCTAGGAAGGAAAGATAAAAGGAAAAGGGATTCAGGAAAAACATCTCCACAGTTATGGGGCCTGAGCTCAAAAATACCAGGGCCTAGTATTCAGTCAGTTGCTATAAACCCTTACTAGATCCACAATCTCTAAAACACTATCAGCAATCATATAAAATACCAAACTCTGAGTGTTGTAGATATCTACTGAAAATCAGAAAACCTAAAACCCCTCAACTTTGAGGCCCCCTGGGGCTCCCTTTGTTAGTAAGGGGTGAATGTTTCATGTCTCCCACAATGACTCCTGGTTTAACACTGAGTGTCTTAAGAGACCTTTTACCTAGGTGAAGTGGTTGGCTGGGGAGGGGGCTCCTAATTTTTAGCTGTAAATCTCAACTGTGGCTTCTAGATTGGGAAACAATTACAAGAAGTGTATAGTCAGGCAGCATGGATTTCATGTATCCCCCCATTTGTTCCAATTAGGAGATTCTTATAAGACATTTATTCTTGTTGATATTTCTTTTTCTGTTTGTTTGTTTTGTGTTTGAGATAGGGTCTCGCTCTGTTGCCCAGGCTGGAGTACAAGTAGCACATCATGGCTCACTGCAGCCTCAACCTCCTGGGCTCAAGGGATCCTCCCATCTCAGCTTCCCAAGTAACTAAGACTACAGGCACGCACTACCACACCCAGCTAATGTTTTTTATTTTTATTCTTTGTAGAGACGAGGTCTCCCTATGTTGCCCAGGCTGGTCTTGAACTCCTGGGCTCAAACAATCCTCCCACCTTGGCCTCCCAAAGTGCTGGGATTATAGGCATGAGCCACCACTCCCAGACACTTGTCAATATTTCAATAAACCCTATTGCTTTTACATCAAGAGTGAGACAGGGGGCCAGCCATGGTGGGCAGATCCCTTGAGCCTAGGAGTTTGAAACCAGCCTGGGCAACACAGGGAGACCCCATCCTACAAAAAATACAAAAATTAACCAGGCATGGTGGTACATGCTGTAGTTCCAGCTATTCGGGAGGTGGAGGTGGCAGGATCACTTGAGTCTGGAAGGTCAAGGCTACAGTGAGCCACAATCATGCCACTGCACTCAGCCTGGGTGACAAAGCAAACCCTGTTTCAAAAAAAAAGGAAGAGTGATACAGGGAAGGAGTAAAAGTCCATAGCAGGGTATGGTATCAAGCTGTGAGCAACTGGGACTCAATCCTGCTGAGATGGGCCTCAGAATTGTCCATCTCAGGGACAAAAGAGGCAAGCATTTATCCACCAGCTCTGGTCCCCCACAGGCCAAGTGTTGCCCGATGGGGTTAACTTGCTTGCTCACTCACACTGCAGGTTGTAGCAGAGCCACAGTAAGAGAAAAGAGTGCAGCTTTTTCAAGTATGGCTGGGTTCATCCATAACTGCTGGTCATGGAAGATTAAGTTTGTTTATCCCAGTTCTCCCATTTGGCCTTTCCTTCTTCATTAGTACCTCTGTTTTACAGTAGTTGGTAGACTCCTCTTGCATTTATTCAGCCTGTGGCAATATGCATTTATGAGCAACCCGGTAACTCTCCTTCATAGTTAAAATGTACTAAAGTCACTGGAAATCAATCTTAATATTTTAAGTACTTTCCCAATGCACAATCCCTTGTTTTCTAAGATTTTTCTATGGTGGCAGTATTCCTGTAATTCTTCAACTAAATGCTATGCCCTAAATATGTTTACACACATTTGTAAAATCAACTATTGTTTTTATGCTATGGCAATGAGGGTAGTGTTGATGGTGGTTAGAACTATATCAGAACCCAGCATCTAAATTGACTGATCTCAACCAAATCCAACACTGTTTTATGAGACAATCTCCATAGCAACTGGAGAATCAGAGTAGAAATTCTCAAAGTGAAAAGTTGTTCCTGATTTGCCAGATCAGCCCATGTTTTGACAATCTGTAATAAGGTAATCAAAGGGTCTCAAGACTACCATGGGAGTGTTGACGCTGTGTGAATGTGTCATGGCACACATCCTCCAAGTCATAAGAATAATTGAAAAAAATCTACAAGGCTGATCATTCTGATCAAAGTCCTTAATGTTTTATATATTTTTTTAAAAAAATCAAAACAATAAGTATCAATCATGCCAGCACTATTTCTTTATTCATGTAGCTTATATGGCTAGCATTTATCTTTCCAGTTCTCTAAATAATGACCTTAGTTGATACGGCATTGTGCAAACATTCATTTGATCAATGACATGAAACAAAAAGCAAGTTTCCATATCATTTATAAAATTCATTAACTATGGTCTAGACTCTTGCAGCTGAATATTATGAGCCTACAGGTTAGGTAAGCCTATTTTCACCGTCAAGGCATTGGGAGAATTTGCCTAAGAATCTTCTGCGCTGACCCCTCCCCTCTATCATCATTCAATCCTTCTCATGAAAGTTTGTGTGTCAACAGGCAACAGGGTCATGTTACAGAGACACTGGGTCTAGCATGTGAAAGCACAGAGTGAGGAAGACGTGGAACACATACAAGAAGCATCAGGGTCCACAGTATCCTGCAGAGAAATTGTCTATAGAAACTTGATAGAAGTACAGAAAATCAGACTAAATATCTTCAATACTGAGTAGAAGTCAGACAAAAGAAGAATGCTCCTGAAAATTTACCAATGATTCCAAGTGAGGTGAATGCATTGTTCCTGAAAGATCCAAGATGATTTAAAATCGCCAAGAGAAGTAGGGACTTCCAGGAAAACATGAAAATGTGGATCCATATGTTTACTTTCATTTCTTCCAAAAACCCCCAGGAAAAAAAATGGTATAAAGAAATTTTTTTCCCAAGCATTAACTCAAACCAACAGAAATAAAGAGGAGGCAATCGCACTGGAAGCTGCAGAGAAAATGTGTGAGGGGGATGTGATTCGGCAGACTCAAGGCAGCAAGTGGAGCAGCAGAGAAGCACCTGATGCATCCCACAGACGCCTGATAGAGGGCAGAACCAGCAGCCCCACTTTGGGAGGGAAGGCAAAGGGGAAGCTCAAAACCAGAAGATGGGTGGGAAGTCGGCTTCAGCAGCGGTCAGAGCCCATCCCTGATCCACACAGACAGGCACCTGCCCTGCCACACCCTGGTAGAATATGTAAGAGGTAAAACACAAGGTGTCTGGGCTGGGGAATATGGACACAGCTGAGGGCTGGGGTGAGTAATGAAAAGAGAGGAATTAAAAGAACATTTATATTGACAATCTAAACGTTGAGATTTTTTCAGCCCTTTTGTGCAACTCAGCTTCTAAAACACTGGCAGTGGTGTCTCCACTCGAGGCTGGACACTGGAAGATCCTCCTCTGGGGAACCTGAACAGCTCAAGAGGAAAGACCAAAAAAATACTGAAGTATGAGTTCCCCAAAGAAATGACCCAGCCATGTCAGCCTACAGTTGACAAACCCCACCTGCACACTTGGAGTGTCCATTCAGCCTTCCAGCATCCACTCAGAATAAGCAGCCAACACGGCATTATCAAACATTTAAGGAAAGCCTTTAAAAAAAAAAATACAGGCAAAAGCAACAGGGTGAAGGGGACAAGGTGAGGGGAGATTATACAGGAAGAAGAAACCGAAATGATCCATTAATGATACGTTCATGAAATAAAACCAGGATGTTCTCTTGAAAAGTAAAATAAAAGGAACATTTACAGAGTAAATGAAAGCACTTGGAAATTAATATAGAAGCCATAAAAACTTATGGAAGGCTGGGACAGCAAGTAGACGAAATTCACCAGAAAGTGTTATAAAAATAGAGTGATGGAAAATAAGAAAGAAAGTAAATGTAGAGGACCAGTAAAAGAGTTCTAATCTCCAAATAATGGGGCTTTTAGAAAGAACTGAGAAAATGGAAGAAATCATCAATGGAATAATTCAAAAGAATTGTCCAGCACTGATGGACAAAGTTTCAAAGAATAAAAGGACTCACCAAGTATCCAGCATAAGGGATGGAAACAGACCCATACAAAAGCACTTCAGGGAAATTTCAGAACACTGGGAACCAAGCAAAGACCTCACAAGCCTCCAGAGAGAAATGAAAGGTCACATACAAAAAATAAGGAGTCATAATGGTTTCAGAAGTCTCAATAGCAATGTGGAAACAAGAACTCAGTGACACAACATCTTTAAATTAAAGTTATTTCTAACCTGGAATTCTATAGCAAGACAAACTAACAATTCAGTGTGAAGGTAGAATAATGGCACTTTCCGATATGCAAAGGGTCACCAATGTACTTCATTTTTTTTCAGAAAGCTACTAAAGGATGTGTTCCACCAAAACGACACCATAAACCAAGAAAGTCAAAAAAGAAAAAGAGAAGACATGGGATTCAGGTTGAGGACCAGGGCATCCAACATGGAGAAAGATGAAAGTCATGATGATGGCTGAGGGGGATCCTATGAAGACAGTTATCCTCAACACACTGAGGGCAGCTAGTCCTAACTGGAACAGGTCAGAGTATTCTAGAAGATACTTCTTTAAGAAGATGGAATTGATAGAACCCTCAATGAATGCATGAAGTGTTCTATCTGAATGCATGGAGAGATGTAACTATTGACAGAATTTGGAGCTAAACCAGTGGTAAGTATATAAAACTCTAAGCAAACAAATTATCAAAAAGATAATGACCAACTCCAGCAAAAGTATAAAGTTATGCAGAAAAGGTAAAATAATAATAATGTTCTAAATGATTCATTGTGAACAATGTTTACATAGTTATAATAATGTAACCACTAACTATTGACCCAAATTTTGATATAAATATGTTGAGAGGTTGGAAGATTGGGAAGTGTGAGTGGTGTGTGTCTGTGTTTGTGTGAGTGTGTGTGTGTTAGAGATGAGAGGTGGGGTAAGGGGAAGCTAAATTTTCATATTCCACAGTGAGAAGTCAATAGATAATGCCTAAAACTGAAAGACCAAGACGTACCAGTGTTTAAGTGTGATATTTCGATATCTAGAGTTAAATCAATAAGGTAAAAGAGTAGAAAGTACTCAGCTGGCTCTGAGGAGAAGGAAATTGAAGTGTGTGTATGGTAGGAGGTAAAGGGGGTTAGATAGGTACTTAGAATTTTTAGAATAAACCCCCCTACAGTATGTGATTTTTAGCTACATGCCTGTATCATTTTGATAAAAACAAATAGAAAGAGAGGGAAGGAAGGAAGAAAAAAGAAAGAGAGAGAAGGAGGAAAGGAAATAATTTTAGAGACCTGGCTAGGGGCAGTAGCTCATGCCTGTAATCCCAGCACTTTGAGAGGCTGAGGTGGGGATTGCTTAAGCCTAGGAATTCAAGACCCACCTGGGCAACATGACAAGACCCTGTCTCTATAAAAAATACAAAAATGAGCCAGGTGTGGTGGCATGCACCTGTGATCACAGCTACTCAGCAGGCTGAGGTGGGAAGATTGTTTGAACTAGAGAGGCAGAGGTTGCAGTGAGCCGGGATCATGCCACTGCACTCCAGCCTGGCCAACCCAGCGAGATCCTGTCTTAAAAAAAAAAAAATTTAGAGACCTAATAGTGATAAAAATGGGATGTAGCCTAATAGATCAATTGTGAGTTTTTATAGAAAATGAAAACCAGCCAGATGCAGTGGCTCACACCTGTAATCCCAGCTACTGGGAAGGCTGAGACAGGAGAATCGCTTGAACACAGGAGGCGGGGTTTGCAGTGAGCCGAGATCGTGCACTGCACTCCAGCCTGGGTGACACAGCGAGACTCTGTCTCAAAAAATAAATAAATAAATAAATAAATACCAATGTCCAAAATATTGGGGAAAAACCTGTATGCTTTAAATAAATATAGACTAGATCTACATCTCACCTGAGCTCTAAACTGTATAACCAACCATCCCCTCAATATATTTATATCAAAATTTGGACCAATAGTTAGTGGTTACATTATTATACCTATGTAAACATTGTTCACGATGAATCATTTAGAACATTATTATTATTTTACCTCTGCCAACCTTTTACATGCTGTCAAATGACAGCATGTAAAAAAAATGTATTCATGCTCTTTCCCTCAAACCTCCTTTCTTCTGCCATTTTAAGTTATAACATTACCACACCACTGCTCTGTCCCTCACCAGCAACAGCCCATGGAATCTGTCCATTGTCTATTCTCTTAGGCCAATATCATCCTTCCAAACTGGTCAGCCTGCTTCCTGTCCATTCTCTATCATGCAGGCAGAGTGATCTTTCTAAAACTTAAAGCCAATCATTTAATTTTCTTGCTTAAAACACTTCAGTGGTTACCACTGCCTTTAGCACAAGATTTGAACCCTTCAACCTAACATCTAAAACTTCATAATCTAGCCAAGTGCGGTGGCTCATGCCTGTAATCCCAGCACTTTGGGAGGCCGAGGCCGGCAGATTGCTTGAGGTCAGGAGTTCAAGACTAGCCTGGCTAACATGGCAAAACCCCATTTCTACTAAAAATACAAAAAAAAAAACAATTAGCTGGGTATGGCAGTGCACACCTATAGTCCCAGCTACCTGGGAGGCTGAGGCATGAGAATCACTTGAGTCTGGGAGGCGGAGGTTGTAGTGAGCTGAGATTGCACCACTGTACTCCACCCTGGGCGACAGAGCAAGACTCCATCTCAAAAAATTTAAAAAAAATAAAACTTCATAATCTGGCCTCTGATTACCTCTTGAGACTCATTTCATAACATTCCCAGGAATGTGTTTCCCATTCCACACCTCTAAGTTCCATGCAGCCATACTGAAGTCCTTTGCAGGTGCTCAAGTTCAGGCTGCCCTCACCTCTGGGCCTCTGCATCACTGTTCCCTTTATTCTAAAAGTCCTCAAACTAAAATGATATGCAAAATTATGTGTGAGTGTATGTCTCTATGTATATATACACAATGCACATGCGTAAAAACTTGCAAAAATTGTTGACAGTTATTTATAAATCCTCTGAATACCAACTTTGGACCCACTTTAAGAACCTCATCCTGGACCCACCTTAAGAACCTCTTCCTGAAGCTATAAGCAAACTTACAGCTGATATTAAAAAGTTCTGAAATACGTTATTCAGCATTTTTGCATACAAAGTATACATAAATTACACATATCAGTATCAACTCTTTTATGTCACTGGGATGCTATTTATTGCCCTTTGTCCAGAGAAAGTTAGCTGATTATTATGTTAAAGCTGGTTTCTCTGGGAAAGCCTTATTCTAGGGAAAAACATCCTTTCACTGTTCTAAGAACAGCGGGATCCTAGAATGCGAATACTTCTGCCTCATAAGAATGCCTGAGCATGCTGTTACAAAAAAAAAAAAAAAACTTAAAAAAAATTTGGATGATATTAGATGAACAGCTGTGTAGAAAAGGGGATGTAAAAATAAAAACTGCATGTTAGAGCATCAAAATAGTAACCATGTACAGTATAGGACTGTTTTTAATCAGATGAAGATTGAAGCTATTACATTTCAAATCAAATGTTATAAATTAGTTCAAGAATGCAGCTGAGCTCTCATTTAATTAGAAATGTCCATGTTTAAATCATGAGGTACAGTAGCTGCCAATGAAGCAAAGGGCAAGGGAAGGGAGAAATCCTGTGTCCAGACTCACTGATTCTCAACTGTCTCCTACACAGGATGAACATCTGGGGTGGACCAGTCCTGATGTAATGAAGAACTTCATGTACTAGCTAATTTGAGATTTAATGTAATTGTCCATAATTGTTTTGAAGACAATTAAAATCATTATTCTGGTCTGGACAATTCTGAACTCTTCATTTTTGTGTGGAACATATTTCCCCACCCCCCCATGCTGAATTTTAACTCTTTCTTGGATAAAACGTAAAGCAAGTCTGGAGCCAAGATTTCCCTTGGATAACCCTTCAACTGTCAGGTCACATAAAATGCAGCATAAGTAGTGAGGTACTCCTTTGGAAGCAAGTCTCATTTCCTATTTCTGGTGCTTAATGTAGCTCAGCTAAAGTCCAAATCTACATCCCAAATGTTAGACAATTCACCATTAATTAAAAATGAGGCAACATCATAGAGGGATTTCTGAGGTCATACAGAAAAGAATGCAATTATCCTAAGGCGGCTTTTTTTCCCCGAAGATTATAAGCCTCTGCATCTTGTAATTAACCGTGGTACAGTTAGACAGTCCAGGCAAAAGGTCTTTCTTTTCTCCCAATTTGCCTAATTCAAAAACACCTCAAGTGACATAGCTCAAATTTTTCCAAATTAACCTTACCCCTGGGGCTGAAATCATTCAAGTGGCAGTTCAGCTCTAAAGAAAATCTTAGAGTTGTGCACAGGGAAAAAAGGAAAAAAAAAAAGTCAAAGGAAAAAGGGGTAAGAGTTAACATTTAAGTGGATTTTCAACCTCATCATTACCCCTGCTCAAGAAAATAGGACACAGATAGATAGGCAAAACACACCATCATTCTGCCCTGAAGAGCCTAAAAGACTTACTAGAAACTGCTATTGTTTCCTCAAGATCTACTGTGAATTTGTGAGGGATAAAATTATTGATTTTTTTTTTTTTGCCATATCCCACAACATTTAGTGTTCCATAATGTCATGGGGTAGGAAGTGGAGGGGTGTGTCACAAACACACAGTGTATTGTTGATACAGTTCTTCAAGATCAACTTTTCCCGGGGGCTGAGGAGTGATTTGATTCTCACAAGCTATTTCAGTTTGTAAAAATGGTTTCCAGTAAGAAAGAACACATAACCCCAAACTTTCTCTTACTTCTGGCCACCACTCCACACTATTCCACTGTGACACCAGAGAGAGGGTAAATCGGAATCAAGTCCACTGCTCCCAGGCAAGGGTGGATTCCCTCTTGAACTTCCATATCGATAGCCTGGAAGGCCTCTAGGCAGGCAGCCAGAACAGAACTGCCTAAAAATGCAAAATTGTGAAAAACAATCATTCAGCTTTCAACTGCATCTAAAGAAAAAGCTATGATTTTGTTGGTCCCCTAGTTGTTTTTCTTCTGTAATCTGTGTAGAAGATTTTTTGTCCAAAATAATGAAAAATACAAAATCTAACCTTTCCCCTCACCCCACCTCCCAATAGTCATAAAACTTGACATTTCTTCCAGCTTTTTCCTCCCCAAAGTGGGAGAATTATACAAGATTTATTGGTCTTATACTATTTGATTTTTTTTTACAATTGTTTACTTTAAATTTTTTCAATTGTCTCCAATTAATTTAATCAAATTCCTTATTTTCAGAATGCCTTATGAGTAATTATATTAAAATAGATACACAAACATAATTTTTTTTTATTTTTTATTTTTTAGAGACTGAGTCTTGCTATGTTGCCCAGGCTGGTCTCAAACTCCTGGCATCAGGCAATCCTCCCACCTTGGCCGCCCAAAGTGCTGAAACTATAGGCATGAGCCACTGTGCCCAAACACGTAAATTTTTTTTTTGCATAAATTTTTTAAAGCTTACTTATTTTAGTTTTGCTCTTATCCACTAATTATATTTTTCATTGAATTATTATAGCTAAATGCATATTATAGACACCTAAGAGTTTTGTGATATTACTCTGAGTTTTCATTAGTAATACAGTATGACCATTTTAGCAATAGAGGAAAAAGCAGATTTTTATCCTGTATTAAGACAACATTCAAGATAATCTGTCCAGGCCGGGCTCAGTGGCTCAATCCTATAATCCCAGCACTTTGGGAGGCTGAGGCAGGCAAATCACTTGAGGTCAGGAGTTTGAGACCAGCCTGGCCAACACGGCAAATCCCCATCTCTACTGAAAACAATATAAAAAGTTAGCCAGGTATGGTGGTGTGTGCCTGTAATTCCAGCTACAAAGGAGGCTGAAGCATGGGAATTGCTTGAACCCCGGAGGCAGAGGTTGCAGTGAGTCGAGATCGGGCCACTGCACTCCAGTCTGGGTGATGGAGTGAGACTCTTATCTCGAAAAAAAAAAGATAATCTGTCCTATGCTTGCTGAAGTTATCTGTAAGCTCTCTACTAAACCTTACAATGTCCCTATAAGACATGTCAACTCATGGCCCAACTCCAGATCTCAAGCTCCCAACCCAGAATGCACTGCTTAGCATGTTTCATTCTATGCCAGCTTAGCAGTGAAATGAAAGCTGACTTCAACACTATTACTTCACAGGCTAAAACCTGAAGATGTCTTTTCTTAACCCCAAAGGATATGTGATCACCTTCAGCAAAAAAAAAAAAAAAAAGTTATGAAATCTTGGACCCCAAGGTTCACTGTAACAAAGAGGAAATGGAGACTCTTTGAGATTTACATGTTCAGAAAAATGATTAAGTGTAGCTTTGTGGTAGACTCTTTACTTAATAGAGGGGAGTATTCATATTTACAGAGGAAATCAATGATTAGAGAATGTTCAGGTCTACCTGAACCAAAAAAAAGACATATATGTAAAGAAAGAAACTGAAATCTTACCCAACTTATCAACAGAAGTTGCTATTGTAATGACTGATCTCTTGTAGTCTTGATCGGAAAATATATTGAGCACTGAAACTTGAGGATGTTTCTTTCCTGTAAAAAAAACAAGACAGAAGTGCAAGAATTTTTTTTCTGTGATAAAACCTTAATAGTTAATTTCTTCTGGTATATTTAAATTTAGCTTAGTGGAAAAATTCTGGGATGTGACTTTTGGAAGTGACATTGAATAAACATGAAATTCATGAGAGGCAATGTCCACTTTTCTTACAGCATCTTATTGTATAACCAGATGGCTCAGCTCAGACACAAGCTTTTGATGTCTATAAGAGACACTCTTTTGGACTTGCTACTGAATTTGCCAAAATTCCCTTAACTCAGTCTAAGATGGTAGCTCCTTTCTTCAATAGCCAAATCATATGGCTCTAAATCCTGTTCCTTATCAATCTCATCACCTAGGCCTTGTCAATATTTCCTTCCAAAATCCAGAAACTAAACTGTTTGGGTCAAGATCTGACATCTGGTAAAACTAGAATAGACCAATTAGTGCCCAGAGCAGAGGTTTTTGAGACGCATGCACCTGTCCATTAGAAACTGTTCTGAGTCCACCATCTCCTTTTCGGAGGCCACCAACAGCCTTCAGATGTTAACAACTTCCAGCTTTTGGTGGTTTGTGACTCTCTTGAATATGTGTAACCTGGAGGAGAAAGCTGACATTCCCTTGTGTGGCAGCCATACATAACCCTAGAGTTATTTTTGAAGTTTACAAGCATGGTCCAGGCTTCTTAAAAGTCCCCCTTAAGCCTACAAAAGCAAATTCAAAGTGAAGGACAAAAGTTTTCAGGCGGTAATTAAACCTTTGGTTATGCTATTATACCTTGTCTCCTTGTCCCCTGGCAGCTTAACAATTAATCTTTTCAGAGGAAAGGAAAAACAAGTTACACCCAGGAACTACAGAGCTTAGAACAGCCCTACACTATTAATTTTAATAATGTGAGAAGATAAACATATGTCACTCACTCATGGCCAAACGAGCATCTGTAGAGTCCTGCCCTGGTGTAGGTCTAAAATTTATTACTCAGATTCCTTTACCTAAGACCTTTCTAGGCCATTTAAATGTGCTCACATTGCTTAATTAGAAAAAAAAAATACAGTTTATATGGTTTTATTCCACTCACTTAAAAATAAATGCCTTTAAAATATTTGTAAAAAAAAAAGGTTCATTTTCTTAACTAGTGCTACCTTCCTTGCATTTTGAAAACTACAAAAGATGAAGTAAGAAGAAGATCATGCAACTTCCTATTTTATATAGTTTTTCAACATACTCTAACTCCTGGAAGAAACGAGATATGATGTAATTTTTTTCATCCTAAATCTTCTCCTGAAAAGCTTTTATTCTCAGTTTCATATGATTCAATTGAATCAAATGCTGAAAGAATAAAACACTCTCCTGCAATTTCTTAAGCATGCATATAGAAAAGAAATTACTGCTGGCAAGAGGAGCTGTCAGTGTGAATCTCAGCAGAAGTAAATTGTTTGGTATTTGTAATGGAGTATAATAGCTATAATTCCATTTGAGCTGCTGCCACTAATAAGCTGATAAAAACTGTGAGTTGAGACCCAGGCATCCATCAGTGTGTGTCTTCCACAAATGTCTCTGCACATTCACTTAATCACAGAGACAGGCAACCCAATCCCATTAGATGTACTGTTTCTGACAATGAAGAGCCCGAGCTGGCTCTTTCCACAAAAAGCATGCAAAATCACAGCTGCATACCAACTCCAAAGAAGTTTTCTTATCAGCAATTATCAGGAATTTTCATAGACATTTCTAGCTCCTGCAAAGTTGCAAGACAGTAACTTAAATGTGCTCACAGTTAAGATGGGTTGGGGGAAAACACTTCTTTCTTATGAAAAGCAGTAACCACATTAAAAATGACAATCGGAAATTAAAATTTACTGTCTGAAATGCTTTAGGGTTGGTTTCACCTGTTGCCAAAAAGTTATTGATTTAATAACAGCATTCTATTTAAATGATTGTATACACTGTTGTGTGTATTAGTGTGTGTGTCAAAGTAAAGACAAATAATACCTAACCATGTGTCACCACAGGAACATTTTAAAAAATGAAATGTTTTTTAAAGAGCAGTATCTTTCATAGTAATACTGGCCGAGGGAATAAGGAGGCATGAGTTCCAGTCTTCTGTCACCAAATTGCTGAGTGATCTTAAGCGCATCATTTAAATGCACTTGCCTAACAGTGTCTATACAGAGAAAAGAGGGTAGAAATAATAATACTGTAATGATTGCATGGGCTTTGCTGGCAGGAGTGCTGGGAAAAGTAGTTGGTATTTGGCAAGTTTATTTTTCATTTAATCTGCTCAATAAAAAGCATAAGGTACGATTATGCTCATTCTATTAATGATCAAATAAACGACCCATGAGGGAAACATTATACTTTTATGTAAATACATCCTCCCCAGGAGCCTGTCAATATCCTGAACAACACGCATCTCAGAGATTCACACGCAAATGTTAAGAGCTGCGCTGCTGAGCGTATGCAGACATTTGGAAAAGAGCATATGTGCACATCTGAGTAACTGAGCTATCTCAGTATCCTGGAGTTGCGCAGAGCTGCAACAGCTCAAGAGCAAGGAGGAAAATTCAGGAAGAAAGAAAGAAAAGTGTTCTGTAGATACAGTGTGCACAGTACAAAAATTACTAAATTATCAAAACACTATAATATTCAGCTTCAATTGTCTGTTTTTCCTACCATTTTTGTCAAGAAGAGCTGCTTTTGCTATGTTCTCAACAATGTATTTTCTTCCGGCTTCTGAAACGTTTAGTAAACAGGCAGCCAAACGGAGCCCCACTCTGGAAGAAGACATGATTTTTCTGGAATAGGAGAAAAATTTTTATGTGTCTCTAGAGTTGATTCATATTTTCATGTTTTAACTATAAAAAAATCATAACTTTTTGGAAACGAAGCAGTCATAATATGAGCACTTTACTATTTCATTCCTAGAAAAATTCTAAAGCATAAAATCTCCAGATTGACTAAAATAAGAAACCATGTGTACATGGTCACATACATATAAACCTTGTAACGACACTGGAAAATACCTGGCAGGGTCCTCAGCGTGAATTTCATCATGTAAGTGAAAGTTTTTCATTAAAGTATGTTATCCCATTTTAAGCATAGTTTTCCTTAGCCTTATCCCTGTTTTCAAGGTCTGTACTATTTTACAAACAGGTATGTTTTTTTTGTTGTTAAACTAGACTTAGTGGGGAAATGCAGAAAAAGAAAATGAGGAAGATTATTTAATATGTGGATTCTTATAAAAGAAATTCTTGCAGCAAAAATGAAAGTGTCTACAGGCCATGCCATGGACATTATACAAATAAATAAGGAAGCCATTTGGATGGTTTACATGACAATTGTCTAAGTTCCTCCTTGTTCCACCAAAGTTTCTAAATCAGTTTAAAGTCTTTTTACAAAATTCTGTAACTTGAAAGATGATACATATTCTGATACATATTATTCAATAATATCAAAAATGTGATTTTTGTTGAAAATTAATTATACAGGTTTTGGAGGTTGCTTTGATACTTTTTAGTACTCTAGAATAGCATTTTTGACACATCTTTCCATACTTCAAATGATATTCATGATCTAAAGGAATTAAAACATCTTAAAATAATAAGAAAATAATTTCCCTCTTCAAGTTCAGGACCTCATAACTTTGGTCTCTTTTAAATACCATAACTAAAAATAGATGAGGCCCTCATGAATTCATTCAACAAATATTTAATGAGGGTCTTTTTCTGACAGGTAATGTTCCCTGTGTGAGGGATACCAACCACTGTTCCCTGTGTGAGGGATACCAACCACAGTGGTCTAACTCTGAGACACGCGTTAAACTTTAGAGTTTAAGCTAAAAGTGCTCTGGTGCAAATAATGGTGCTCTCCCTCAATAAATCCACTGGCTTGTTCGCCAGGATCATTCGTTGGCCTAATCATCTTAACCTAGAGAGAGCTCAGGCTTCGTAGCTAGCTCAGGTTTGCAGGCAGGTTTTCATATCATGTCCATCATCTCATCACTGAAAATTCATAAAAATTCTGTCATTAGGTTTTTCTAGATATTAATAACATTGTTGTAATAAAGCAACCCAGACCTCTCGTTTCTATGTAAACAAAAAATTGCTTTACACAAGGGGTGTGGGCGTCTTCTGGTTTTCATTTGTTTTCAGTGTGTTTATGCAGCTTAATTGTCTCATCAGGCACTTTCCCAACATAATTATGCTTTTTAACAAATGGTGTTTATGGCAACCCCTAACAGTGCAAAAGAAAGGATTAGTTTCATCCTCTCATTCCACATTTTGATTCCCTGTGGACAGCTAAATCACACAAAGATGGTGTTAGAAAAATTCACCTTCACAGCGAAGCTGAAATGAGCGGCAGTACCAGGCTCAGAAAGTGACCCAAACGCAAGCCCCCCAAAACACTCTGTGTTTGGGACAGGGAGATCCTAGTCCTCCCAGCTCATCCTTCAATTACCATTGGATGACCTCTGGTGATAGATTAAACACTCGGCCGTCCCCCGCCCCCGCGCCTCCCCACCCGCGGAGAACCTAGCCTAGCAAGTGCAAAGTGCAGCAGTTCACCTGCCCCCTGCGCACGCACCCCACCGGCACTTGGAGGCCGCAAGGACGCTCGCCAGGCTGCCGCAACGCGTGCTGGGGCCAGAACCCCGCTGCTGGGATTCCCTGCGCGGTGCCGACTAGGTTCCTGGGTGGAGTGTCCCAGGACCACGTGGGCTGAAAGGGAACCCGAAGTGACTCCCGGCCTCCCCACAGGTCTCGCGGGACGCAGCAGCGGCGAGGGCGCGGGGTTGTGGCGCCTGGGAGCGAGGGGCAGCCGGCGGCTGCGCTGCCCCGGCCGAGCTCTCGAACCAGCGGCCGCGCCTGCCGCTCTGCGGTTTGGGAGGGGAGCGGACCTGCGAGCGCCGAAGGGCGGTGGGGCAGGGCGACCGCCCAGCCCAAGTCGCCGCCGCGCGTGGCCCGCGCGCAGCCTCCGCCGCCGCGCGTGGCCCGCGCGCAGCGTCTGCCGCCGGCTCCGCCTCCCGGACGCCCGGAGCGCGCCCCACCCCAGCCGCACACCGACCGGGCTGGCTCTGCCTCTCCCTCCCTGACCCGGCACCACGTGCCTGGCGTCCTTGAACGCTTCAGATTTTTATCAGTGTTGCCTTTTCGTTTGCTCTTCCGTATCGCCAGACCCTCCACAATTCTCTAGTCAATTAATGACTTTAAAGGGGCATTGGCATCTAATGATCAGGTCTTTGCCTATTGATCATGCACCAGCAGGGGGCTCTTCTCTCGTTTCCTTGGAAGGGACACACGCACTCACACACACCCTTCTGGTAAATCCCCTCCTGGAGGATTAGTGCCCCCCGTGACTGTGAACTGGACCCACCCCGGGACAAAAGCAGTCCTTGCGCATACCCATTTAGTCAAAGTTACAACGAATATGAATCAGGCTTCCGCATTTCCTTTTTTTCTAGGCCACTCAACCTTGAAAACACATTTCGCTTCCAAAAAATCAGGACCTGCTTTTTTTTTTTTCGTGTAGCAAGGATTAAATGTCACCATTTTGATCCAATTTTGTTCCTGTAGTGAAATAATCACTAAATAACTACTTTGACGGAATAAATTAATTTTTAAATCTATTTTTTATTTTCTAATTATAATTTTTAAACACAGATTTGAGGAAATTAACATTTATGTGGACATTTGGTTTCTAGCCTAATGTGGCATAAAAATAAGTAACATAATGAGTGTTAAAAAAAATCAGGTTCATGATGCTTCTCACATCATCATCATTGTACTTAGATGTCACAACAGTATTATGTGCGATTATGTCAGATCCAGCCTTCTCCATCTCGGAGTGTTGGCAGGTAGGAGGGTTGTTGGCAAGAGGAGGGGTGTTAACCTCAGGATCCTGGATCCATTCCAAGGCTGGTAATTACATTCTGCCAGCCAAAATTCATCCCATAATTTTAATTGGATAAATCCTTTCTGGCCTAAGCTACTGCTATGCCTGTCAAACTGTTGCCACATTTCACCCCAGAGGTGTCTGTGTTTTAGTTGCAAGAATCAGTCCCTTTGAGGTTGGCTTATCTGTTTAAATCCTCAAAATGCACTGGGATCCTATGGAATTAAATATATATTTAGGTATTTTTTTCTACTAAATCTGCATAGAAGTGCATAAAGTAGATACATACCCATGTTATTACCTAAAGACCAATACCTATCTAATGTCAGCATTCACTAGATAATTTTGAGAGCTTTTTAATCAGACCAATATTCCTAACTTTCTTCATCTTCTCTTTTGAGAGCTTTTTTGGCCTCTAGCTTTAGCTTCCGTTTTCCAAAAAAAGTAATGTGGTGTCCAAATGTTCCTTCCATGGTAGGGCAAAGAACCAGAATCCCCTGTATTTCACCTTTCCAAACAATCGGATAATGATACTACTTGCCAAATGAGACAGCGTAATAACATTACATCTAATCTTATAATATTTCTCCAGAGAAAACAGTGTGACACCTGGGGGCTTCATGGTTCTAGCTGTAGAAACTGCCAGAAGGAAAGCTTTTCCCCCCACAGCTCCTAATCCTCTCTTTCTCCCGAGAGACTGTTCCTTACGGAGCTACAGGCTATGGGGGCATTAAGTAAGATAACATTTCTGAAAGCATCCCTTTCTCCACTCTACTCACTTCAAACCCAAATGGAGAGAAAGCAGGGCCCCAGTGTTCTTTGTGGGGGGCAGCATCCGGCCCCTGCCTGAGGAGGGTAAGCATGTATTTTTGGAAAATACAAGGAGACACATACCAACCTGTCCCATGAGAAGTTTAGCGATACGATTGAAAGTATTATTTTGTTCTCTTCAAGAATGGAAAGTTACCATCGGTTACTTTAGGTGTACCGCATGTACTCCTGCCCATTTCACTACATAAAAGAGCTTTATGTCACATTTCTGTGTGCATCTTAAGTCTCTCATTTTTATTTAACTTAGCATTCTTTGGAGGGAGTCTTCCTACTTTTTGAATTAATGTATTATTCTGACTCCTTGATTCTTCTGCTAAATTCACCTTGTGGGCATTAGTTCTTTTGCTCATTATGGTTCCTGTCCAGAAAGATATAAGCCCTGGAATAGAGCAACTGAAACTCCCATGGGTCAGTTCTATCTACGACAACTGCTGTTCTGTAACACTCCCATTGGCTTCCTGTTAGACAAAGAGGACACTTTTCTTTACCCTTTGTTTTCGTTTTTGCAAGCAGGGAGAACTTAGTTCTTGTAGGAGACTTTCCTGACCCAACTGAGCTGAAGAGGGTAAAAGGGAGAGGCTGTGCTCACTGTGGCCTCACAGATCTACCTGAGCCCACAGCCCAGGTGTTGGTTGAGCAGGGCCAGGATGAAGGTAAGGTCAGTGAGGCGTTCACCCTGGGCACAAAATGTAAGTAGGTGCCAAAAAACTCAGGGATGCGACATTTTTTAAAATAAAAATTAATGCAGAAAAGAAATGTGGTGAACAAAATATCAAAATCTTAAGTAAAGACAGGATCCGACCCTGCACTTGCCTCTCAACTCAGCCTCACTGACCTCACCCTGATCCTGGCCCTGGGATTGTCCGCTTGTGCCAACCTGTTTCTGATTGTAGGCCTGAGAGGAAACTGTGCCACTCCGCCCTGCCTGCATCCTTTCTTCTGCCCCACAAAATGGGCAACAAAACCAACAATGTCAAGGATAGAAATTTCCAGGCCAGTGGAGACATATAATTCATACTCTGTTCAAGAGTTTCTAGACCTCCATAGATAGGAGACAGCCAATTTATTTCAAAAGAAGGCAAGCCAGGCGCAGTGGCTCACACCTGTAATCCCAGCACTTTAAGGAGGCCAAGGCAGGCAGATCACTTGAGGTCAGGAGTTTGAGCCCAGCCTGGCCACCATGGTGAAACCCTGTCTCTACTAAAAATACAAAACTTGGCCAGGTATGGTGCTGCATGCCTGTGATCCCAGCTACTCAGGAGGCTGAAGCATGAGAATCACTTGAACCTGGGAGGTGGAGGTTGCAGTGAGCCAAGATTGTGCCACTGCCCTCCAGCCTGGGTGACAGAGCAAGACTCTGTCTCAAAAAAAAAAAGAGCTGGGCGCAGTGGCTCACGCCTGTAATCCCAGCACTTTGGGAGGCCGAGGTGAGCAGATCACAAGGTCAGGAGATCGAGACCATCCTGGCTAACACAGTGAAACCCTGTCTCTACTAAATATACAAAAAATTAGCCAGGCATGGTGGCGGGCGCCTGTAGTCCCAGCTACTCAGGAGGCTGAGGCAGGAGAATGGCGTGAACCCAGGAGGTGGAGCTTTGCAGTGAGCCAAGATTACACCACTGTACTCCAGCCTGGGCAACAGAGCGAGACTCCATCTCAAAAAAAAAAGAAAAGAAAAGAAAAAGAAAAAGAAGGCAAAACCTTCTTGGAACTAGGAAAAGAATCAACTTTACGTACCTGATACATTTCAGAGTATGAAAATTAGGTTTCCTATTGTGCAGCAGAATTTTGAAATGTTTTTAAAGAACCTCCTAATTAATACTATCTATATTATGGGTTGTTTTTTTTTGGTGTAGCATTTGTTTGTGTTCAGGAAAACATGAATAGAGAATTATCCTTAGAAAGACAGAAGTCTAATTCTTATTGCAACTTGTTTCACTTTAATCACATTTTTGCACTACGTCAGACTTCATTCTATCTTCTTCCCTCATGGAACGTGAAAAGATTTTATTTCTCCTTGCATATAAATGTGGTCTGATAAATGAGGGATTTTTTAAAGTGATCTTAGTTGTCACTATAGGACAGTGAAGTGTTTTTAATTACCTGTGAATTTTAAATTGTTTTATCATGTGATATTATGAAATATGTGTTCTACTAGTCATTTTTCTAAAATAGCAAATAGGTTTCACTGCTGCCATTATTAGTTTGGAGTGACAGAAGCTGTGCTATTAATTTAAGCGAAGAAAAGGAGGTTGATGTCCAGAAAAAAGTGACAGCAACTAACAGAAACACCTCCATTCCCCACACACCTGTGTATTAATTACATAAAATGATCACTAGCCATTTTTGTCTGGATGAAGGAAGGGTGTGGGGAACCATAGAATTTTGAAAATTAACAATTTATTTTTCACCTTAATATTTTTGAAATCACTTTCTCTTTACACAATATGGATTGGGTTCTTTCTCTTTAGTCTGCCAATGTCTCTTTCAAGAAAGACCAGTAGGCTAAAATGTAAGCATAGTTATTAGCTTAAAATGGAATCACTTGCTATGCATTCACAGCTGGAGTATCTCATGTAACTAGCCAAAAGTTAAAAGTCTATGATCCACCTGCCCCTTAATTCATTCTTTGCCTTTTTATACCTTCCATGTAGTCATTCAGTTGTGCTTTCCTTTATTAAGGAACCTGGGCATAATGCAGATGAAATGAAGTGTTTTCTAGAGCCTCTCTCCAAAGCTGCTTCTTCATAACTCTTAGTTATATTGCAGATGAAAAACAATTCCTAAAACAGACTTTGAATTTCTGCTGAAAATTTGTTTTAACTTTTGGGACAACATTAAGGTTATTTCCAAAGCTACTAAAATTCACAAAATGTATCATTACATTCAAAAAATGCTGGGAATGCTTAGACACATTTTCCCCTAAGTAACGTGAATTTTTGTTGTTTTATGAGGTTTTTATCAATAAATATTTACTTAAAAATGCCAACCAGTGAACGGTAACTGCCAACATCTTGTGTCAGTCCAGCAATGGCCAGTCATGCTCTCCACACCTTCACAGGGCTGTTGTTGTTTAATGTCCCTATGTATATGCAAATGAATGGCAACTCTTACGGACACCAAGAGGGGAAGGTCCTACATGCACAGAAATCAGAGACCCAAAACAAAAGCCTGCATGTCGTGTTTGCCACATCCTAATTCAGGTGGGTGTTCAGAGGCACCCCTTGTTTTTGAAAAGGAGCTCCTTGTGGAGAGAACCAGTTCTCCTGCATTTGGGTAGATCTCCAAGCCCTGTCTCTGCAGGACACTCAAACTGAGGGTTTCATGCTAGTTTGTTTGGTTTTTACTATATAGCTCAGCGTTGGAAGGAATTTAACTTTTATGAATGTATCTTTTCATTACATTTAAATAGAAAATTTTTGATTTCTTAGGAAGAAGGGGAAAAAATTAATTTGTTGGTGCTTTTTCTTTTTTTTAAATTTTATTTTGGTGCCTTTTTTTTTTAACATGGTTTTTTGTGTTTATTTTTGTTTTGAGACAGACTCTCACTCTTGCCCAGGATGGAATGCAGTGGTTGATCATGGGTCACTGCAGCCTCTACTTCCCAGGCTCAGGTGATTCTCCCACCTAGGCCTCCTGAGTAGCTGAGGCTACAGGCACGTGCCACCACACCTGGCTAATAGCTGGGGCTACAGACATGTGCTCCCACACCTTGCTAATTTTTGTATTTTTTGTAGACACGGGGTTTGCTATGATGCCCAGGCTGGTCTTGAACTCCAGAACTCAAGCAGTCTGCCTGCCTCAGCCTCCCAAAGTGCTGTGATTACAGGAATGAGCCACCGTGCCTAGCCTACAAGTTTTCTTTATCCTATCCTGTGTCTCTCAGTTATTATTCAACTCTTTTAGCTTAAAGGTCTATGCTCATGTCAAAGATTTGAAAACAAAAGTTCCCTGCCACTACAGGGCAGAAGGGACCTTAGAGATCATCTGGCATCTCCTCATAACCCTTTGTTCAAATTCTGCCTCCACCTGGTACAGTGGCTTACATCTGTAACCTCAGAGCTTTGGAGAGGCTGAGGCAGGAGGATGGCTTCAGGCCAGGAGGTCAAGGTTGCAGTGAGCTGTGATCACGCTACTGCACTCCAGCCTGGGAGAGCGAGACCCTGTCTCAAAAAAAATTACACCTCACCTGAAATAAGACAATAGAGACGAAAGCAGAGTGGCTGATGGAAGCAGGGGGTTGGGGTGGAGAGTTGGGTGTCCCACTGTCCTGCACTTTTCGCCCCCCACCCACCCTGTATCTACTTCTTCCACAGCCTGTGCCTAACCCTAAGGTCCCTTCAAAACCACGAACTAGTTCAAACACTTTTCTTGGGCTTGAACCCCTTTTTTATAACATCATACAATGTTCTTATCTTTTGAAAATTAGCCCTCTCTCGAAAAGAGATCTATGATGTGGTCTCAAAATGCGAGTGCTGCTGGGCACGGTGACTCACACCTGTAACCCCAGCACTTCGGGAGGCCAAGGCGGGCAAATTGCTTGAGCTCAGGAGTTCAAGACCAGCCTGGGCAACATACGGAGACCCTCATCTCTACCAAAAAAAAAAAAAATCCAAAAATTAGCCAGGCATGGTCATGCTCACCTGTAGTCCCAGCTACTCGGGAGGTGAAGTGGGAGGATAGTTTGAGCCCAGGAGTGAGACCTTGTCTAAGAAAAGCAAGTGCTGTGGAAAATCCACATTGCTTTGTAAATTATTGGATGGGTCTTAATTTCTGCAGAGGAAATAAATATGGATGAATATTCAAATCTGAAATGTTCCATCAAAGACTTGAATTAATACTGGAGGAAATGTGGTATAGAAACCATAACGATCAAGATTTGGGGGAAGGAGGAAGGAGGATTCCAAAAGATGCAATCAAATAGGGCAGGTAATTATAGTTCAAACAACAGGCAAGAATGAAAGTGGCTCAGTTACTGTATCATTAACCAGTTCTGAAGACTGTAATACAGCCCTGCCCTTCCCAATACCTCTGTGACTTTAAACATCAGTATTTTCATTTCTCTATTTTGGGCAAAAGGATGGACGTGTTCCTTATAGGAGATTTCTGGGTTTTCTGTATTTTATTTAGATATGGGGGCCATTTTTGTTCTCTGCACCCTCACCTTTTTGGTTTTTTTTTTTTTAACTTATATCTCATGTTACTCCATTTGATCTATTCTGTGACCTTAAGTTCTGAATGACTACAGAACTGTGTGCAGCAGTGGCTTCAGCCACCCATATTTTAAAGCCAAATTTAAATTACAAATATAAAAACATATAAAAACATATATTTTGTAAATCAGAATCAAATTATATCAAATATTCATCTTATCGCTACTGATTTTACTCAAAAAAAATTCACGCAACTTTTCTTTTTTTTTTTTTTTTGAGACGGAGTCTCACTATGTCGCCCAGGCTGGAGTGCAGTGGTGCAATCTCGGCTCACTGCAAGCTCCACCTCCTGGGTTCACACCATTCTCCTGCCTCAGCCTCCTGAGTAGCTGGGACTACTGGCGCCCGCCACCACGCCCGGCTAATTTTTTTGTGTATTTTTGTAGTAGAGATGGGGTTTCACCGTGTTAGCCAGGATGGTCTCGATCTCCTGACCTCGTGATCCACCCACCTCGGCCTCCCAGAGTGCTGGCATTACAGGCGTGAGCCACCGCGCCCGGCCCACACAACTTTTCATATCAGGTTTTCTTTATTTATTAATGTAAGACACAAAGGACTCGCCACAGTTTTAGTGTTCTGTAAAACACTAATACTTTTGAAGTAATTTTTCAAACTATAAAACTTGCTAAACTAGTTGTATCTAATTAGACTGTCTAAAATGTATTGATAAAAATACAAGAGTAGAGAAGTTGGAGGGGAAAATATTTTTAAAATTTATTCTGGTGCAACCTCAATTAGCTATTGACGTAGTAATAAACCAACTGGAAGACTGTATTCTTTTTTTCTTTTCTTTTCTTTTTTGAGACAGAGTCTCATTCTGTCGCCAGGCTGGAGTGCAGTGGCATGATCTTGGCTCACTGCAACCTCCACCTCCCTTGTTCAAGTGCTTCTCCTGCCTCAGCCTCCCAAGTAGCTGGGACTACAGGTGCACACCACCACGCCCAGCAAATTTTTGTATTTTTAGTAGAGATGGGGTTTCACCATGTTGGCCAAGATGGTCTTGATCTCTTGACCTCGTGATCTGCCCACCTCGGCCTCCCAAAGTGCTGGGATTACAGGCGTGAGCCACAGTGCCTGGCCTGGAAGACTCTATTCTGCAGAATAACTTGATCTACTCAAGTATGTCCAGCCTTAAAACAAACACCAAACATTTTAATAGGAATATATAATATTTTGCTCATCATAATGAAAGTAAATGTCTGTGACAACACAGTTTTTATATATTAAAAAATGTTCTTTATAGATGTGATTTTATTGCAAGTTGTAATATAAATCTAATAGTATACAGTATGTAATATATCTAATGGATTGACTGTCTAATTATAAAACATGGTTTAAAAGCTAGAGGAAACCTGACATGTTTCTCACATTAAGGGTATGAAACCCAGGCCTAAAGAGGGTAATTATTACATGTCTAATATCACTCTTCTATTTTATTTTATTTATTTATTTATTTTTGAGACAGAGTCTCGACCTGTTGCCCAGGATGGAGTGCAGTGGAAGAATCTCTGCTCACTGCAACCTCGCCTCCCTGCAAACGCTGCCTCCAGGCTCAAGGGATTCTCATGCCTCAGCCTCCCAAGTAGCTGGGATTATGGGCTTGTGCCACCACACCCAGCTAATTTTTGTATTTTTAGTAGAGATGAATTTCGCCATGTTGGTCAGGCAGGTCTCAAATTCCTGGCCTCACGTGATCCACCCGCCTCAGCCTCCCAAAGTGTTGGGATTACAGGCATGAGCCACTGCCCCCAATCCTATTTTAAACTTTACATACCTGGAGGATGAAGTCCAGGGCCCTTCCCAGAGTGGCCCTGCTCAATTGTTTAAGTATTTTCTCCATTCCTTTTCCCAACCCTCCTCATTCTAATTTCATACCCTAAGAGTACCTGCTCACCAAACACTTTAAACTATTACATGTCTCTGGCTTTGCTTGTGCTTTGCTCAAAATTTCATTCCATGGCCTCACCCACCCATCCAATAAACAACCCCCATCTCTGTGAAGACTTCCTGAATTCTATCCTCTTTCCTAGGATTCATTAAATAATTTCTTTGTTCCTAGAACATCTTACACTTAGAAATGAAACACTAATCACATCATATTATTGTTTAGATTATTTCATAAGCATCTCTCTCTCCTGTCAGATTAAATAGAAACAGGATAGTCCTTATCTTTGTATCTTTTTTTTTTTTTTTTTTTAGATACAGGGTTGCTCCTGCTCAGGATGAAGTACAGTGGTGTGATTATGGCTCACTGCAGCCTCGCCCTTCTTGGCTCAAGCAATCCTCCCTCCTCAGCCACCTAAGTAGCTGGGACTACAGTCTTATGCCACCACACACAGCTAATTTTTAAAATTTTGTTAGAGACACAGTCTCACTGCGTTGCCCAGACTGATCTCAAACTCCTGGCCTCAAGAAATCCTCTTGCCTTGCCCTCCCAAGTTCTGCGGTTGCAGGCATGAGCCATTACAGCCCTTAGTCCAGTCTTGAATCATGGCAGGCACATTGTAAAAAATGTGTTGAAGGAATGAATTCATGGACTGATGGTGGATAAGTATATGCATCAGTGAATGAATGCGTGGACGAATTAATGAATAAACAAACAAACCAACAACAAGGAAGTGAATGAATAGGTCAATTTCTCAACCTTGGCACTGTTATATTTTGAGCAGTGTAATTCTTTGTTGTGGGAGGCTGTCCTGTGCACTAAAGGACGCTTAGCAGCATCCCTGGCCTCTACCCACTAGATGCCAGCAGCAGTTCCCTCCACCCCCACCCATGCAGCTGGAAAAACCAAAAATGTCTCCAGACATTGCCAAAGACCTGCCAAGGGCAAAATTGCCCTTGGTTGAGAACCACTGGAAGAGATGGAAAGAAGACTGGTTACAGCAATTCAGGTGGAGAGCAGGGATTGGTCTCCAATTCAGTTCAGTACTTTCTCTAATATGATTTAGCCTTGTTGAGATCCAAATCAATTCTTAATCTTCTCACAAAATAGTCTTAAAACCCGAGATTGAAAACAGAGTCAACAAAAATATAATTTATGAGACAGAATATTTAAAAACAACATTAAGAGTAAAGGTATACTTCCTTTATTTTAACGAATTTAGTTTACTATTGCCTTTTAAAAATACCATTTATCTGTAGCTGATATTGTTAAATTATAATTATTTGACCGTGCCTAATAAGTATTTGCTCCTGGAAGTCATATGGTTTGTCAAAATTTTCTAAATGCCACTTTATAGCACCATCTTGTGGATCTCAGAGGAATTCATGGATTTCAGTTTAAAATGTCTAGTCATTTCTTCAGAAAAGGATGAAAAGAATAAACTATAAAGAAAAAATAAGTTGTGTTTATTGAAATGTTCCACCAAACTCTGAATTAGAGACGTAGTGAAGTTTGACTTCAATTTTTATATTCGGCCAAGATTTACTGTTTGGTTTCAACTACAGCTTCCTCTTTGGCCTTTGGAAAGTCAAATAGCCACAAACCTACATCACTGTCATCATCATGTGTGTCTTTTATAGGTTACTACCATGTACAATCAGCAAAGAAGGGATGTGCCAACAAGAAAGGTCATCCTAATGTACTGTTTAATATTTGAATATTCATTTTGAATGTACAGATATAACTTAGAATTAAAATTTCCTTATGTGCTGTAAGTATTGGAAGAGCAGTGTTGCAAAATTAGGGAAGATTGTGAAAGCTAGTAAGCTTACACAGAAAACAAATAAGAATCTTTAAGCTGTTAAATTGAGAAATAGGGATATAGATTGACAATAATATGAATATTCATTCCTGTACCATGATGTCAAACTTTTAAAATCTGATTACTAAATTTTTTATTATATAAGCATAATTGCAGTTACAGTTCACATTTTGTATTATATCTAAGGAGTTCATTCTATGATGGTATCTAGCATCAGCCTCCAAAAAATGTTGATCCAATACTTAGCCATTGGGAATTTGGCCTAAAAATGTATTCGATATACACTTATTCTAAACCTAAAAGAAGAATTAAATAGAAAGAAAATGATGTAAAACATAATGGATTTGAAGTACCTTCCTCTTTTTTTAAATATGTGAGTTTTTTCTTTCTAACTTGAAAGTAAATATTTATCACGAAATACCAGGAGCATTAAAGGCTAAGGACCATACGAGTACCCTGCATGGGATTACTGTATGGAAAAAAGCATTTCTATTAATGGATGTGTCAATAATTACAGTCCAATTTTATAGGCAAAATGTTTAATTGATTAACATTCTAATTTGTTATTTTCCATCCTGATAGACAATCTCCTTCTCTTCTTCATGACATAAACTAAGCATAGCCATATACTAGAAGATTCTATTCCTTGATTATCTCCTCATCTCTCCACATGGAAACATCAAGAATGGCCAACTGAGTTCAGCCCAGCGTATGTGGGTATCTAAGCTCCATTTTTCTCTAAGATAAGGTACCATTATTTAGGGAAATGGTAAGAATACAAGGGTGTCTAAAAGATAACTTTTCTTGCAAGAACTTTCACATAATTGTTTTGACCCCAAAGTAACAATATTACGTTACAGGACAGTGGACTCCTTTGCAGGTCTTTGTGGTTGAAGATAGATCCCCAGCAGGTAGATCAAGTCAGCCAGCTCGAATAATCACAATAGTTGTAATGGCATTTAGCTCTATTTAACCCACTTACCTGTGTAAGAAGGCAATCCACATTATGAATAACATAGTTTTTGGCTTTGAGTAAGCATAGAGATGCCCCCGATTAGTCAATATTCCATAGTGGAAAAAACTTCAGACCAGGGATTAAGAAACCATATTTCTATTCCAGCCTGTCACCAAGTGCATAACATTGGACAAATGACTCAGCCCCTCTGCATCTCAGTTCCCGTATCTGTCAAATGAGGCGGCTGGACTGGGTGTTCTTTAATGTCCTTTCCAGCTTAACAGATTAAGATTCTATGAATTGTTCTGCTGGGTAGGAGCCTAGCCCAACTTTAATATTCTCTTTCTGCTAGTGGCCCTAGGGAATGATTTGAGTAGTGTCACCCTGCACATTTAAGGACTTAACAAAACCATCTCTAACTTTCCCTCCTAGTGATCAAAGGTAGAAGTACCCTTTAAGTTTTTAAACTTTTCTTTATACCATTTATTTTCAATATATACCACATCAGAAAGACTTCCATTTTATTTGTGAATATTTTCTTCAAATTTCAGAGAATATTCACCTAATCTTACTTTTCTAAAATCAGCTTCTAATTCTCTGAAACTTTTGTATCTTACATATTTTACAGACTGTAATCATACATCTTTTATCTTTTCCTGAAGAGAGCCTGCAGAACATTTACCCTGTTAAGGGTTCCACAATCAAAATAACTTTCGGTCTCACTTCATGGTATATGTCTTATTGGATATTCACAATGGCTGTTATAACTTCAACAATTCTGAAACATTACCTTTGTTTTCTGATTGTTTTTGTTTTGAGTTTGTTTTATTTTGTCTTGGTTAGTCAATTTATTTTTGGCAGGATTTTTGGGGGCTATCACTTCAGAAATTGGCTTTACCATTCTAAGCCTATTGTTTTAGCCTGTCCTGACACAAAGTTACTTCTCAGAAAATTTTATGCTTCTCTGAATATTTTTTCCCGCTCCTTTTAAAAAATGTATTTAATTATTTCCTTCTAGAAATGAATAAGAACCTCTGAACTTAACATTAGGATGGCCATTTAAAAGACAAATGAACTTTCAGTCCAATATCTGAGATACCTCAAAGATTCAGATGTCTCCAGTTTCCATTTCTGTATTTGATATATTTAATTCAAAGGTAAGCTCAAAATATATTGAGACTAACTCAGTGTGTTCCCTTGTGCTACCTCAGTCGAATATGATTTTGGTGATGAAAGTCCATGTTCAATAATCCCTGGAATCAAAAGTAGGTGTGAGAACCTTAAAAAAAAAAAAACTATGTATATATACGCAATGCAAAGAAAAGAGTTATGTGTTTACAAGGAGTGAGAAAATTAAAGTTTGGAACCTGCTGTGATGAGGAGTAAGAAGCAATGACATTTCCACTGAATGCGCTACCCTAACCTCTCATCTACTGAAATATTATACTAACTTTGTAAAACTGGATACCTAACATGTCTTATGTTGAATGTTAGCCAATAGTTGCAGCAAAGGTGATTAGTCAGTTAATCTCAAAGTTAGTTAGGATTTTAAGTTTAACCTATACATACACCATAATAACAGGATTGGGGCAACTAACATAATTTATTTGTTGAAATTAAAGTTATTATGAAGTTATAATATCAAATATTCTGACAAAAATAGTCAAAAATACTTTTGGTCACTAAATTTCATACCATTACTACATTTGTATTAATTATATGATATGGACCCTTATATTTCAGTATTTCATGGCATTTACTGATAACTTTGTTTCTCCTTAATATTTAGAGAAAGGATTTTATATTACTGTTTTTCTCTTAAAGTTATCTTATACGCGTTTTTGCTATTTTTATCTTATTTACAAATTAAGCACATTTAAGTTACTAATCTACTTTAAATTTTAAATGAGAAATGCTTTAAAAAATAGGAATTAGACATCTTGTGCCCAAAATATTGAAAACATAATCCCTTTAAAAATATCCACCATCAAAAAAAAAAAAAATCCACCATCTCTCTCCTCCCTTTCCTTTTAATTCAAACTAGTTAGTTTCCTTTGAAGATATCTTTTGCCAATGTTTCTGAAAACTATTTTTGTTTGAAAATTTCAGGGTGGAATGGTTTTTTAGATGAAGGAAACTGTATTTGCAATTACAGCTTATAAAGTAGAGAAAACCATAAACTCCCTTTGGCATCAGTTTGACTCAAGGTCAAAATTAGATTTCCTCCTTCTATAGCATTTGAATCATAAACCCCTCTTTTTGTAAGTAGATAGATTTGGGGTGGAGGGTCAGCTGGGTTCTACAAAATATACTGTATGAATATGAGTCAAAGTATAATTTTAAGTAAACAGCTCACTTAATTTTGACCTTTTCTATTAAAGGGTTTTTTTGGCCTTAGTATTGATGTCATTTTATATTTTCTTAATTCAATAACAACTTAGCTTTTAAAATTTCAGATTTACACTATTAAAGGTTAGAACCGTGTATTTTCATATCAGAATGTCTGGTGGTAGTGATGGTAATTATTACAGAAAAAAGCATTGAGGCCTGCTATGCTACAGAACTATTAGGTGTTGTGAGAAAATGAAAAAGGTACTTACAGAGAAATAATTCCTGGCCTTTAGGACCCTATAATATGTAGCTGTCTTTTTTAAGCTTTCATGCCAAACATTCACAAATCAATCTTGAAGTTATCATTTGAGTGGGAAAGTGTGGGGATTGGACTAGAAAAATCACCTCCTTTACTCCGTTTGATCAACTCTTATTTGAATGCATCACCACACTAATGATTGTGCCTAAAGATAATTGACAATTCAAAGTCAAACTCATTTTACACTAATTATCTAATATTCATTTAACTAGTATTTATTTATGAGGTCACAAATCACCAAGCTAAAGGAGTCCCAAAAATGTTTCTAAAGAGGCAGGAAAATACACAATCCCATGTTAAGGAACAAGACTTTAAGAGAACTAGAAAATCATTAAAAGGTTGTTAAGCCAGGATCCAAGATTAATTTTAGATGATAAATAAATCTGACTTGTGATCAAACAATGAGAATCACATAAAAACATTATGAAATGATAAATTCTACCACCTGACAAGAGGACGGCACTTAAGTCTTTTTGGCAGATGGTTGGCGGCAGGTGAGTTACTGAGATACATGGTGGTTATTTGGTCTCTTTTTCAATGACTTTCCTTGACTTACTCAGCCCTTGTCCAAGTGAGTACAAAAATGTGCTGAGAATCATGCAGACTTTGCGTAAAGATAAGTAATATGCATAGCTCCTTAGTTTCCCCCAAGATCATTAAAAACCTGATATTAATGATGTATAGTGACGTCAGTTTCTTTTGTTGTTGTTGTTGTTGTTTGTGGGTTTTTTGTTTGTTTGTTTGTTTGTTTGTTTGTTTTTTGGTTTTTGGAGGTTTTCTTTGTGACAGGATCTCACGCTGTCTCCCAGGCTGGAGTACAGTGGTGATCACAGCTCACTGCAGCCTCAACCTCCTGGGCTCAGGTCCTCCCACCTCAGCCTCCTGAGTAGCTGGGACTACAGACACCTGCCACCATGCCTGGCTAATTGTGTGTGTGTGTGTGTGTGTGTGTGTGTGTGTGTGTGTGTATTTTTTGTAGAAACAGGTTTTTGCCATGTTGCCCAGCCTGGTCTTGAACTCCTAGACTCCAAGCAGTGCACCCACCTTGGCCTCCCAAAGTGCTAGGATTTCAGGCATGAGGCACGGCACCCAGCCTAGTACCAATTTCTATCATGATTTGTTGCATCTAGAGCTGAAAGCAATTTTTTTTGTCATGAAGAAAAACTTTTTTTAAATTTTCTTAATCTATGTAAGAAGTGCTTTCTAAGATTAGACTATATTTACACATTAAGCAGTGTAAATGTTTATTATGTCAGGCTCTTAAGTGGAGATGTGTATGTTTGTTGACTTTTTATTATAGAAAATTTCAGACACCAAAGTGAATCCCACATGCCTAATCTTAACAATTATTAACACAAAGCCAATTTTATTGCATCTCTAATTCATCTAATTTTCCTGTCCTCTCTACCCTGCTCTTCAAAGTATAATTTTAAAGGAAGCCCAGCTATCATATTTCACGCACATTCAAGGGGAGGTTTCTGAAGTGAATAGAGCACTGTTCTTTCCATGACTTATGTCCATTTTGGAAAAGTTCAGATTACCCAAGTGGCCACTGTCAGAGAGCCATTTCCCCAGCCATGACTTTGTTCTCTCAAGTATTATACCTTCCATGTGTAGACTTCCTACGTCACTCACTGATCCGTGACAACACTTTCAGTCTATCTATGAGTATTAATGTTAACTTGGTAACATGATTTAAAAGGTATCCAAAGGAATCATTATTCTTTATTATTCATCCATTCCTTCATTTCTTGCTCTAGATGATAGAGGTACAGTGTTGAGCAAATTAGACAAAGGGCCTGCCTTCCAATGTGTGTGCTAGAGTTGAGATCAAGAGGCAGGGGCTTACTACTTGGAAGACTCCCCCTTTGTATGTGGGCAGTGTTGTTCCTGATTCTACCTTAGTTTCCCTCTGGGAAACCCCAACAAAAAGCCCATAGTAGTGAACTAAATAAATATGTAAAACAATGATAAACTGGTTTTGTGATTGTTATTGTCATTTTTAAAGCACATGCTTCTTGTATAGCAATTAACAAGTTTTGTGTGTGTCTATTACCACCTCCCCTCTACTCCCAAATCTCACCCCCACCCTGCAGATTGCTCCACGCAGGTCTGTGAAAATGTGAATGACCACATTTTCATCTCAAAATAAAGTACAATATTTTTCAAAGCTCTATGTCCAAAATCCAAGGTTCTGAAAATGAAATTTCTAAATAATTAGATGATGTGATGATGGCAATCAGAAAATATGTATAAATCTCTACACAAAACTACTATATAATTTAGTACCTATCATATATTATTATCTTAAAATGAATAATGATTATGCAAACTTAGCTCCTTTATAGATCAATCTCTAATTTAAAAACTGATGTTTAGAGCTATAAAAGATGTCATTGTTTTTTGCAACATCAAATGATGTCTAATTCAAATTCCTTTGAAAGCCATCTGTAGAACTTTGAGCTTCTGCTGTTTCAGAATTGACTTTCTTTCTTGACAGGTATTTGATAAAAATAAACTCAATATTTAAGTCACACAGTACATACCTGTAATGAAAAAACATAAAACAATGAGCAGACACATAAAAGCTTTCTTTTTTAATTTAAATTTAACTAGTTTTAACTGTTTATTTTTATTTCCCCAATCAAAAGTATTGTAATTTATATGCTCTGATACAAAGCACTTTCTGTCATTTCTCCTTTGGGAACTGAGAATATAAATGGTTTCTAATTTTGAAGATTCAAAAGATTGAATAGCTGGATGAATTATAACTTAAAATTCCCATTAATTTATTTTCAAATGAGGAAAACCCACAACTTTGAGAAACTGATTATTATGGGGAAAAAAGGCCTTGATTTGTAATTGCACCCAAATATGAAAGCCTACATTTTGTAAGCATAAAGATTACATTCTCTTCAAAAGATTTGCAAATTCTCATAGGCACATAACTTAGAGAATGAGAGAATTGTAATTTGAAAAATTACAGATTTCATTGTTTTTGATGTGTGAAACCTATAAACAAATATCAGGAGATTGTATTGCAAAACTGAAAATCCCTTGTTTAGTTTTGTAAAGGACAGTGCCCTATGTGGCTTACAATCCTGACTTAAAAGAAAAATGCAGAGTAATGCAAAAGACACTCTAATCACTGCATCTAATTACAAAGAAGAATAGCTTAGTAAAAATTTTAAGTATCTTTGGGCAGGCGTGTGGTCTCGTGGTCAGAGCATGGGATTTCAAGTCAGTAGTCTAAATTTCTATTTTAAACACCACTTCTAAATTTCTCCATGACTTTGGGCATGACATTAACTTTATTTTTAAATGAGAACTTGAGATCTGTTCTCGATAATTACAAAGCAGTTTTGAAATCCTTTAATAGAGGTATAAATCTAATACTGTAAAAAAATTAACAGAGGGACAGGTGCTTTCTTGACTTCTTGATGAAAAAAATGAAAAACTTACTTGACAAAAAAAGAAAAGGTAAGGTAAATTAAAACGAATTCAGAAGGTGTTTCTTTACCATTTGCCCTACATAGTAACATTGCTATACCCATGTGTTATTTCAAAGTCAGTTCAGGACATTATTTAACAATCAACTCACTGATACAGTGACTAATTTTGATAGCTTTCCTCTAAATTGCTCCTTTGCTTTTAAAGAAATGGTAGTCCTCAGTGGAGCCAACGCTGCTCTTTTCATACTAATTGTTATTGTCACTCTAAGGAACTTGTACTCCACAGTGATGTGCCTGCTTTGTTTTTGTTTATGTGTAGTGTTTTTTAAGTGTTCCTCCAAGTGCAATAAGTACAGACAAATTACCATGTAAGTTTTCTTTAAACTATTGCTAGATTTCTAGGGATAAATGTAGGTGATTCAAATTCTAACATACCTCTATAAATCAATTACCACAGTAATTGTCATTGGGAATAATTAACATTTGAATTCAAGGAATGTGACCTGACTTATAGAACTCTTCCCTCCCTCCCTCCCTCCCTTCCTTCCTTCCTTCCTTTTTCTCTTTCTTCTTTCTTTCAACAGTTTCCGTACTCTACAGATTTTTTTGGATTATGATAATCTTGTATGATTTTTAGTACTAGTTTAGCTACTGAATATGCCTTATTGTTGGAAGAATCCACCCAGTCAAATTTGCTAAAATATACAGTATACAAACTAGAAACAAAGAGGAAATTCAGGAATAGCATGGTATATTAATACAGCAGGCAACGGGGTTATACAAAATTTGACCAAAATCTCAGCCTCCACACAGACCCTCATCATGCCTGATCTATTGCACACTTTCCAGGCAAAAGGTGATCTTTAAAAACAGCAATTCATCAAGATAATGCTGCATGAAAGGAAATGGAGACCATTATAAGGCAAAGTAAAACAGCTTAAGGACAGATCTTGTTGTATGTTTTCCTGATTAGAAACACAGTGTATGAATGCCTTGCTAAAGTACTTAAAGCACTATTTAATGGTCCAAAGCTCAGGTGAGAAATCACTGAGCTAAAGGATCGAATTCAGACAGAGTCAGTTTGGTCTTCTGGCATTATTCAGGAGGCAAATTATAAACTGAACTTTCACTAAATTTGTCCTCTAGGGAAGATTTTTAAATGGAATCTTTGTGAGGTGGTTTGCAGTAGCCCTGATAACTTCAGAGACTGCCTCTAGATTCCCTGGTGAATTTATGTGAAATAAAAAAGGCAGGAAATCCAACTTATTAAGTTCATAAAATTAAAGTTATACCTATATATTTTTAGAAACCTGAACATTTAGGAAAATGTAGATAGTATTTTTTTCTGTATGCAGCAGTTTAATCCTGCATTTATTTCACTAAATTACACCACTCAATTTCCTGTTTAGGTCTGTTCAATGCATCTTACATTAAAACGTAGTGACAAGAAAGAGAGGAACACTTTAAAACTGGTTATCTAGTTATGAAAAACTAAATTTTCCTTTTTTTTTTTTTTTTAACAAAACCCTGTGTGATTCTTCATTGTCTTTTTGGGTTCCCAAATCTAACCCTTCTTTACTTCCCCCACCCCCTAAACGTATAATGGAAATAGATTAAAGACAACAGCAGCTCCTACACCTGTGATGCTGTCCCTCTGAGAAGGAAAAGAAGGAAAAAACATTTAAAACCTGGGAATACATTCTGTCACAACAGAACTAGGTACAGTAGTTCAACTTCTAGAATAGGGAATGTAGGATTTTTCACCTTCATTCTTCAGAAGACATTTTTTTCTAAGTATCTATTATAATAACAAACTGCAATTCCATGACTACTTTCGTTGATGCTTGAACTTCCTCCAAGAGTTCATATTTCCTCACATTAGCCCCAGTTTTATTCAGTATTACAATGTAATTTTTGCATTCCAATCCTAAATCTGCTGGAGTACTTTATACAGACATGGGACATTTAACTTGCTGCAATAGGGTCAGAGACTTGGTTGGAAATGTTGGAAAAAAAAGTCCCTCTGTTGTCTCAATGTATTATTCATCCTGTAAAGCTCTAATTTTATTTTTGACATAGCAAAGCTGTCTCTAAAATGTTACCATGGAACCAGAAATAATTATTTTAGTAATGGACCTATGTCCTTTTCATCTTCTTTAGTTTATTTTAAATTTAAAAAATTTTTGCTTTTTTTAAATTTTAAATTAGAACAGGCAAGGCACAGTGGCTCATGCCCGTAATCCTGGCACTTTGGGAGGCCGAGGCAGGCAGATCACTTGAGCCCAGGAGTTCGAGACCAGCCTGGGCAACATGGTAAAAACCCCTTCTCTACAAAAAGTAGCTGGGCGTGGTGGCGCCTCAGCTACTCAGAAGGCTAAGGCAGGAGGAGATTTTGAGCCCGGGAGGTGAAGGTTTCAGTGAGCCATGATCGTGCCACCGCACTCCAGCCTTGGTGACAAAGTGAGTCTCTGTCTCTAAAATATATTTATATTTTATTTATTTATATGTGGATTTTCTACGGAGAGGTGAGTCAGTATCCTTAACCCCTACACTGTTCAAGGGTCAACTGTATTTCTCCGAAACTATTGCTCCGAGGTAGTCTCATTTATATACGTTAATTATAATTTTTAACCTAAGTAATTTCTGTTTTCTTTTTCTTTTTTTTTCTTTTTTTTTTTTTTTTTTGAGACGGACTTTCGCTCTTGTTACCCAGGCTGGAGTACAATGGCGCAATCTCGGCTCACTGCAAGCTCCGCCACCCTGGTTCACGCCATTCTCCTGCCTCAGCCTCCCGAGTAGCTGGGACTACAGGCGCCCGACACCACGCCCGGCTAATTTTTTGTATTTTTAGTAGAGACGGGGTTTCATCGTGTTAGTCAGGCTGGTCTCGATCTCCTGACCTCGTGAACCGCCCGCCTCGGCCTCCCAAAGTGCTGGGATTACAGGCGTGAGCCACCACGTCCGGCCGTAATTTCTATTTTCATAGAAAATTGGGGAGTGGGAGGGAAAAGAGGTGGACAACCATGTTACACACCAGCATCCTTGCAGTCCTGCAGAGTTCATGAAAACGTTTAACACAACTTTCTACAGCCATACTTTATACCAATTTTCAAGGTGGCAAAAATGAACACAGTAAGAAACCCCAAGTTTGTCCTTCTGTGGCATATAAAAATAAGAAGCAAAAGCACAATCTTAAAAGTATGCTTAGTAGGTGCTGTTCATTTCTCTATCAGCCAGGAAGGATACTGGTTTTGAGGCTGATGTACTTATCAAGGACAATAACTGCCATGGCTTGTCAGTGCTTTGATGAAACCTCAGATGCATGACCTTCTGGTCAAACATCTGCAATTTCATATTGTTGGAGCATTGTGTTCCTGGAGGTTGTGGCTCTCTATAAGTTTGCTGTGGTTGAACCAAGAAGGGAAACGTGCAGATTTCTACAAAAATTATGATTCCATGAAAGATTTTAAGGAGATAAGGAAGGCTGGTATCTTTTATAATACAAAATAATTCTGGAATATGAAGAATTTCTTTGAGTTAAATTGCCTAGAAGTTTGTCACTGACTTGTGTTCCTGAACTATGAAACATGACTATGTGGGCTAAGAAATAATTTCTCTCTTGACAAATAAACAATTAACAAGTAAAAAAATAGATAATAATCAATGTTATAGTAACTTACAAATTATCTAGGCATTCAATGAATAGCCATTAATTAATTCAATTTAACATCAGCCTAAGGTTTTAAGTTATCAATAGATCTTGGAAATTATCTCCAAGTTGACATACTATGAAACATAATCACTGCTAAAATAAAATTTTGTTAGAGCAATGAGTCAATTTGGTTGAATACATATATAATTTTTATAACTTTAAATATTAAGTAGAAGTAGTGCTAGCTTATTTGATCAGTAAACCTGTACAAGTTTAGAAAGAATACACCCAAGTAGAATAAAAATTGATGCTTATATTGTACTTAACACTGATAAATCATAGAAGATAGCTGTTTTGTTATTAAACCAAAAATATTAAACTAGCCTTGCTTAGCAAAGACTTACCTAAATTATGTGACTTTGACTTGGTTTTTTTTTTTTTTGAGACGGAGTTTCACTCGTTAGCCAGGCTGACTGGAGTGCAGTGGCACAATCTCTGCTCACCGCAACCTCCGCCTCCTGGGTTCAAGGAATTCTCCTGCCTCAGCCTCCTGAGTAGCTGAGATTACAGGCATGCACCACCACGCCCGGCTAATTTTTATATTTCTAGAAGAGATGGGGTTTCACCATGTTGGCCAGGATGGTCTCCATCTCTTGACCTCATGATCCACCTGCCTCGGCCTCCCAAAGTGCTGGGATTATGGGTGTGAGCCACTGCGCCCAGCCAAATTTGACTTCTTAAAACATTTCCTAGTTAGTTGCAGTAAAAAATACTTCTTAAATCTAGCATACTAAAAGTATTAGAAGTTCAATTTCTTTATTTTCTGGAATTTTAGGAATATTCAATTTATATAATAACTTAGTTATTTCTATAAGCCAGTCAGAATAGAGCTCCTTACAGAGATTTTATTTTTTTAAAGCGATGAGGTCTTGCAAAAATTATGACAGAGATATCTAACATAGCTGACTCCATCTTGCTTCTAAGCTCACAAGCTAACTGTCCTTGCTCATTTCGGGGCATAGGCCAAGCTAACTATGGGAAGAATTCAGTTTACAGTTTAACTTTAAAACAAAGGTGATAACAGTCTTTTACCAAGACTAACCCTTTTGGCTGGGTGTAGTGTCTCACACCTGTAATCCCGGCACTTTGGGAGGCTGAGGTGGAAGGTTCCCTTGAGCCCGGGAATTTGAGACCAGCCTGGGCAACATGGCAAGACCCTGTCTCTACCTGAAAAAAAAATAATAATAACAATAATAATAAAAAAGAAAGTAACCCCCTCCTTGCTTGGGGACCAAAACTGCCTTTGTAAAACTAAAATTAGCCACAAGGTTAGAATTATGGTAGAGGCCTGAATTCTATTAGGATGTAGGCATAGTTAAACTCCAACCAGGCATTGTTTCCTCTGCTAAGATGTATGTAGAGTTTTACTCTAACAAGGCATTGTTTCATAATTTGTCTTTTCATAACTGCTTACTGCTCAGGAGTCATGTAGCTGGAGGTCACAAGATTTGTAACTTCCCCAATTATTCCTATAGATAACATCACTAAGGTAAAATCTAAGATTGGTGTTTGAGGCATTTTTCAGAACTTACACTGTGATGGACCAACTGGTGCCACCCAGATCGATAACCCATACCAATAAACTGACTCAACTGGTTTTGTGACTCCCACCCAGGAACCGACTCAGCACAAGAAGATAGTTTTTACACTCCTGCAATTTCATCCCCAACACAACAATTCAGCGTTCCCCATTCCCTAGCCCCCTGCCTGCCAAACCATCCTTGAAAAACCATAGCCCACAAATTCTCAGAGGCAAACTTGAAAATTATCTCCCATTCTTTTGTTTGGCTGCCTTGTGGTAATTAAACTCTTTCTCTGCTGCAACACCACTGTCTCAGTGTATTGGCTTTACTTGTGCACTGGGCAAGAAGAACCCATTAGGCTTTAACAGATTCTGTTTTTCTCATTTAAATTTTGCTCTAGGGTGACTTTAGTTTTGGTTTCTATATGGCCAATAAATTATTTCCCATTGGGAATTTGGTTTTATTGTCAGATTATTTGGTGATCTCTGTAAACAAATAAAAAGTTTATGGAGATCTTGTCTCTGTTGGGTAGGAGGCGACAGAATATCTGGTTTGTTAGTCTTTTCTGTTTGTTTGTCTACTTTTATTTCAAATCAATAATTTGTACCCACTGGGAAGAGAACAGCACTTTGACTTGAACTGGTACGTTTTAAGTCAGTTTTCAATTTTAAAATTTCAGCCATGGTCACTAGCAGACAGGACAGATATACAAACCTATGAATAACAGGCTACAGAGAGCTGCAAAACAACTCAATGAAAATGAACAAGGCTAGAATCCAATAGTAACCCAGAAGGGCATGCTAAGAGACAGTGCAGTTTTCCACTGAAACACAGAATGTTTTCTATAATCCTGTAGGGGCAAAGGGAACACTTCTTTGACCTTAAAAGATTTGCTTAAAAATAAACTGACAAAAGGCAGATTGATTGGAGAAAAGGCCTACAAATTTATTAATGTTCACATGGAGGAGAACCACAGAGTAATTACCCCATATTCCAGTGGAACCCAAATACCTATATAGCCTTATTTTAAAGGAGAGAGGGAAGATGGGGAATATAGGAAATTCTGTTGAGGGATGATAACTGATTATTAGGGAGAATGAATGATCTAGGAGTAGAGATTGAGAGACAGGTATTATGAAAAAATGTGTTCAGGTGTGGTTACATTCTTGGTCGTCTTTTTGGCAATAAAGAAATAATGGGGAGAGAAAGAAAAAACAATTGTTCTCCTTAGTGAGTCCCTCTGGTCTTCATGTAGATAGGAGAAAAGTCTTTTCCAGAGTCTGTTGATTTCTGAGGCACTTTAATTCAAAATACTCATCATACCAGGGTGCCATATTTTAGGATAAAGTTCCCTGTGCTCCTGCAATATTTATATTTTTTATTGCAATGAATGTACTGAGAAAAAGAAAAATAGTTCAGAGCAGTCTAAGCTATGTCAGGAATGCACAATTTATCAGGCCCAGAGAGAAGAATGGGAGTTCGGTCATTCCAATCCCCATTCCCAAACCCATGCCTGAGGGCATTTGTTTCAAGTCATTTTGTTCCTGACTAGCTGCTTCACCCATTGTCTTTATGTTTCTGCTCCTGGAATTTGTAATACCAGGATAATGTATAGCCAATCAATAGCTCATGTTACTTTAATGTAAATTCTTGTTAAACAACTTAGAAGGTTTTTTTTTCCTTAAAAACCCCTTGTGGGGTTGGGCATGGTGGCTCACACCTGTAATCCCAGCACACTGGGAGGCCGAGGCAGGCAGATCACCTGAGGTCAGGAGTTAGAGGCCAACCTGGCCAACATGGTGAAACCCTGTCTCTACTAAAAATACAAAAAAAAAAAAAAAAAAAAAAATTTAGCCAGGTGTGGTGGTGGGTGCCCATAATCTCAGCTACTTGGGAGGCTGAAGCAGGAGAATCACTGGAACCCAGGAGATGGAGGCTGCTGTGAGCCAAGATCGTGCCACTGCACTCCAGCCTGGGCAACAAGAGTGAAACTCTGTCTCAAAAAATAAACAACTATGAGTATAGAACTTCAGTCATGCTCCTGCACCCTTGCCTGGGGGCAAGTGTTTAAAGTCATTTTGTTCCTGACTAGCTATAATATGCATATGTAAGAATAAAATGGAGCACTATATTAGACACATTGTATATGCACAGAAAGGATCAGTTCCTCAGCTATCTTAGGAGGCAGAGCTAGATCAGTGGCTTAATTTTTTTTTTAACTTTACTGTGCCTAAGAATAACCCTGGAAATTCTTTTAAAAATAGAGATTCCGGGGCCCAAATCTGTAAATCTGTGAGTTTGGAGTAGAAAGGCACAAAGGACAACTTTTAATGAAGATGGTCCCTGGACCCAGGTGATGGGGCACCAGGTTGTAATAGATGTGGGGGTAGGAGTTCTCTGCTCTAGTTTGCCTTTCTAAAAGATTTAACAGGCCGGCCGCGGTGGCTCACGCCTGTAATCCCAGCACTTTGGGGTGCCGAGGCGGGCGGATCATGAGGTCAGGAGATCGAGTCCATCCTGGCTAACACGGTGAAACCCCGTCTCTACTAAAAAATACAAAAAAAATTAGCCAGGTGAGGTGGTGGGTGCCTGTAGTCCCAGCTACTCGGGAGGCTGAGGCAGGAGAATGGGGTGAACCCGGGAGGCGGAGCTTGCACTGAGCCGAGTTCACGCCACTGCACTCCAGCCTGGGCGACAAAGCGAGACTCCGTCTCAAAAAAAAAAAAAAAAAAAAAGGATTTAACATATGGTTTAAGGCACGATGTTAATATTTTCCTTTCTATATCTTCTTCAGGCACCTGTAAAATGTGGATAATAACTAATTCTTCCTTATCATAAAATACCAAATGAGAATTCAGAGAGCCAATCTATTGCTTTTGTCCCAGACGAAACTTTTGTAAGTCGTGACCAACAAAAAGAGAGTCAAAGCTTAAAAAGGAGTAACACCAAGATAAAATGTTTGGTAAAAGGGATAAATTATGTTTGAGATGAGAAAGGTATGAACAAACAAACTGAAAAGGGCTGGAGACAAGCAAAACAAAGATGCAGCAGAAATGTGGGGGCAGAAAAGCAACCAAATATTATACTAAATGTCATGCGTTTACTTTGGGAATCAGGGAATGAACATTTACACACAGAGAAAAGGAGTCAAAATGAAAAGTAGCAAAAGGTACAGGGACACAATGAATGAATAAATAGGAGAGGAAAATTGAATGTCAAATGCAGGAAAAGAACGGTAAAGAGGTTCTGGAATTTATATCATGCCTAATTATTCCCTTAAGATCCATGAAAAAAGAAAATTCTGCTGAAGGAAAAACACTAAACAATTTCTGAAGGGAAGAGCACAGAACCCAGAACCTAAAGGGCAATTCACAATTGGGAAATTTTTAAGTCAGCAAATGCCCACACAAGGATTTGGTTGAAGGGAATTTGATTATAAAGTCACTAGGGATGACTTAAGGCTTTTTCATGGACTCAGATGCCAGGATGAAAGACTGACTTTCAGGGATAGACCAATTTTAAGCAAATTAAAAAAAAAAAAAATTGTGAGAGAAGAAAATCTTCTGGCTATGAATGCTATTAAGACAGGATATGGGGTTTTTAAATGAATGTGTTATTTACTATATGCTGATAGAAAGAGATTACATAAACGCTAAAAATCCTGAAAAAAAAATTGAATGTGGAAAAATTATAAAAGTATAAAACATCTATAGAAAGTTAATTTATCAGTTTGTGCCTGTCCTCCCTATATTTCCTCGTTTTCTCTCCCCCCACATTTCAAGCAAGAAGCCATGCTGTGTATTCCCTTTGTCAGAAGAGTTGTGTAGCTGTTTAGTTTAGTTTAAAAGCAAAAGTCACTTATATTCAACAAGCTCTTTCTGTCTTTTGTAAAAGCCAAAATTCATCTAAGATATTGAAGCAGGAAATTTTCCCTGATCCCTTCACAGGCAGGATCTGGAGTATGGGCTCTGGAGTCAGCCAGCCACTTTGGTGTTCACAGGGGCAAACTCCACTTACTCAAACTGTGAGGGGTTGTGCTCAACCCCTCAAAGGAGGGCGCACACAGGTGAGTGGGTGCAGGAGCTGGTGTGAGTGCTTTTGGGCACCAGCAGGAGCAAAACTCCGTGTGGTTCCTGAAGCAGCATCCAGGCAAGGGGAACTGGTGACCCCTGAAGCCCCAGGAGTGTTACAGTCAGCTCTCTTTTACCTTTGCCATCTGCAGATGGCTTACGTGTTGACAGCTCAGTGGCCCTCTGCCTTTTTGCATGAGGCAGCTGCTTTCTGCCAGCAAGGGCACAGGGTCAGTGTGACAGCCTTTTGCATCTGCACCCATGGTACCTGAGCTCATGTTCAGCATCCAGAAAAAAATCAGGTTGCATGAATGAATTGAAGGGTGGTGAATGCAGAGGATTTTATTGCCTGTGTAAGTGGCTCTCAGTGGGAAAGGGAGCTGGAAAGGGGACGGAGCAGGAAGGTGATCTTCTCCTCTCTGAATCCATGCTGTCAAGCTGTCCCTCTGAAGTCAAGCTGCTTTTCTCCAACGTCAAACTGCAGTCTCTGACATCCAGCTGCTTCTCCTCTTCTCTGCTCTCTGCTGGTGGAGACTGGGGTTTTTATGGGCACAGGATGGGGGTGGGGCAGGCCATGGGTGGTTTTGGAAAAGGCAACATTTGAGCAGGAAAACAGGAATGCATGTTCACACTTTGGGCCAGGTTCCAGGCTTGAGAGTGGGGCCCTCACCAGATACCCACCCTCTTCTGCTAAGAATTTCCCTGTCTCCTGACTCTATCAATATTATGGTAGGTGCTCCCAATGGGGAGTGGGAAAAGACAGCCAGAAAGGTATCAACTATGCCAGTGGAGTTTTCAAATGTTCTAAAGGGCTTTCAAAGATGAAAAGGTACTGCAGTACTTAACAATTGTGGTGCTTTTAATAATATCTAATATATTCAAGTTGCAAATGTAAAACTAGTTTTTCTTAAACCATTAAACACCACTTTGAAATCTAATGAATGTATTTTATTTTATTGTAGATTAAAAAAAATAAAATAGTTCATACTATAACCAGCAAAGGGGGCCCGGTTGCTCACCACTTGTAGAAAGAAGCCAAAATAACAAGAGTGAGGTGTGATAAAAAGAGGGTGAATCTTTTTATCCATGCTAAGAAGGAAAAGAGTGCCAGAATTCTTTCCAACAATTGGCACTGCCCAGTTTACGGAGGGAACATGGGGATTTTAAAGAGAGGGGTTTGGAATGCAGGAGAGGCAAGGGGGCGAGAAGGTGTCAAGTGGTGTGACCTGCTCTGATGGCTTGTCTGGAATTATTGTTCCATCTGGTGAAGGGGCTAGCATCACTGTGGGCCCAATCAGGTTACACATCAATCTCAGTGGATCTTGTAGTCAGTCTCCAGCAGGGAGTGAGTTCTGGCCTTGAAATAATCTTTTGCTTGGGATAGAATTCTGGAGGTGTCTGGTTCATGTCAGGATCCAGCCCCTGAGGCTTCTAAAGATATGACCAGGTAAGTGAGCATGGTGTGCGTTAACAAGCATTTGGGTTAATAAATATGCATAAGGCATAGGAGCATAAAGTGGGAAAGGGAAGGCAGTGGAGGTTCACAGCACATTCTGAGGCTATATTTCAAGAGGAAGAAATAAACAATTGTAGTTTGTCTCAAAGCTACATCATGAGACTGAGGAGAAAGGAAGAAAGAAAAGAAGTTTTAAAACATGGTTGGAAGCTAAGCCGCTTGGTTACAATACTACAGAAAAATATATGTGTATGTATGTGTGTACACACATATATAAAATGACACATATAAAATTATATACATATATATATATATATATATATATATATATATATATATATATTTTTTTTTTTTTTTTTTTTTTGAGATGGAGTTTCACTCATGCTGCCCAGGCTGGAGTGCAATGGTGTGATCATGGCTCACTGCAACCTCTGCCTCCTGGGTTCAAGCGATTCTCCTGCCTCAGCCTCCCAAGTAGCTGGGATTACAGGTGCCTGCCACCACACCTGGCTAATGTTTTGTATTTTTAGTAGAGATGGGGTTTCACCATGTTGACCAAGCTGGTCTCAAACTCCTGACCTCAGGTGATCCACCTGCCTTGACCTCCCAAAGTGCTGGGATTACAGGCATAAGCCATGGGCCCGGCCCTATAAAACTGTATACATATATGATTTAAAGAATAATACAGTTGCTGGGTGTGGTGGCTCATGCTTGTAATTCCAACACCCTGAGAGCCCGAGGCAGGAGGATTGCTTGAGTCCAGGAGTTCAACACCAACTTGAGAACACACAAAGAGCCTGTCCTTACAAAAAATAAACAAATGAACTGGGTGTGGTGGCAAGGGCTTGTAGTCCCAGCTACCTGTGAGGCGGAGGTGGGAAGATCACGTAAGCCTGGGAGGTCAAGGCTGCAGTGAGCTGTGATCATACCACTGCACTCCAGCCTGGGTGACAGAGCGAGACCCTGTCTCAAGAAAAACCAAAAAATAATAATAATAAACATCCACGTAGCCACAAACCAGCTTAAGAAAAGGAACATTGCCTTTTAGGTCCTTTGAGCCCCTCCTGATTACATTCTCTTCCTCTGCCACTCCTTCCAAAAACAACTACCTTTTGTATTTTCATATTTACAGTTCCCTTGCTTTCCATAATAGGTTTTTTTTTTCTTGGTAGAATGTGCTTAGATCTATCTATAATAGCTTTGCCCACAAATGTATGTGTGTATTCCTAAACCATATTGTTCAGTTGTCTGCTTTCAAACTTACATGGTGTCATGTTTTACATTTGTTTGTAATTTGCTTTTTTTACTCAACATTATATTTCCAAGACTCACCAAAGTTATTCCATCTGGTTATAGTTAACTTGTTTTTCACTGCTTTATAATATTCCATAATTTGAATAAATAACAATTTATATGACCATGCTCCTGTGAATAGACATTTGGGTTATTTTCAGTTTTTGTTTTGTTTTGTCTTGCTATTGCAAACAAGGGTACTGTGAACATTCTTGGACACATCTCTTAGTGTATACATGTAGGAATCTTTTTAGGGTAAATATCTAGGAGTAGAAACACTGGGTTGTAAGGAATGCCAAATAGTGTTTCAAATGATTCTACTGCTTTACATTCCCTCAAGCAACATGGTCTTCATCTTCCCAACTTTTTTAATCATTACCAATCTGCTGGAGGATAAAAATCCTTTCATTTATTCTTGATTAATGTTCAATTAATTTATAAGTTCAATACTAAAATTCCTTAAACAGTTAATCCCCCACTTACAAAAAAATTATCTTAACCATTGTAAACTATATTGACAAATTTAAGATATATGTTTATCTGAGCCACTTCAAACAACTAACAAGGCAGACTTGTTTCAATAAGCAAAATCTAAGATTTATAACTATTATTAGTCTAATGAATGAAACTCATTCATGTGTTCAATCAGGGCTATCTTAAACATTCAAGCACTATTTAAACATTTAATTATCTTACATATTTCAAATTAAAATCTTAAGTCTAGCATCAAATTGTCTTAAAGTTTCCTAATTTAAACCACAAGCTAATATATCAAATCCTCTTTAACTTTTTAAATACTTAAAATAACAGGCTGGGGGTGTTTGCTCATGCCTGTAATCTCAGCACTTTGGGAGGCCAAGGTTGGAGGACCACTTGAGGTTAGAAGTTTGAAACGGGCCTGGGTGACATAGTAAGACTCTGTCTCTGCAAAAAATACAAGATTAGCTGGGTGTGTTGGTACATGCCTCTAATCCCAGCTACTTGGGAGGCTGAGGTGGGAGGATCTTTTGAGCCTGGGAGATTGAGGCTGCAATGAGTCATGATTGTACCACTGCACTCCAGCCTGGGTGACAAAGCAAGAACGTGTCTCAAAGAAAGAAAAAAAATCCACAAACATAACAGCAGTAATTACAAAATTTATCACTAAACCTAACCGTTATTATTATGAATTCGATTTACTTCATCATTGTAAATTGACTTACCTAACTATGGGGCACATACATGCATATATATGTTTATATATATGTTATATATGTTTATGTGTGTGTGTGTATATATATATATGATCACGGGCAGGCTAGAGATCCCAAACTGCTTTATAGATCACTGGTTAGAGATGATACCTCAGTCAAAATTAGATGTTACTTCCAAGACCATTCTATCAAAGAAATAAATGAAACCATGGAGTTCTTATTGGGACTTCAGCTTGTTCTATTTATTTTCAAAATTATCTATTGCTTTATAATAAACTCCCCCAAGACTTAGTGGCTTAAAAAAACCATCATTTTATACCTGATGTATTTTGAGTCAGAAATTCAAGCAGATATTGAATAGGTGATTCGTTTGCTCCATAAACCTTTAACTAGAAGGTAATTTGGTGGCATTCAGCCGGTGGCTGGGTTGTGTTGGGGAGTCCAAAACAGTGTAACTCATTTGTCTGGTGTCTTCCTGTGGATGACAAGGAGGCTGGGCTTAGGTAGGTTCCTTTTCACATACTCTCTCCTGCAGAGTAGTTAAACTCACATGGCTGCTCAGGGATCCAAAAGGGAGCATTTCAGGAAGCCCAATAGAAGCCCTTCAGCTTTTTATGACAGTCTCAGAAATTCCAAAATGTTATTTGAGTGTATTCCATTGATGAAGCAAGTCACTAAATCCAGTCTAGATTAAAGGATTAAGGAATTAGACCCCATTTCTCCATGGGAGGAATGTCAAAGAATTTGCAGCCATCCTTAATCCACTGCAGCTGAGCTCTGCTTGCTGTGTCAACTGCTGAGACTATACTCAAGCTGATCCTCTAGAATTTAGTTTCCCAGGAAATGTGTTGCTAACATATTTCAAATTGCACATTTTATAAAGTTTTACAGTAAATGTTTTCAAAACTTAATTACCTGATTTGGCAAAATAGGATTCTGTACTTCCCACTAGCTTGCAGCTCATCTCTTAGCGAATTATTAGAGTTAAGTATATGCTCCACGACTCTCTCCAATCTGGCTTAGAACACTATTTAAATTTTTCTTTTTATCTGCTTCTCCAGGCACAGTTATAACCATGATATTACATCTTTTGTTGGGAAAGGTCAGAAGTTGTCAGATCCCAGAATGTTAGTACCAGAGATGTGGTAAGACATCAGAGGATATGTAGGAAAGCTGGACTAGAGGCACAGGAACTACTAACTAGAAACATATTTCTACACCCCAAGCAGGCAGCAGAGTTATTGGATCTAAAGGGCTGGTCAAGGGTTGGTAGCAATGGTTATTTCAGCAGTAAGCATTATGAGCTGATTGATAATTTATATCTGAATGTCAAAAGGGGGCTCCACAATACCTGTGGCTTTTGGACAACTCTGGGAGTCCCAATAATGACTGAGAATGGATTACCCTCCACCCTCATTAACTTGAGGTTTAGAATTAATTTTAAATTGCCTTTAAAAAAATAACGTGGTATTTTTTGCACACCTGAGCTTGTGGAAAAAATTCACACTGGTCTCAGCTGGAGCCTTAATACTCTGCCAATTCTCTTACACAATACTCTGCCAATTATTTGGTGAAAATGCCCTATCTCACCTCACCTCTCACCCCAAGTAGCTATTACAAAGTTCTACCATTCTCAAGGCCCCTACTCTCAATTGATAGCCCTGTTTCCTTCTTCGCAGGAAACTCAATATCTTGTCTATCTGATGTGGTTTGCTGTGTCCCCACCCAAATCTCATCTTCAATTGTAGCTCCCATAATTCCCACATTCTGTTGGAGGGACCCTGTGGGAGGTAGTTGAATCATGGGGGCAGGTCTTTCCCGTGCTGTTCTTGTGATAGTTCGCATGAGATATGATGGTTTTGTAAAGGGGAGTTCCCCTGCACAGGCTCTCTTGCCTGCTGCCATGTAAGACGTGACTTTGCTTCTCATTCACCTTCAGCCATGATTATGAGTCATCCCCAGCCATGTGGAACTGTGAATCAATTAAACCTCTTTCCTTTATAAATTACCCAGTCTTGGGTATGTCTTTATTGGCAGTGTGAGAACAGACGAATACACCATCTGTTCCCTAAATTTACCTATGCCCATGTGCATTCTTCCCTAATTAGTACATGTCTTCTTCTTTGAGTTTTAGATCAATACATTCAAGTTAAACTCCATAAAAGGCTGAGATAAGAATATAGTAGTGGGAAGAGGATAACCTACCTTAAATAGAAAAGTCAGGAAAGACTTTAGACAGGTGCAAATTGAGACCTGAAAAAATAAGGACCTAGCCAAAAAACAGCAGAAGAGTGAATCAGGCAGAGAAAGGCAAAAGCCCTAAAGCTGCAGAGGCGGGTTGTTCTAGGCAATCAAAGACCAGTATGGCTGAAACACCATGGGCAAAAGGGAAAATGGAAAGAGATGACATTGGAAATATGGATAACACGTAGGTCATACAATGTTTAGGTCATGGTAAGAAGTGTGGATTTTATTTTAAGTACATATCACACCAAGATTTATGGGTAATCTTGGTAATCAGAATTTGGGAGGATGCTGGATTGGTTGACTGAGACAAGGAAGTTTGAAGGTAGTAGGGACAGGTTTAAGGGAAAACAAAGATATCCATTTTGGACATATTGAGTGTCTGTGAGACACCCAAGTGGATATGTCAGTTAAAATTTAAATCTTACATTAGGAAGAGCGTTCAAAGTCAGCATGTAAATTAAATGCTTGTATGATACAACTCTACCTAAATAACAGAATATGTGAAAAGAAAAGTTCTGGGCTGGGCATGGTGACTCACACCTGTAATCCCAGTGCTTTGGGCTTAGGTGGGAGGATCACTTGAGGCCAGGAGTTCAAGACCAGCCTGGGCAACATCTGTAGCAACACCCTGTCTTTATTTAAAAACAAAAATACAAATATTAGCTGGACATGAACCTGTAGTCCTCGCTACTCAGGAGGCTAAGGTGGGAGGATCACTTAAGCCCAGGAGTTTCAGGCTGCAGTGAGCTATGATCATGCTACTGCATTCAGCCTGGAAAACAGAGTGAGACTCTGTCTCAAAAAAAAAAAAGATATTCTGAGTTGGAGATATAAATTTTGGACTTATCAGTCTATAGATGGGAATTAAAAGCACTGGTAATAAAGCTGGGCACAGTGGCTCACACCTGTAATCTCAGCACTTTGGGCAGCTGAGGTGGGCAGATGGCTTGAATCCAGGAGTTTGAGACTAGCCTGGGCAACATGATGAAACCCTGGCTCTACAAAAAATACAAAAGTAGCCAGGCGTGGTGGTGCGTGCTTGTGGTCCCAGCTACTTGGGAGGCTAAGGCAGGACAATTACCTGAGACCCGGGAAGGGGGAGGCTGCCATGAGCTATGATCGTACCAATGCACTCCAGCCTGGGCAACACAGATCCTGTCTCAAAAAAAAAAAAAAAAAAGAACTCTGGTAATTAATGAGATTACTTAGGAAGAAAATGTATAAAAAATGTATGAAGAAGAGTGAGCCTAGAACTGAACTGTAATTTACTTCAGTATTTAGAGAAAAGGTAAAGAAAGATAAACAGACTGAGAAGGAACAGGTAGTGAAGTAGTTGAGAAACCAAGAGAATACGGTTTCTGCAATTTCTCTGAAGACAGCCAAGAAGAGTGTTCAAGGAAAAAGTCTTTAAGTATTTTAAAAGGTGCTAAGAAGCTGGGCTAAATGAAGACACAGACATATCTTTTACATCTGACAGCGTGTACATCGTTGATGACTCTAATAAGAGAAGTGCCAGTGAAGTGATGAGTATAGTAACCAGTCAGGACTGAGTTGAAGAATTGATAAGAAGTGAGAAATAAAGCTAATTTTCCAGAAGTTTTACTGTGAAAGGATTCATAGAAATGGTGGTAGCTAGAGGATAACCAATAGTGAAAGGCTTTAAAAAGCATTCTTTTTAAATGTGGATGGGAAAGAGTGGTGATACAGGACAGGGAAGGCGTAACTGAAAAGATGAAGGGCTTGAGGAAAGTAGAAGTAGGATCCAGAACACAAATGGTGGGAGAAGGAACACATCCTTCATTGCTAGGGAAGGAAAGAAAAGATGGCATACATAGTTAAGTTTACAAATTTTGATAGTGGGAAGATGAGAGTGCTCCTGTCTGATGAATTCCCTCAAATTAAATATAAAATATTGTCATCAGGTGAGTGGGAAGGAAGGTATAAAATAATTGACTCAAAGTGGAAAACTGCACTTACTTGGTAAATAAAATAATATTTCCAGGTCATGTTAACTGTCTCAATTGAAGTTTATAATTATGAATTTAGTGTGAAACCTCTCCTAAAGTGCACACAGAAAAACCTCTCCTCTCATGCACACAGAAAATGTATATATAGTAATTTCAGTTGTAGCACTTTGTATTATCAAATGACAGAAAACCAAAATGTTCATCAATAGCAACACTGTCTCAATAAATGATACATTTTTGGGGTACTACTACATATTGAAATACCATGTATCTATTAAAAGAAATAAGTAAATTTGTCTGTGATGATAGAGAAAGAATTCTAGGATATATAATTAAGCGAAAACAATAAAGTGCAGAATAATTCATAAAATACTGCTCATGTTTATATTAACAATATAGAGAAGAGAGAAGGGAGATATGAATTTGAGGACTTTGAGGAAATTAAATTAACCAAAATCTTCCCTGCTAGAGTTCTGAACAACTGAGAAAGGAGACAAAGAAATAAGATAGAAGAAGCCAAATTGTCACCTTTATTAAGCTGATATATTAATGAATATACTTTACATGTGTGGGCAAATGAGTTTCCTAATACCAAACCCCAGAATTAGCACATTCACCCACCCACAGTGCAGCACTGCACCAGGGCAGACCTCTTCCCATCTTGGCACAAGGTCAGAGGATTACAGAGAAATTTATGGGTTTATTACCCACCTGCAGAGAACAGGTAAAAGGAATGAATTGAGCTAACCATGCCCAGTATATTCTTCCCAAATTTTCCAATCAGACAAGTTTCTCTACCTCTCCAAGCGGAATGAATAAAGAAGTAAAGCTAGGTATTAACAAAAGAGTCATAATAATCACCCATAGAATTTAAGCTAGTCAAATAGGAAGGTAGAATAAAGAAGAGGTTGATTGATAATGAAAATCAGTGGGTTAAGGTATTGAGAGTCTGCATTAAATCAACAAATTGTGGCTATAGGAGTTCTACAGAAAAAAAAAGCACAAAATAAAAGGATATTAATCAAAAAGTCGAATATTTCAGCCAAGATTTCAGAGATAGTGCAGACTTTGGTTCTGATAAATTTGGGAAATGGCTATGGGAGTGTGCCCAGAGTGAAATGCAAGAAAAGGTGTTGGAGGTGAGATCAAGGAACTGAGAAAGCAGGTGTAGAATGGGTTAACTGCAAGGAAAAAATTTTAAGCAGAAGGAGGTGAAACGTGAACTATGAACCAAAAGCTAAAATTTCCAGTGGATGAAAGGGGAGGGAGGACATTAAATATTAGCAATAAGGGGGGAAGAAGAGGGAATGAATTTTGAGGGAAGAGATAACCTATAGGAAGGTGGCAGTAAAATGGTTTCAAAGCAACAATGGGACACAAAGACATCTATTCCAACTCTTAGCCCTAAGATACTCAGGGGCAGAGAAAAAACAGGTGAAACAAACTCCTCTGAGCTAAAGGAACATGTCTAACCCAGTGCAAGGAAGCTAAGAACTTTGAAAAACGGTTAGAGGAATTGCTAACTAGAACAACCAATTTAGAGAAGAACATAAATGACCTAATGGAGCTGAAAAACACAGCATGAGAACTTCGTGAAGCATACACAAATATTGATAGCCGAACTGGTCAAGTGGAAGAAAGGATATCAGAGATTGAAGATCAATTAATGAAATAAAGCATGAAGACAGGATCAGAGAAAAAAGAATGAAAAAGAATGAACAAAGCCTCCGAGAAATATAGGACTATGTGAAAAGACCAAACCTACATTTGATTGATGTACCTGAAAGTGAGGGGAAGAATGGAACCAAGCTGGAAAACACTCTTTAGGATATTATCCAGGAGAACTTCCCCAACCTAGCAAGACAGGCCAAATTCAATTCAGGAAATACAGAGAACACCACAAAGATATTCCTTGAGAAGAGCAACCCCAAGACACATAATTGTCAGTTTCACCAAGGTTGAAATGAAGGAAAAAATGTTAAGCACAGCCAGAGAGAAAGGTCAGGTTACCCACAAAGGGCTGAAGCCCATCATCCAACAGCAGACCTCTCTGCAGAAACCCTACAAGCCAGAAGAGAGTGGGGGCCAATATTCAACATTCTTAGAATTTTCAACCCAGAATTTCATATCCAGTCAAACTAAGCTTCATAGGTGAAGGAGAAATAAAATCCTTTACAGACAAACAATTGCTGAGGGAATTTGTCACCACCAGGCCTGCCTTACAAGAGCTCCTGAATGAAGCACTAAATATGGAAAGGAACAACTGGTACCAGCCACTGCAAAAACATACCAAATTGTAAAGACCATCAACACTATGAAGAAACTGCATCAATTAATGGGCAAAATAACCAGCTAGCAACATAATGACAGGATCAAATTCACACATAACAATATTAACCTTAAATGTAAATGGGCTAAATGCCCCAATTAAAAGACATAGACTGGCAAATTGGATAAAGAGTCAAGACCCGTCATTGTGCTGTATTCAGGAGACGTATCTCATGTGCAAAGACACACATAGGCTCAAAATAAAGGGATGCAGGAATATTTACCAAGCAAGTGGAAAGCAAAAAACAAACAAACAAAAAAACAGGTTGCAATCCTAGTCTCTGATGAAACAGACTTAAACCAACAAACATCAAAAAAGACAAAGAAGGCCATTACATAATGGTAAAGGGATCAATGCAACAAGAAGAGCTAACTATCCTGAATATATATGCACTCAATACAAGAGCACCCAGATTCATAAAGCAAGTTCTTGGAGACCTACAAAAAGACTTAGACTCCCATGCAATAATCATGGGAGACTTTAACACCCCACTGTCAATATTAGACAGATCAATGAGACAGAAAATTAACAAGGATATTCAGGACTTGAACTCAGCTCTGCACCAAGCAGACCTAATAGACATCTACAGAACTCTCCACTCCAAAACAACAGAATATACATTCTACTCAGCACCACATTGCACTTATTCTAAAATTGACCACATAATTGGAAGTAAAACACTCCTCAGCAAATGCAAAAGAACAGAAATCATAACAAATAGTCTCTCAGACCACAGTGCAATCACATTAGAACTCAGGATTAAGAAATTCACTCAAAACCACACAACTACATGGAAACTGAAGAACCTGCTCCTGAATGACTACTGGGTAAATAAGAAAATTAAAGCAGAAATAAATAAGTTCTTTGAAACCAGTGAGAACAAAGGCACAGCATACCAGAATCTCTGGGACACAGCTAAAGCAGTATTTAGAGGGAAATTTATAGGACTAAATGCCCACAGGAGAAAGCAGGAAAGATCCAAAATCGACACCCTAACTTCACAATAAAAAAAACTAGAGAAGCAAGAGCAAACAAATTCAAAAGCTAGCAGAAGACAATAAATAACTAAGATCAGAGCAGAACTGAAGGAGATAGAGACATGAAAAACCCTTCAAAAAATTAATGAATCCAGGAGTTGGTTTTTTGAAAAGATCAACAAAATAGGTAGACCGCTGGCAAGACTAATAAAAAAGAAAAGAGAGAAGAACAAAATAGGCACAATAACAAATGATAAAGGGGATATCACCACCGATCCCACAGAAATACAAACTACCATTAGAGAATACAATAAACACCTCTATGCAAATAAACTATAAAATCTAGAAGAAATGGATAAATTCCTGGACACATACACCCTCCCAAGACTAAACCATGAAGAAGTTGAATCCCTGAATAGAACAATAACAAGTTCTGAAATTGAGGCAGTAATTAATAGCCTACCAACCAAAAAAAGCCCAGGACCAGACAGATTCACACCTGAATTCTACGAGAGGTACAAAGAGGAGATGGTACCGTTCCTTCTGAAATTATTCCAAACAATAGAAAAAGAGGGAATCCTCCCTAACTCATTTTATGAGGCCAGCATCATCCTAATACCAAAACCTGGCAGAGATACAACAACAAAAAGAAATTTCAGGCCAATAACCCTGATGAACATTGATGTGAAAAGCATTAATAAAATACTGGCAATTAATAAAATACCGAATCCAGAGGCACATCAAAAAGCTTATCCACCACAATCAAGTTGGCTTCATCCCTGGGATGCAAGGCTAGTTCAACATACACAAATTAGTAAAAGTAAACCATCATATAAACAGAACCAATGACAAAAACCACATGATTATCTCAATAGATGCAGAAAAGGCCTTCAACAAAATTCAATGCCCCTTCATGCTAAAAACTCTCAATAAACTAGGTATTGATGGAACATATGTCAAAATAATAAGAGCTATTTATGACAAACCCACAGCCAATATCATACTGAATGGGCAAAAGCTGGAAGGATTCCCTTTGAAAACCAGCACAAGACAAGGATGCCCTCTCTCATTATTTTCTATTCAACACAGTATTGGAAATTCTTGCCAGGGAAATCAGGCAAGAGAAAGAAATAAAGAGTATTCAAATAGGAAGAGAGGAAGTCAAATTATCTCTGTTTGCAGATGACATGATTGTATATTTAGAAAGCCCCATCATCTCAGCCCAAAATCTCCTTAAGCTGATCAGCAACTTCAGTAAGGTCTCAGGATACAAAATCAATGTGCAAAAATCACAAGCATTCCTACACATGAATAATAGAGAGCCAAATCATGAATGAACTCCCATTCACAATTGCTACAAAGAGAATAAAATACCTAGGAATACAACTTACAAGGGATGTGAAGGACCTCTTCAAAGAGAACTACAAACCACTGCTCAAGGAAATAAGAGGGGACACAAACAAATGGAAAAACATTCCATGCTCATGGATAGGAAGAATCAATATCATGAAAATGGTCATACTGCCCAAAGTAGTTTATAGATTCAATGCTATCTCCATCAAGCTACCATTGACTTTCTTCACTGAATTGGAAAAAAACTACTTTAAATTTCATGTGGAACCAAAAAAGAGCCCATATAGCCAAGAAAATCCTAAGCAAAAAGAACAAAGCTGGAGGCATCATGCTACCTGACTTCAAACTATGTTACAAGGCTACAGTAACCAAAACAGCATGGTGCTGGTACCAAAACAGATATATAGACCAATGGAACAGAACAGAGGCCTCAGAAATAATGCCATACATCTACAACCATCTGATCTTTGACAAACCTGACAAAAACAAACAATAGGAAAAGGATTCCCTATGTAATAAATGGTGCTGGGAAAACTGGCTAGCCAGATGCAGAAAACTGAAACTGGAACCCTTCCTTACACCTTATACAAAAATTAACTTAAGATGGCTTAAAGACTTAAAGGTAAAACCCAAAATCATAAAAATCCTAGAAGAAAACCTAGGCAACACCATTCAGGGCAAAGGCATGGGCAAAGACTTCATGGCTAAAACACCAAAAGCAATGGCAACAAAAGCCAAAACTGACAAATGGGATCTAATTAAACTAAAGAGCTTCTGCACAGCAAAAGAAACTATCATCAGAGTGAACAGGCAACCTACAGAATGGAAGAAAATTTTTGCAATGTATCTACCTGACAAAGGGCTAATATCCAGAATCTACAAGGAACTTAAACAAATTTACAAGAAAAAACCCCATCAAAAAGTGGGCAAAGGATATGAACAGACAGTTGTCAAAAGAAAATATTTATGTGGCCAAAAAACTTATGAAAGAAAGCTCATCATCACTGGTCATTAGAGAAATGCAAATCAAAACCACAATGAGATACCATCTCATGCCAGTTAGAATGGCAATCATTAAAAAGTCAGGAAACAACAGATGTTGGAGAGGATGTGGACAAACAGGAATGCTTTTACACTGTTGGTGGGAGTGTAAATTAGTTCAATCATTGTGGAAGAGAGTGTGGTGATTCCTCAAGGATCTAGAACCAGAAATTCCATTTGACCCAGCAATCCCATTACTGGGTATATACCCAAAGGATTATAAATCATTCTACTATCACACATGTACAAGTATGTTTATTGCAGCACTGTTCACAATAGCAAAGACTTGGCAAATGCCCATCAATGATAGACTGAATAAAGAAAATGTGGCACATATACGCCATGGAATACTATGCAGCCATAACAAAGGAAGAGTTCATGTCCTTTGCAAGGACATGGATGAAGCTGGAAACCATCATTCTCACAAACTGACACAGGAATAGAAAACCAAACACTGCATGTTCTCACTCATAAGTGGGAGTTGAACAATGAGAACACATGGACACGGAGGGGACCATCACACACCAGGGCCTGTTGGGGGTTTGGGGACTAGAGGAGGGCTAGCATTAGGAGAAATAGCTACTGTAGATGACGGGTTGATGGGTGCAGCAAATCACAATGGTATGTGTATACCTAGGTAACAAACCTGCACGTTCTGCACATGTATCCCAGAACTTAAAGTATAATAAAAAATAAAAAATTGGGCTAGGCGTGTTGGCTCACACCTGTAATCCCAGCACTTTGGGAGGCTGAGGCATGTGGATCACCTGAGGTCAGGAATTCAAGACCAGCCTGGCCAACATGGTGAAACCCCATCTCTACTAAAAATACAAAAATTAGCTGGGTATAGTGGTGGGTGCCTGTAATCCCAGCTACTCGGGAGGCTGAGGCAGGAGAATCACTTGAACCTGGGAGGTGGAGGTTGCAGTAAACCGAGATCAAGCCATTGCACTCCAGTCTGGGTGACAGAGTGAGACTCTGTCTCAAAAAAAAAGAAAAAAAAGTTAAAAATTAAAAACCCTTATTCCATTGATACCCTTTTCTGAGGAGGTTGGAATCAACCCAACTGAGAGAATGAACTGTGGAGATTGCCAGTTGTGTAGAATGAACAGTTTGTCAAGGTGAATCAAATATCTCATAGCTAGTTTGAAAGGAAGGCAGATGTAATCTTGAATGATTCACACAAATTCATAAGGTGTTAAAGGCATGAAAATAAATTTTAAAATACTTAAAAAAAAGGTGAAGGAAAAAACCGCTTCGACGTGGGAGGGCTGCAAGAGAAGCAAGGACATCAGAGCTCAGGGCAACTTCCATTAATGCAAGAAACCTCAGGAAAGAGGTTGAGGTCATACGGTGTTTTGTTGATCGCAGAGTTAGACATGCTGGGTGGCATTTTGGAGATCATGATAAAAGAATTTGGAAGCTAAGGAAAAGGTAAATAGGGCATTATGCACCTTGTACCCGATTTACAATTCACATAGAATCCAACTCCGTGAGTTCTGCAACATGAAGACCCTGGAGGTTGTAATTGGAGGAATATGAGAATAGGCATGTTGAGGATGCTTGGCCCAAATGGAGATTAACAGAGGTAGAGATGTGAGACAAGATAGAACTATGTCTTACAGTCTCTAAAAGGAGGGTGGGACTTTAACTTTAAGGTATCAATATTTTTGTTTGTTGATAATGCAGCTTGAGAGCCAGCATTCACGATGGCTTCCCCAAGAAGTACTAAATCCTGAGATTCTTAGTTTCTAAATATTTCTCTAGTTAATCCTCTTTTCCCACTCCCCTCTGTTACTGCCATAGTTCAGGATCTCATTTTCTTTCCCCTGGGGTTTTGCCGAAACCAGAGTCATTATTTGCTATGCCCCCATACGCTAAACTCGTTATTTTCCCACAATGTCAATTTAACTGGCATTTTCTACCCATGCCATGCCTTCCTACCCCCACATGCCTTTGTACTTGTTCTCTTCTCCTGCCTTGTCCTTTCTCTCCTTGTTTTCCAGGTAACAACCAGTCTGATTTCTGCCTTCAGGCCCATTTTGAATACCATTCTGTAAACACTTTTTTGACTACTCCCACCACTTTGATTTTACAAACATTACAATTCCTCATCTGTGTCTCTGCTACTTTGCAGAAGTGATTTGTATTTGTTTCCTCAATTATACTATAAATTCCTTGGGCCAAAAATTATTTCTTATATATGTTTCAGTCCAGTCTTTCATACACAGTAAGTTCTCACTAAGAGTTTGTTGAATAAATAATGTGATGCATCAAATGACACATCCATTTCTGTTTTTCACCAAAGGGTATCTCTAAATATGTTTCCTCTTTACTTTCTCGTTAACATCAAAGGTAGGTGGTCCCTCAATTCTCTCTTAAGTTCAATCATAAACAAAGCCCTTACTCCCAGGTTTTTTAATCCAAGTGACTTTATCAGTTCTTTCATTTTCTTATTTATCTCCACACTCTCTCCTTTTCAATTTGCTTTATATTTTCTGCTGTCAAGTATATCAGGTTTCAGTTATTCATCCACAGGATCACCACCTTGACTCTGCTGCTCCTTATAGATACTTCATTTGTGCCAGATCTTCCCGCCAAGGCGAGCTGTAAAAGCATCTGTTTATTCTTCTTGTCCATCAGGTAATTGTGAGATTGCACATACAAAAACATGCACAGAAACAAAAAGTACAAATCTTAAAGAAGAAAGGAAATATTTTCCTAATATTCAGTAATTTTGAAAGATTGCTGTACAAAAGCTAAGCCAAATTTTAGAGATTACTATTTATTTGGGCCCATTTAACATTTAGACAAAGGCCATCTTCCTTCTCAAGCTGCGACTAATAAGCTGTAATGAATCTTTGGTCTTCTAGTCAAACATATAAAATCTAGAGAATGGAGAGTTATTAATTTTTATGATAGACCCTTGAGAACCTGATGAAAGGTATATACAGTCTCACCCCAGGAAAAAACATACTGTAATTTTTTAGTTAGTTCAGAGGTTCACAGATCCTGTGAAGCCTAACCATAGATCCAGATGTAAAATCCTCTCATCTAAAAAGTTAGCAGTTATTAGAGATGGTTTAAAGGTTTCCTTTTTGCTAATTTTTATTTTCTAAGTTTCATAAAACAAAAATTATTTGTGTTAAAATATATATATATATTTTAAAAATAAGCCCATGCTATATGATATGCATAAAGGATCTTGTAAAATAAATTCATCATGTAGTGAACTTGTCAAAGACTGACAGGTTTTGAATGAGGCATGACTATAATACAAGGCACTTAGTTTTACCATCTGTAAAATGGAGTAATTAATATTAATCAGTCATTATGTCATATAGGTTAATACTTGCAAAATTCTAATAATTGTGATTTTTCTATGCTCTCCCTGGGTAGTCTCTCTGTCATTTAGATTGTAATTTTCTTCCCTAGTCTTGAAGCAGATATAATGCCACAGCTGTTTCTTCAGCTATTCTGTTTTCTGTGAACAAACACCTGCTTAGACTGTACCTAAGGAGTTATTTGTTTTTTGATAATTAAAGCACTGCTATGGTGATGGCCGACATCTGGATTCACTTTTAAAGACTTTGTTGTGTTTTTCTGGCTCCTGGGAGACTCATGAAGTATAACGCATTAGATGGAAATGTGGTGATGTGCTTCATTTTGCAACAGCAGTTTTACTCTCGCTTTGTTATTTCCCTACTGCAATGAGAGAGAGCTGCCACTCTGCTTGTTGCTGCTAAGAGATTAGGGGAGCTGAGCTGAGCTCTAGAAATTTAATATGCTATATAATGCCTGATTCATTTTGATTCTGGCTTTGACTTGATAAACTCACTTGGGACTGCTATAAAGAATCAATATTGGCCCGCTGCCACAGTGGCTCATGTCTTAATCCCAGCACTTTGGGGGGCTGAGGTAGGCGGATCACTTGAGGCCAGGAGTTTAAGATCAGCTTGGCCCACATGGTGAAACCCCATCTCTACTAAAAATACAAAAATTAGCTGGGGGTGGTGGTGCATTCCTGTAATCTCAGCTACTCAGGAGCCTGAGGCACGAGGATTGCATGAACCCGAGAGGCGGAGGTTGCAGTGAGCTGAGATTGTACCACTGCACTCCAGCCTGGGTGACAGACAAGAGAGGGTGCATAAAAAAAAACAAACAAAAAAAACCCCAGAAACAAAAGAATCAATATCCAGGGATTGAAAATTTGTATACATTTGTATTTGTATAAACTGGTTTTAAGATAATTTCTTTTGGAGGACAAAAAACGTCTAAGGTCTCCAACTATTTCCAACAGTAATAGAGAAACTTGGCAAAAATATCCCCATATTATGTATAATTTCCTTAAAAGATACATTCTTCAATTTCTGCTCAATAATAGTTCACTAAACTTTTCTAGAGTTTGTTTTCCAGCATTATGCACCTTTGTTTACAGTGATTATAAATTATATAATTACTCCCTCTACCTTAATATTCTTCTTAGCCTGTTACAGGTAACAGTTCTTCAAAGGAAGAAATATGTTTTCAGTCAGGACTCACAGTTGTAAGTAACAGAAGCTAATTCTGGCTGAGTGAGCAGAAAAGAATTTGTTAAAAGGAGATGGGAAGACTCAGAGAATCAATGGGAGGCTAGAGGAACAGGTATGGAATTAGGCTTCCAGGAACAATGCTTAAAACTATCCCATAAAACTGGTCCAATGACAAAGTCACCGCCACAACTTATTAATGCCCTACCAAACACTAAATGTAACTGCTGCCACTCCCACTGCCCAGCAAGGCCACTACTGCACTAGTTGTGGCCTTGCAAGCACTGCCATCCCAAATGTCATATGCCTTTATCAGCAAATTGTTTTCAAAGCAGAATTTTTCCTTTCTCAAGCTGCTAACTTCCAAATCAGTCTTCTGCAGGCGTGCTGGCCCTAGCTTTGAGAGTCTGGAAAAATTTTCAGAGCTTACCTTGGGGAAGCAACACTTATATTAAGATTGGAAATTCCCTAAACATAGCAAATATATTCAAAACATCCTGAGCTACCAGAAAATATGAAAATGTTTACTACAGGAGAAAATCAATTTTAGTTAAGAGTATATGCTAAGTGTCAGATGCTTTAAATCACATTACTTAATGCTCACAAAAATAGATATTTAACTCTATTTTAGTGAAGGGAAAGCTGGGGCTCAGAAAGGATGTTACTAGCCCTGAATTGTCTTGTTGGTAAAATGGAGAACAGAGATTCATGCCAGGCTTTTATCCTTCCAAATTCTTCATTTTATTTTATCTTATTTTTATTTTTATTATTTTTTTATTTTTTTGAGACAGAGTCTCGCTCTGTTGCCCAGGCTGGAGTGCAGTGGTGCAGTATTGGCTCACTGCAAGCTCTGCCTCCTGGGTTCACGCCATTCTCCTGCCTCAGCCTCCTGAGTAGCTGGGACTATAGGCGCCCGCCACCACGCCCAGCTAATTTCTTGTATATTTAGTAGAGACGGGGTTTCACTGTGTTAGCCAGGATAGTCTCCATCTCCTGACCTCGTGATCTGCCCGCCTCATCCTCCCAAAGTGCTGGGATTACAGGTGTGAGCCACCACGCCCGGCCTATTTTATTTTTTTACAACAGAACTCTAATTTCCACTTCCCAGCTTCTAATGCACATATAAGCAGTGGTGTACAAAGTAGTGGGGCCGTGGGGAGAGTAAAATCATCAGCTCTTGGGAGCAGGCAACCAAAGATGCCTTATGTGGGAGAAAATTTAAAAACAATAGTAAAACAGACTAAAAATAGATCTGCTTTTCAATGATAATCATCATGTGATATCAATTCTAAACAATGTCAGCAATAAAATATTCCTTCTTGCTGAGGTGAACTGTTCCCCACTCCTTGGTAACCAGTACATATAGGAAGCCCCCAAGTTAATTTGCAAGATTTTTCCAAAGAGAAGTTTGTTTAGAACTTGTAATAAAAGTGCCATAAACAGTCTTATTTTCCTAGAGTAGACCATAAAGAAGCCATTTAATACATGATGTACTAAGTACCTATCTTTTAACATTGTTTCTAAGAATAAATAAATTCCAATTTTCATTTTGGAAGCACATCTCTCCCAATTTTGGCAGTGTGAGAAGGGGCTGTTTATCTTCTAGTAGCATCAGACCCTCTGGTAATATGACAGAACCTCCTGGGAGAGCTCCTTGGGCAGCAGAGGCTCTCTTGGCAAGATGGCTGTTGCAGATGAGGAGAAAGATGGGTCTTGGTAATTTATACAGTAGAAGAGGAAAGGGCACCTCTTTAAACTGGCAAGAGAAAGTAACTATTTAGGTTAATAGGTTTAGAGAGTTTGAGATCTTGAAACATTACTTTGCACCACCACCAAATTATATGCTGAATTCATTCATAAATAGGGAAACTTGGCTGGGCACGGTGGCTCACGCCTGTAATCCCAGCACTTTGGGAGGATCGAAATTATTAAAAGACTACTGACTAGATCAATGAAACAGAATAGAAAGCCCAGAAATAGACCCACTCAAATATAGTCAACTAATCTTTGACAAAGGAGCAAGGGCAATACAATGGAGCAAAGATAGTTCAACAAATGGTGCTGAAACAACTGTCCATCCACAAGCAAAATAAAAAATAAATGTAGACACAAATTTTACATCTTTCATAAAAACTAACTCAAAATGTATCACAGATCTAAATGTAAAATGAAAAGCTATAAAAGTTCCAGTAGAAAACAGGGAAAAATCTAGGTGACCTTGGGTTTGGTGATGTCTTTTTGGATACAATACTTAAAGCACAATCCATAAGAGAAAACACTGATAGTTGGACTTCCTTATAATGAAAACTTCTGCTTTGTGAAATTCACTGTTAAGAGAATAAAAAAGGCTGAGCATGGTGGCTCACGCTTGTACCAGCACTTTGGGGGGCTGAGGTGGGAGGATTGCCTGGGCCCAGTTCAAGACCAGCCTGGGCAACAAAGTGAGACCTAGTCATAGAGACAGAGAGAGATAGAGATAGATATAGAGAGAGAGAAGACAAGTTACAGATTAGAAAAAAAATTTGCAAAACATATGTCTGACAAAGGCCTGATATCCAAAATGATTAAAGAACTCTTAAAAGCTAAGCAGTGAGAAAACAAACAGCCCAATTAACAAATAAACCAAAGATCTAAGCAGACACCTCACCAAAGAAAATATTCACATGGAAATAAGCATATAAAAAGACACTCAACATTATACATCATCAGGGAATTACAAAATGAAACGATGAGTTATTATCACACACCTATTAGAATGGCCCAAATCCAAAACATTCACAACACCAAATGTTGGTAAGGATGTAGAGCAACAGAGTCTTTCATTTAATGATGGTGAGAATGCAAAATGGTATAGCCATTTTGGAAGATAGTTTGAGTTTTTTAGAAAACTAAACATACTTTTACCATTCAATCCAGCAGTTGCACTTTTTGGTATTTACCCAGACGACCTAAAAACTTATGTTCAAACAAAAGCCTGCACACAAATGCTTATAACAGCTTTATTCATAATTGCTGAAAACTTGGAGGCAACCAAGATATCCTCCAATAAGTGAAAGAATACATTAACTCTGATTCATAAATTCAATGGAATATTATTCAGCAATAAAAAAATGAGCTGTCATGCCAAAAAGGTATGAAGGAAACTTAAATGCATATTGCTAAGTGAAAGAAGCCAATCTGAAAAGGCTGGTTACTACCTAATTCTATCTGCGTGACATCCTGGAGAAAGTAAACTATGGAGACAGTGAAAAGATCAGAGGTCTCCAGGGGAGCAATGACTAGGTGGAACAAAGGGGATATTTAGTGTAGTGAAACTATTCAGTATGATACTGTAATGGTGGATTCATGGCAGTACACATTTGTCAAAATCCATAGAATGTAAATATTAGATGGTGCAAAAGTAATTGCGGTCTTTGCCATTTTTAATGGCACCAACCTAATACAAACAGTGAGCCCTAATGTAAATCCCCCTGCCTCAACCTCCCAAAATGCCGGGATTACAGGAGTGAGCCACTGCTTCCAGCTTTCCTAGTTCCTTTTTATAGATGGAGTTTCACTCTGTCACCCAGGCTAGAGTGCAGTGGCACGATCTCAGCTCACTGCTACCTCCACCCACCAGGCCCACCTCAGCCTCCCGAGTAGCTGGGACCACAGACGTATGCCACCATGCCCAACTGATTTTTTAATTTTTTTGGTAGAGACATGATTTCACAATGTTGCCCAGGGTGGTCTTGAACTCCTGAGCTCAAGCAATCTGCCCGCCTCAGCATCCCAAAGTGCTGGGATTACAGGAGCCACTGTGCCTGGCTTACAAGCTCTTTTTGAGGATTTTCTTTTTCTTTCTGTTTTTGGTCTATGCCTAGTGGCATTTCTGAGTTGCTGGCTTCTTCAGCTCCAATTCTGCAATATATGACGCAAAAAGAATACCCAAGGTATCACTACCATTTTGTTCCTTGAGTCCTGAGGTCCCTAGGTGGTCTGCTTTCTCCTCTCTATCTTTCAGAGTCTTCTTCAGTTTGTTTTATAAATAATGTCCAGGGTTTTTAGTTGTACTTATCAGGAGGAATACAGAAATTCCTATTTATTCCATCTTCTCACAAGCATTTTATGAACTTCCCTATTTCACTAAGGAGTTCTTCAGTAAGAATGCTGATGGTATCAGCTCCTAGTTGTGTATGAAAAGATACAGAAAGAAAGAGACAAGAGTTAAAAATGGCCAGTAGTCAAACCAAATATAAAGGGAGTATTAAGGGCCCAGGACTTCTTATGTTGGAAAATAAAACTTTCTATCTCCAGTCTCTCCAATTAAAATATAGCCTGGTAGCCACAGATAAGATCAAGGGTATAAATACAAGATCCTTCATACAGGTCTTTGAAAGAACTAAAGTATAACTATTAGACCTTATCAGCAGGGCAGAGGGGTTTTGGAATTTTAGGGTCATGGTCTTACAGAAACCTTTTCCCAAAGTAAAAATCTCTATATACAGAAGTATGCTTTATTATTATTATTTGTTTAAGAGATGGGATCTCACTATGTTGCCCAAGCTGGAATGCAGCGGCTATTCACAGGTGCAATCCCGTTACTGATCAGCACTGGAGTTGTGACCTGCTGTTTCTGACCTGGATTGGTTTACCCCTCCTTAGGCAACCTGGTGGTCCTCTGCTCCTTGGAGGTTACCATATTGATGCTGAAGTTAGTGCAGACACAAAATTGACATAGCACATTACAGTCCAGAACTCTTGAACTCAAGTGATCCTCCTGCCTCAGCATCCAGAGCAGCTGGGACTATAGGCACACACCACCATGTCTGGTGAGAGGCATGTCTTAAAAACAATTATGGAGGCTGGAAACAGTGGCTCATGCCTGTAATCCCAGCACATTGGGAGGCTAAGGTGGGAGGGTCACTTGAGCCCAGGAGTTTGAGACCAGCCCGGGCAACAGAGGGAGACTCTGTCTCTACAAAAAAATTTAAAAAATTTAGCTGAGTGTGGTGCATGCCTGTGGTCCTAGCTATTTGGGAGGCTGAGGTGGGAGGATTGCTTGAGCCTCACAGGTGAAAGCTGTAGTAAGCCGTGATTGTGCCACTGCACTCCAGCCTTGGCAAAAAAGTGAGACCCTGTCTCAAAAAAAAACCCCAAAACCAAAAAAACAATTATGATTGTGAGCTTTGGAGCATGACATAGACTATAATCAAATACATAGCACACACAATTTTTAAGTAAATTTTATAGGTAAAAAAGCTATTAGCATGCCCTTAAAAGGACTGAGAGTATTCGAATATGCAAAAAGACCTCTGGATCCCTAATTTGCCATTGGCAGAAAGCAGGTTAAGAAAGTTAGTCAGCTGCCAACATGAGCTACTTAAGATGTATCCAAAGGACGATGGAGAAGAAAAGGTGTCTCATAATATATTGCTCAGAATCTAGAGCCAAAACTCACAGGACACAATGGAATACAGAGCCACTCCCAGAGACCTAAGCTGGGCCCCAATCAAGGAATATTCCCTTTCCCAGGAATAGAGGGATCTGATAACATGTGTCTAGAAGAATTTCAAAACTGCTCGGAACCAAGGACTGAAGTGTGCTAACTTTTCTCTTTTTGAATGGAAGTATTTATGTGATTTTCCACTCCTTATTTCACCACTAAATATTGAGTGTATGAGGGACAGGTAACCTTTTTCACTTTATAGATTTGCATATCAGGACGTGCTGCCACATTGGTACCTGATACAGAACATGAAATTCTGAAGTATGAAACCATGACTGGACGAGAATTAGGGTGTCTTGCGGTAGAAGTGAATGTATTTGTATGTGAGTGTATGGGAAAAGACATTTATTTTCTCATCAATCACCAGATTCATGGCTGAGGCCCCTATAACAAAAGAAAGATCAATAGGAGAAAAGCATACAAATTTCTTTAATATAAGTTTAACATGACACAGGAGCTTTCAGAAATGTAGACTCAAATAAACAGGGAAGTTTGTATAATTTTATGCTATGTTTGATGAAGAAGTGGATAGCTGAGAAGTATGGAGAAAGGTGATGTGACCTAACAGTAATAAACTGGAGGGAACTTAGCAAGGCTTGTTTGTTCAGATCCTTCTCTGTGACCCTGTGCCTTCAGAGATAAGGATGTTCCTTTCCTCCGAAAATAGGAAAGGAACCTCTGACAAGAGAGTCATATGATCTTCTTCAGGGGAAGGTCAGGAAATTAAGTTTTATGGCTGCTCCAGGAAAGAAAAATGAGGGGGAAGATGAGAGTGACCTTCCTGCTTCTGCTGTTTTCTCAAATGCCATGATATCATATTTTGGAGTAGGAAGAGGGATCATAAGGAGGGATGTGAATAATTGTGGCCAGAGAGTGGACTGTGGTAGATTCTAAAAATGGCTACAATTCTTCAACCCTTTCTATATCCATGTCCTATGCAATGTGACTTTGCAGTTTCTCCCATTAAGCGGCGGAATCTATTTCTTCACTCCGTGAATTGAGCTGGCCTTATTTCTTGCTCTGGTTAATAGAATGCAGCAGCTGGATAACATGCAAGTTCTAAGTCTTGGCTTCACTGTTGCTCATTCTCCTAGGCACTGCCATCATGAAAATAAGCCCAGACTACTCTTCTGGATAATAAGTGATACATAGTCTAGTTACCTTTGTTGCCTTAGCTAATAGCTAGCCAGTCACCAGACATGCAAGTGAAGCTATAATAAATAAGCCAGCCCCTGGCCATTCTGTCAGCTGAATAAAGGGATTAGCCAAGATCAGTTGATACTGGGCCAGATCAGCAGAACTGCCCAGCTGACTAATAGGTTCATGAGCAATGATAAATACTATTGTTTTATGCCACTGAATTTGAGATTGGTTTGTTAAATATACAGCATTATTGTGACAATAGATAACAGACATATATGGAGTACTGAAGTAGCGGTCCAACTGGCTTCCCTTGACTGCATTTCTGCCTCCTTCAATTTCTTCTCCATACTGCTGTAACAGTGATCTTTCTAAAGTGCAGATCTGATAATGAGTTTCCCTATTTAAAATTATTCAGTGGCTCCCCAGGTTTTTCAAGATAAAGGTTATGTTTAGTCTCATACAATCATTTTTTTAACCTTTAAGCTCTGTTGGGCTTGACAATAATCTAGTCTTAGCTAAGTCTACCTTCTTTCTTTCTTTTTTTTTTTTTTTTGAGACAGTCTCTCTCTTGTCGCCCAGACTGGAGTGCAATGGCGTGATCTCAGCTCACTGCAACCTCTGCCTCCTGGGTTCAAGCGATTCTCCTGCCTCAGCCTCCCAAGTAGCTGGGATTACAGGAGCGCACCACCACACCCGGCTAATTTTTTTTTTTGTATTTTTAGTAGAGACATGGGGTTTCACCATGTCGGTCAGGCTGGTCTCGAACTCCTGACCTCGTGATCCACCCACCTCGGCCTCCCAAAGTGCTGGGATTACAGGCGTGAGCCACTGTGAATAGCCGTACCTTATTTCTTTTTATTCACCTTGTGCTTAAATTCAAAGTTCTCTGAATTCTGATGGGTCTAGAGTGAGCTTGGGTATGGTTGTTTTAAAATATGTCTACAAGAGTTTGGTACTCTTCCCCTCAAGAGGTAGAGCCTCTTCAAAAGGTAGAGGCTAATTCTTCTCCCCTTGAGTGGACTTAATGACCAGGTTTTAATTAGTTCCTCTTCTCCCCATCCCTATGTAATCACTAATCTAACTTCTGAATCTATAGATACTCAATTTTTAGAGCACTTATATAAATGGACTCATAAAATATGTAGTCTTTTGCGACTAGCTTCCTTCACTTAGCATGTTTTCATAGTTCATCCATGTCGTAGCTTGGATCAGTATTTAATTACTTAAAAAAAATAGAGGCAGTGTCTCACTATGTCGCCCAGGCTGGTCTTGAACTCCTGGGCTCAAGCAATCCTCCTGCCTCAGCCTCCCAAAGTGTTGGTATTATAGGCATGAGCCACTGTGCCCGGACTAATTCCTTTCTGTTATTATTGATTAATATTTTATTATTCAATAATATCAATATATTGTATGAATATATGACTTTTTTATTCATTTATCAGTTAATACACATTTGTGTTGTTTTTACTTTTTGGCTATTATAAATAGTACTGTTATAAACATTTATGAACAAGTTGCTGTGTGGTTGTATGTTTTCATTTCTGTTGAATATATACCAAAGAGTAGAATTGCTGGGTCACATGATAAATCTACATTTAACATTTTGAAAACTATCAAACTTCTTTCTAAAGCCACTACACCATTCTTATGAGCAATGCATGAATACCCAACTTTTGTTGACATTTTTTATTATCTGTCTTTTTACTATGACCATCCTGGTAGATATAACGTGGTATCTCTTATGGTTTTCATTTGCATTTCCCTAGTGGCTAATGGTGTTGAGCATCTTCTCATGTGCTTATTGTTTATTTGTATATCTTCTGTGAAATGTCTATTCAGATCCTTTACCCCTTTAAAAAATTGGGTTGTCTTTTTATTACTGAGTAGTAAGAGTGGTTTTTATACTTTGGATATAAATCCTTCAACCAATGGTATAGTTTGGATGTTTGTCCCCTCCAAATCTCATGTTGAGATGTGTTCCCCGATGCTGGAGGGGGGACCTAATGGAAGGTGTTTGGGTCATGGGAGCAAATCTCTAGCCAATAGCTTGGTGCCCTCCCTATGGTAATCAGTGGTTGTAGGCTCACATGAGATCTTGTTGTTAAAAAGAGCCTAGCACCTCTTCCCTTCTCTCTTGCTACCTCTCTTACCATGTGACATGCCAGCTCCTTTTCTCTTCTGCCATGGGTAAAATCTTCCTGAGGCCTCACCAAAAGCAGATGATGGTGCCATGCTTCTTTTATAACCTGCAGAACTGTGAGCCAAATAAACCTCCTCCTTTGTTTATAAATTACTCAATCTCTGGTATTCCTTTACAGCAATATAAAATGGACTAACACAACCAGTATGTTATTTCCAAACATTTTCTCTCATTCTGTGGGCTGTCTTTTCATTTTCTATTGGTGTTCTTTGAAGCACTAAACTTTTTCTAATTAGATAAAAGTGCGATTTGCCTCTTTTTTTTTTTTAATCTTGTGCTTTTGGTGCGATATATGAGAAGGCTTTGGCTAAGCTAAAGTCATGAAGGTTTACTTCTATTTTTTTCTTCTAAAAATTTTATAGTTTTAGCTCATATATTTAGTTCTACACCCCCTTTTGAGTTTTGAATGCTTAAAGAAGGGATCCAACTCCTTTTTTTGCATGTGTCTATCCATTTGACCCTGTACCACTTGTTAAAAGGCTTTTTTTCCCCATTGAATTATCTTGGCACTTTTGTTGAAAAACATTTGACCGTAAATTTAGGGTCTATTTCTAGACTCTCGATCCTATTTTACTGTTTTACATGCCTATCCTCATACCAATATGCACTGTCTTGATTATTGTAGCTCTGTAGTAAGTACTGAAATGGGGAAATGTGAGCCCTCCAACTTTGATCATTTTTTTCAAGATTGTTTTGGCTATTCTGGGTCCCTTGCATTTCCATACACATCTTAGGATCAGCTTAAACATTTTTGCAAAAGAGGCAGCTGGAATTGTGATACAAATGGCATTGAATCTGTAGATCAATTTGAAAAGAACTGTCATCTTAACAATAAGTCTTCTGATCCATGAATATGGGAGATCTTTCCATTTCCTCCCATTTAATATGGGAGGTCTTTTCAAATTTCTTTGAATAATGTTTTGTAGCTTTCACTATATAATTTTGCATTTCTTTAAATTTATTCCTAAGTATCTTTTGATGCTAATGTAAATGGAATTGTTGTATTTTTATTGCTAGCATATACAAACATGACTGTTGTATTGATTTTGCATCCTGCTGAACCTGTGTATTATTTATAATAATTTTTTAGTGGATTCCTTAGGATTTTCTATATTCAAGATCATGTCATCTGCATGGCTTTACTTCTTCCTTCCCAATCTACACAGCTTTTATTTCTTTTTCTTGCCTAATTGCCTTGGGTAGAACTTCCAGGATGATATTGATTAGAAGTAGCAAGAGTAAACATCTTTATTTTTTTCCTATTCTTAGGGGGAAAACATTCAGTCATTTATCGTTAAGTATGTTAGTTGGGTTTTTCATAATGCCCTTTATTAGGCTGAGGAAGTTCCCTTCAACTCTTAGTTTGTTGAGTGTTTTTAATCATGAGTGTTAGATTTTGTCAAATGCTTTTTCTGTGCCCATTAAGATGATTATGTCATTTTTGTTTTTTATTATATTGATATGGTATATAATGTTAATAGATTTTCAGAGATTAAAAACCAACTTTGCATTCCTGGGATAATCCCACATTTTTATGGTGTATAATTCTTTTCATATGTTGCTGGATTTGGCTTGTGTATTAGTCCATTCTTGCACTGCTATAAATAAATACACAAGACTGGGTAATTTATAAAGGAAAGAGGTTTAATTGACTCATAGTTCTGCATGGCTGCAGAGGGCTCAGGAAACTTATAATCATGGCAGAAGGGAAAGCAGCCACCTGCTTCACAAGGCAGCAGAAGTGAGAGAAGTGTGTGAAGGAAGAACTGTCAAACACTTATAAAACCATAAGATCTCGTGAGAACTCACTCACTATCACAAGAACACCATGGAGGAACCGCCCCTGTGATCCAATCACCTCCTTCCCTTGACATGTGGGGATTATAATTTGAGATGAGATTTAGGTGAGGACACAGAGCCAAACCATATCAGCTTGTTAATATTTTGTTAAGGATTTGCTGTATTTTGAATTGATTCAATTTTTTCTACCCTTTAACATTGAGTAAAGTACAATATATGCAAGTATTTTTAGCTAATTATTGCATTTGAGGATTCATTGAGTGGTAAAGATAATCTGTAAGGTCTTGACATGTAGTGATTTGCATTTTGAGGAAGTAGGTGTCTAATAAATTATATACCACAGGAACAGGGTACATGGTGTTGCTTAGCTGGTGAAACTAGCCAAAGAATAAGCTTTCAAATCCCCAAATGGCTCTATTCTCTAATTTTTATTTTATCAAGCACTTTGGGGGCCAAATTACATGCTAGAGTGGCATACCTCATATGAAGCCTGTTCCTCTCAAGGCCCAGTTTTGGCAAACAAGCTTATTAAAACACAAAAAAATACCTATTCAAAACCAAGAATAATTTTTTAAAACTAAAACTTTTCAATCTCTTAAAGAACATCAAATGGGATCCAATTAAAATCTCACAGAACTTCTCAAAATCATTTCCCCACTCCTCTCCCTCTCAACTGCTCACAGAAAGCCACATTTAAGGGCTTTTGCTGCTCGCCCACCCCCACCCCCCCGCTTTTTTTTTTTTTTTTTTAAAGACAGACTCTTACGGTGTTGCCCAGGATAGAGTTCAGTGGCTCAATTTTGGCTCACTGCAACCTCCGCCTCCCGGGTTCAAGTGATTCTCCTGCCTCAGCCTCCCGAGTAGCTGGGATTACAGGTGCCCACCACCATGTTTGGCTAATTTTTGTATTTTTAGTAGAGACAGGGTTTCACCATGTTGGCCAGGCTGGTCTCGAACTCCTGACCTCAAGTGATCCGCCTGCCTCGGCCTCCCAAAGTGCTGAGATTACAGGTGTGAGCCACTGTGCCCGGACTTTTTTGTCTTGTCTATTTTTTTCCCCCATCTCCTGCCTTCCTGTATCCACCCATTTCACCTTTCAGTAGAGAAGCTGCACATTTGTGGCCCCTAGGCCAAATATGGCCTATGTGTGCATTTAATTTAATACGGTGTTTTACAAGCAAATTTAATTAGTTGTCAACATTTACAAGTTGGCAAATGAAACATAAAAATCTGTATCTGATTTGTGTCGAGAAATCTCTTAACAAGTTTGAAGGTTTGGCAAAATGTTGCCTTCATTTTACAACTGGCTAGCAGTGAATAGTGACTGCCTTCTTCAAATATGACATCTCTCTAGTTTGCCAGTGTTTACATTCCCTATTGTTTATTTGTGGCCAATTTTACTATTTATAATATAGACCTGGCCCCTGTAGATATTGGAGTTTGTGCCTTTTAATGCTGTCCTTTCCATTGTAAATTAGCCTTTCTCAGATTCCTTCCAATTTTGCAACTTTTCTATTATATTGAATAGCATTAAAAAGGTCTGAGAGCTCAGCAGGATCCCTTGAGAACTCTCAAGAGTCCAGAGGTGAGCTATAGCCTTTTGGACACTATAAGCATTAATATAATCCCTGTGCAGAACCCTATCAGTTAGAGAAGAGAAAACTCACACAACTGATTAGAGTAACTTTGTATATGTAAGACCTCTTTCCGGGATGGAAAACCAGCTCTGAGAAAAGGGAGAATGCTTGGCCATCTGTGCCAGTGTTGTTAGAAAAGTAGTGATTTACAAAATCGGTCTCCTAGAAGACAGAGGGGATGGAGACAGAAAACAGGTATTACAGTAATATCAAGGGGACCTGTGAGAAGGAATTGCAACGGCAATGACTTGCCATAAATGACATACATACCTCAGCTAATCAATTGAGAGCTGTTACTTTCTCTGGAGGTGTCTCCTACAGGGCTGTACAAATCCCTTGACTGTAAGGAAACATTTGTGCTTACTTTAGTCTGTTTCTTTACTCTACTCTTTAAATTCTTACTTGTATTTCTCAAAGACCTTAATTATCTTAGCGATACTGAGACAACTTTGTGGCATTTAATATTTGCTACAATTTTCCTTATAAAACACATTCTCCACTCTCTTCAATAAGAATAGATTTCATTAAGGCAGGGCATGGTGGCTCCTGCCTGTAATCCCAGCACTTTGGGAGGCCGAGGCGGGTAGATCACCTGAAGTAAGGAGTTCGCAACCAGCATGGTCAACATGGAGAAACCCTGTCTCTATTAAAAAAATACAAAAATTAGCCGGGCGTGGTGGCACATGCCTGTGATCTCAGCTACTAGGGAGGCTGAGGCAAGTGAATCGCTTGAATCTGGGGGGCAGAGATTGCAGTGAGCCGAGATTGTGCCACTGCACTCCAGCCTGGGTGACAAAGCAAGATCTTGTCTTAAAAAAATAAACTTAAAAATAAAAATAGATTTCATTATAAGGTCAAGCTAAAAACAAGACCACAAATCAAAAGCTGCATTTGCAATTCATGTACATGTTTGGACTTTTAGATAACATTTCAGCAATCCTCTATCTAACAATGGAAAGTAACATGTTTGCAATTGGCAAAACAGAGTGACGTCAGGTTGCCTAAATGTCATTATATACTAATTATTGTATAACTAACCTCTACTTGTTTTTAACCAGTTATTTTAGAAAGCGGCAGATTTCCTTAGTAATTAATTGAATAATTTTTGATTGATAACAATATTTTGATGTCAGATGGAATGCAACAATTTAGACCAGAGTAGGTTAGCATACTAAGTCACCAAGTCTATACATATATATAAATCATATTTTATCATTTGCTCATTTATGTTCCTACTCCAAGCCATTTGTTATTATTTGCATATGTAGACCAAAGAAAACAGTATGTGTGCTTAAATACACATATATAAACTCCGAACAATTATATATAAAGTGCTTAGATTTCTGGCCTATAGTAAACCCTCAACAAATGTTGGCTGTAGTTTTTTGTAATTTTCATTAATTATTCTCTTTACAGTGCTTTGTCTCACAAGTACTTGGATCTCATCCTCGCTCGCACACATTTCCCTGTTTTGTTTGTTTTTGGTTTATTTTTTGAGACAGGGTCTGCTTCTGTTGCCCAGGCTGGAGTGCAGTGGTGGGATCACAACTCATTGCAGCATACAACTCCTGGGCTCAAGCGATCCAATCTCCCATCTCAGCCCTCCCAGTAGCTTGGACTATAGGCATGCACCACCACGCCCGGCTAATTAAAAAAAAAAATTTAGTAGAGACAAGGCCTCCCTATGTTGCCCAGGCTGGTTTCAAACTGCTGGACTCAAGTGATCCTCCGCCTCGGCCTCCCACAGTGCTGGGAGTACAGGCCTGAGCATACATTTCGCCAAATCTTATTCCTACTCAACTGGCCACAGATAGTTGCTGGACACACATGACTTTCCTACACTGTTTAGTTTTTGAAAACCTCCAAATAGCAAAACACCAAGTAAAGCGTACTGCCTCGCCCCGTTTTTTTCCTGTCCTAGATCATGTACCCTGTTCCCAAACAGAGATGAATTAGCTTCATATCTAACCACAAATTCTCCATGAGCACAGAGATCTTCGTATATCTATAATAATTGTACTCAGGAAACTCAAGGTATGAGGAGAGAGATTCCCTTCCTTCGGGGCTTGTAGGAGACTTCCCACGGAATCTTCTTTGGGAATGTCTCCCTTTTAAGCCCTGAAAGACCAGATAAATCTCAGGTGAACCTAGAGAAACAGGGAGCTTCGTATACTCAAAAGTCTATACATTACGTATTATTGAACGGCGACCTGCGGCCGCCCCTGCTGCTGCGCATGCTCCATAACTGCCGCTTGCTATAGCTGGGAGTACTGTATTATCTCTTTGCTCTTCGCCGGCTCTTCCCCAGACTTCTGTTCGAACTTCCCGGCCGCGGCAGAACCCACCAATCACAAACGCCCTTCCTCAAGCCACGCCCACCGTCTTCTCCGGGATCCCAAGACCGATTTCGCCCACACCCCTCCCTTCCTTTCCTTACGCACGCTGCGCGCGGACGTCGGCCTCTGACGTCGTCGCCTCAGCGCCGGCTCCCGGCCGGGCCGCGGCCGCCGACCGTTGAGCCGCCGGCTGAGCCGCCTGCTGAAGTCCCTCCCTCAGGAACCCCTCCGCCACCCTCCACCTCCGAACCGCTCTCGCGGCGGCGACCCATGTGGGGGTTCAGGCTCCTGCGGTCGCCGCCGTTGCTGCTCCTGCTGCCGCAGCTCGGAATCGGAAACGCCTCGTCCTGCTCTCAGGCCAGAACCATGAACCCGGGCGGCAGCGGCGGCGCGCGATGCTCCCTCTCGGCCGAGGTGCGCCGCCGTCAGTGCCTGCAGCTTTCCACCGTGCCTGGAGCCGATCCGCAGCGCAGCAACGAATTGCTCCTGTTGGCGGCGGCCGGGGAGGGACTGGAGCGGCAGGACCTCCCCGGGGACCCAGCGAAGGAGGAGCCGCAGCCGCCGCCCCAGCATCACGTCCTCTATTTCCCTGGGGATGTGCAGGTAACTCGGGGCCTGCCTGGGTATCTGTTCCTTCCTCTCGTGTATACGTACGCGGTCACTGATTCTTCCCTCGTGGCTGCTGCCTGGTTCCTTTCCTTGCCTGAACACACCCACACATTCACTGAGGGTGGCTCTTCCTCTACTCCACGAAATCCAAAACCGTGCCTTCCACGCCCTTGGCGCCCTTTGTCCATAGAACCCCATGGGGAAGGTGTCCGACGAGGGCTACGATCTCGAAAGAGCCAGCTGTCGGTCCAGGTTTCCAAGAGGCGGAATTTGAGACAGGGAGTGACACGCATCTTGTATATTTATTCTATAATTTGGTTTCTCAGAGGACCGTGTGTGTGTGTTGGGCAGGGGACAGAGCGATGGCTTTCAAATTAAGTTAGCACGTAGTGTTTAGAAAACGGTGGCAGTAATTAAAAACCAAACAAACATTACAAAGGTATGACATCCAGTAACCCTAAAAAAGAGTGGGGATGGGTGGAAGAAAAGGGACAATAATTATTAAGCATGTCAATGTTTTGATGCTCACCTCTTTTGTACTTTTGCTTTTGCATGTTATGTTTATTATTTTATAGCTGCAGGTAAATATCCGTGGTTATGTTGCCCTGAAAACTGGGTCTTAATCTAACGTTGCATTATCTAATATGGTAGCCATTAGCCATATATGGCTATCTGAATTAATTAAAATTAAATAAAACTAAAAATCCAGTTATTCATATTAGCTGCATTTCAAGTGCTCAGTAGCTACAGATGGCTTGCGTGTGCTGTATTGGACAGCACAGATATATAGCATTATCATAGAAAATAATCCATCATCATAGAAAGTTCTAGACAGGTAAAGCTAGACTATAGCTAGGTATGTTTCTCTTTTTTGTTTTTTTGAGACGGAGTCTTGCTTAGTTGCCCAGGCTGGAGTGCAGTGGCGCAGTCTCGACTCACTGCAACCTCCGCCTCCCGGGCTCAAGTGATTCTCGTGCCTCAGCCTCCCGAGTAGCTGGGATTACAGGCATGCGCTACCACACTGAGCTAATTTTTGTATTTTTAGTAGAGATGGGGTTCCACCATGTTGGACAGGCTGGTCTCGAACTTCTGACTTCAAGTGATCTGCCCACCTTGGCCTCTGAAAGTGCTGGGATTATAGGTGTGAGCCACCGCGCCCGGCCTACATGTGTTTCTTATACTATGAAACTACATTAGTTTATTTTCAAAATTGGTGCCTTAAAATGACATACTTAGAAACTGTGCTCTGAGTCAGATAATGATTAAGATATAGATATAGATATATAGATATAGATATAGATATTCTCTTTTTTTTTCCAGTTTTTATTAGCAGTCAACTAAACCAGTTATTTTGAGGGCAAAAGAAAATAATATATATTATTTTATATATATATTATATATAAAATTATATATATTATATATAATATATAATATATTATATATAATATATATTATAATATATATAATATATATTATATAAAATATATTCTATAGAATATATATTCTATTATATAATATATATTCTATTATAATATATATTATATATAATATATATTCTATTATAATATATATTATATATAATATATTCTATTATGATATATATTATATATAATAACATATATTATATATAATATATATTCTATTATATAAAATATATATTATATAAAATATATATTCTATTATATAAAATATATATTATATAAAATATATATTATATTATATAAAATATATATTATACTATATATAAAATATACTATATAATATATATAAAATATATATATATTTTTATAATATGTATTATTTTCTTTTGCCCTCAAAATAATTGACTGGTTTAGTTGACTGCTAATAAAAACTGGAGAAAAAAAAAGAGAATAAAGAAAAAAACAACTACTACTTAGATTTAAGAGAAAAAAAAGCCACTTACTTACTTGGTGCCCTTGTGGCTCAGATTGGGAAAATAACATGTGACATTTCCGACTATGACTGCCAGAATAATTTTGTGGAACAATTACTGCATGCATTCCTAAAATAATGATGATGATAATGATTACATTTATTGAGCACCTCCTAAGTGTTTTTAAAG